>NW_025791756.1:629074-943611 GCF_000001405.40 Homo sapiens | reverse complement strand
GAGAATGGCGTGAACCCGGGAGGCGGAGCTTGCAGTGATCTGAGATCGCGCCACTGCACTCCAGCCACTGCACTCCATCCTGGGTGACAGAGCAAGACTCTGACTCAAAAAAAAAGAAAAGAAAGAGACAACTGAGCCACTTGAAATACCATGAGAATTCAAATTCAGAAAATTCCCGGGGAACTATGCGTGCAGGCACTCACCAGATCCACAAAACAGCTGCTGCATAACTGCATGTTGCAAGCAAGCCCTAAATTGCTGATTTTGAAACAGCCTGATGGGTTCACAAAGACAATTTCTGAATAGTCGTAAGAGCAGAGGTGCACTAAAGCCACTGTGCCCTGCAGGCCCAGATCCCAGTAAGTTCTTCAAGGAGTAAGTCTTACTTCCATTTATGGAAGATTTTTGGAGTTGTCCTTGGTCACCCCCAGGAATGTTTTGGTTAGGAGTAGAATTTTAGATGTCATCAATTTAAAAATTAAAACTAAAACGCTGGAACTCATAGAGAGATAAAATTAAGAGAATACATTCACTATCCTGAGTAGAAAGATTTCTTATAGAACATAACAGGCTTTAAAAATAAAGAAAAAATATGGCAAAATTTCATCAAATTAAATGCTTTGAGAACTAAAATTAAAATCCAAAGCCACTCAACCAACTGGACAGACTGCTTCTTGGCCAAGGAGACCCCAGAGAAGTCTTAACTACTGAGTTCCTGCCCAGTAGTTGGAATCTCAGACACCTCTCCTTATACTCTCTCCCTTTGTGGTTTAGACACAACTGACCAGCATTATTGTTAAAATAGAGATCCTAAGACTGACAGAACAGACTCCTTGCAGTAGTAAGATATGGTATGATAAACGAGACCTAAGGCCACGCCAGGCAAGGTGGAGTCATGCGCCCCTCAACTTAAAGAATAAACTATGTTCCAATTGCCACAGGTTTTTTTCTTCTTCCTTTTTTTCTCTAGCTAAACAAGCACTGGCCTTGAGATAAGCAATGCTGAAGCACTTGCAGCTCACCCATTACCATAAACTGACTGAGCCCTCCCTACACAAGCCATAACTACAGCTTTGATTGGACAAGAGACTGATTTCAGTAACTTCCCCTTGATAAGAGAGCACTGGCTGTGGACGGGTTCTGGACGGTTTACAGAGGCTGTGCACTTGACTGCCTTTGTGTCCCTGCTTCCCCTTTTGAAGCATAGGGCCTAATTATAATGTATTTAAATGTTGTCTCCACCCCAAAATGAACATGGGTTGCATGTAACAGGCATGTTTACTCAGCATGCATGCAGCAGGATCCCTTCATGAATATTCAGAGCTCCTCCTATTCCCTGTTGAATATGTATATGTGGCCCACCACATCAACATAAATCCCTGTTCCCCCCTCCCCTCCCTGGAAACGTACTTTTCAGGTTTCAGCAGGAGGGTATGCCTCCCTGTCTGTCGGAATGGCCACCTTGCAGGCTGTAACCATTTATAAAAAATAAAATCTCCCTTCTAAATTTATAAATTGTGTGATTTTTCAGTTGACAGCTTTCAGTCAGACTTTTCACTGACTGGGAAAAGTCATTTGCAATATATTTATTTTAAAAATGACTCCTCAGCATACAGAATTCTTGTGCAAAGATCACAAGCATTCTTATACACCAATAACAGACAAACAGAGAGCCAAATCATGAGGGAACTCCCATTCACAATTGCTTCAAAGAGAATAAAATACCTAGGAATCCAACTTACAAGGGATGTGAAGGACCTCTTCAAGGAGAACTACAAAACACTGCTCAACAAAATAAAAGAGGATACAAACAAATGGAAGAACATTCCACGCTCATGGGTAGGAAGAATCACTATCGGGAAAATGGTCATACTGCCCAAGGTAATTTATAGATTCCATGCCATCCCCATCAAGCTACCAATGACTTTCTTCACAGAATTGGAAAAAACTACTTTAAAGTTCATATGGAACCAAAAAAGAGCCCGCATTGCCATGTCAATCCTAAGCCAAAAGAACAAAGCTGGAGGCATCACGCTACCTGACTTCAAACTATACTACAAGGCTACAGTAACCAAAACAGCATGGTACTGGTACCAAAACAGAGATATAGACCAATGGAGGAGAACAGAGCCCTCAGAAATAATGCCACACATCTACAACTATCTGATTTTTGACAAACCTGACAAAAACAAGAAATGGGGAAAGGATTCCCTATTTAATAAATGGTGCTGGGAAAACTGGCTAGCCATATGTTGAAAGCTGAAACTGGATCCTTTCCTTACACCTCATACAAAAATTAATTCAAGATGGATTAAAGACTTAAATGTCAGACCTAAAACCATAAAAAGCCTAGAAGAAAACCTAGGCAATACCATTCAGGACATAGGCATGGGCAAGTACTTCATGTCTAAAACACCGAAAGCAATGGCAACAAAAGCCAAAATTGACAAATGGGATCTAATTAAACTTAAGGGCTTCTGCACAGCAAAAGAAACTGTCATTAGAGTGAACAGGCAACCTACAGAACGGGAGAAAATTTTTGCAATCTACTCATCTGTAGTTTCATCAGAATCTACAAAGAACTCAAACAAATTTACAAGAAAAGAACAAACAACCCCATCAACAAGTGGGCGAAGGATATGAACAGACATTTCTCAAAAGAAGACATTTATGCAGCCAAAAGATACATGAAAAAATCCTCATCATCAGTGGCCATCAGGGAAATGCAAATCAAAACCACAGTGAGATACCATCTCACACCTGTTAGAATGGTGATCATTAAAAAGTCAGGAAGCAACAGGTGTTGGGGAGGATGTGGAGAAATAGGAACACTTTTACACTGTTGGTGGGACTGTAAACTAGTTCAACCATTGTGGAAGTCAGTATGGTGATTCCTCAGGGATCTAGAACTAGAAATACCATTTGACCCAGCCATCCCATTACTGGGTATATACCCAAAGGATTATAAATCACGCTGCTATAAAGACACATGCACACGTATGTTTATTGCGGCACTATTCACAATAGCATAGACTTGGAACCAACCCAAATGTCCCACAATGATAGACTGGATTAAGAAAATGTGGCACATATACACCATGGAATACTATGCAGCCATAAAAAATGATGAGTTCATGTCCTTTGTAGGGACAGGGATGAAGATGGAAACCATCATTCTCAGCAAACTATCGCAAGGACAAAAAACCAAACACCGCATGTTCTCACTCATAGGTGGGAATTCAACAATGAGAACACTTGGACACAGGAAGGGGAACATCACACACCGGGGACTGTTGTGGGGTGGGGGGAGGGGGAGGGATAGCATCAGGAGATATACCTAATGTAAATGACGAGTTAATGGGTGCAGCACACCAACATGGCACATGTATACATATGTAACAAACCTGCACGTTGTGCACATGTACCTTAAAACTTAAAGTATAATTTAAAAAACGTCAAAACAAGACTCAATTCTTGAATATATAAGAGAACTTTTGTAAGTCAGTAATATAGAGCTAAGCCAAATAAAATAGGGCAAAATATTCGAATAGGCCTTTGCAAAGGAGAGTTTCTTATATGCTGGAAGCCATAAGAAAATACGCTTCATAGGATTGCTCATTAGGCAAATACAAATTAATTCCACACTGAGATAGCACTAACCACTCACCAGTGTATGGCTACTTTTTTTTTTTTTTCTGAGACAGGGTCTCATTCTGTCACGCAAGCTGGAGTGCAATGCTGCGATCTTGACTCACCGCAACATCCCCCTCTGGAGTAGCTGGGACTACAGGTGCATGCCACCATGCCCTGCTAATTTTTGTATTTTGAGTAGAGACAGGGTTTTGCCATGTTGGCCAGCCTGGTCTGAGAGCATAGCTACATTTAACAAAGTTAGTACACCAAATGCTGACAAGAATTTGGTGCCACTTCAACTGTCATCGCTGGCGAAAAAGCATTCTAGAAGACTGGCAATTTATACTGATGTTAAACTTATACTCAGGTCATGACCCAGCAATTGAAGGACTTCCATGAATCTCAAGTGCACACAAAGACTGTTATAAGAATATTCAGCACAAGAAATCAATAACCCCAAAATTGAGAAGTGATCTATGAAACTACGTGGATATATCTCATGAGTATAATGAATGTAACTGGAGAAAAAGGCCAGACACAAAACATATGTACATTCATTCATGTGAACTTTAAGAACCGGCAATTGTAACCTGTGGGAATAGACATCAGAATAGTGATTAACTAAGAAGACACAGGGTGGGAATCACCTGGACAGGGGCTCTAACAGGCCTTTCTCAGATGATGGCAATTTTCTATAACTTGAGCTGGGTGGTGATAACATTGATCAAAACTAAACAAATTGCACTAAAGATTTGTGCACTTTATGTGAACTGTAGCTTCTTTACTGTTCTCATTGCTTGAACCTGGGAGACAGAGGTTGCAGTGAGCCGAGATTGATCCACGGCACTCCAGCCTGGGTGACAGAACAAGACTACGTCTCAAAAACAATGATAATAGTAATAATTTACTGTTCTCATAAAAATTAGCGGATGGGGAATGGAGGCAAGCCTGTGCAGACCATGACAACTAGTTTAGATTTTATTGTCAACTCATTAAAAACTCGTTCTCGTTTTGTGTTTTTAAAAAATTCCACTGATACAGCCGTTTTCTCTACCGAAAAAGACTATAACCGCATTATTTCACCAGTGGAAGCTACAGACAAAGGGCCCTTGAGAGGCGGCATCTTCACCTACGGGAATTTTTCCTGCTCAATTGTGAGACAAAGAGCATGTCCAAGTTTTCCTATCGGCCAGGCCGCCCCCTAGTTTCTGCGCTGTGGGCTAAACTCCAGAAGCTGGCGCCCTTCAGGGCCAGAGGTTTACTCTGCTCTCTGGAGGCTGCTAGGATTAAAGGCAAAGCAAACGACAGGTCTATTAGCCACAATCGCAGGCTAGAAAACACTACTGTGACTCAGATTAGAACCGAGGTTGTGGCAACCACAACTACAAGTATTAACTACTACACGACCACAAAGTCTGCTGACAAGCATTGCACTTCTTCTATTTTTTTAATGTAAAAACACTCACACTATTTTATCTGCTTCATTCTTGGACGCCGCCGATTTTCGTGCTTTTCTCTCTTTCATGCGCTTCTCCGTTTCTCTCCCCATTCTGCTACATAATTTTAAAAAAATCTCATCTCCCAGGATCCACCCACTGCCTCTACAACAAGCCTCCTGGGAGGTCTCTTTGTCCCATTGACATCTCTGCCTTCTTTCGCTGCTTTTTTTTTTTTTTTTTTGAAGGAGTCTCGCTCTGTCGCCCAGGTGGAGTGCAGTAGCGCAATCTTGGCTCACTGCAACCTCTGCCTCCTGGGTTCAAGCGATTCTCCTGCCTCAGCCTCCCAAGTAGCCGGAATAGCAGGTGCATGCCACCACATTCGGCTAATTTTTGTATTTTTAGTAGAGACGGGATTTTTCCATGTTAGCCAGGCTGGTCTTGAACTCTTGACCTCAAGCGATCCATCCGCCTCGGCCTCACACAGTGCTGGGATTACAGGCGTGAGCCAACGTGCCCGGCCAAATTTCAGGCCAACACCTGTTGACAGACATTGCCAGACACACGGAATCCCTCGCTGACGATGTGAGCAAATTCGGTTCACGGTGTCTGGGGTACAGCCCTGAGGGTCCACTGGCCACCTCTGCGCAAGGACCAGTCCCCGCCGCCCCCCTCATCTCCACGCAGATTCTTCCCCACACACCTTCCCTTTCTTTGGGCCGCTGAAGCCTCTTGGACCTCTGACGTGACTGTCCTGCCCGCAGCTTCTCTCCTTCCAAGAGCGTCATTTCTTGATCCTCTCTACAGTGGCTCAGCAGTAAGCCCAAGGTCCAGCACGTGAATCAGGAACCTGATGATTCTTCGGGTTTGCAGGGATCCGCCCCGTGAATAGATGAAAGTAACAGGTACCAATATCAAAACTGCAGTGACTCACCGGAAAGACTTCGTGCTTGCCACTTTGCTAAGCTGTTTGAGTCCAACAATTGCATGGGTCCTGGGTTAGTGTCCTGAATGTCTCTTGCCGCTACTCTCGTGAGTAATGTTGTCACTTTACCTTGTGGTGGCCAAGCCCCTAAATGCACTATTAGGTTATGCAGTATAATTTTGCAGCGTAAAAGACGGGTAAAGGGCCATAATGAAGTGAAAAAGTCCCTGCTGCATTGGCCGGGAATTGAACGCGGGTCTCCCGCGTGGGAGGCGAGAATGCTACCACGGAACCACCAATGCCTCCCCACAGCCACAGCCTGGAGGATAACAGAAAAGAGTATCCACAAAGACTTAGAAACTTCCAACCGCCTTTTTCAAGTGTCGACTAAAAGCTAACAAAGACATCCAAACCAAATGTTTTTATAGGAAACTTTTACTAGACAAAGTTATAAATATCAAAATAGCTCATTTGGTGGATCAAACTCTTAAGTCTGAAAAAGGTCTTTCTACCTGCATTATAAACCCCTATAATAAAACATCAGAAATTCATTCATGTTTCTTTTTTCTAATCTTAAATCTTCCATCGTCAATCTCAAACTGCTGCCTTAGAGGTTCTGAGAAGGTAACCTAACTGGTAGTTTAGGTAAATAAAGTTCAAATCCAGGGAGGAAATAAGAAGCAGAAGCAGAATTAGAAGAAAGATGAAATAAAAGGACAGAATCAATGTACAGATAATGAAGAAACAAAGGTTGGTCCACTAAGTTAGTCTTTTGTCGCTGGTTTTTTTGGCAAAAGAGTAATGATCGGTCTCGTAATCATTATAATACTATTATTTGTCTGCTTGAGGATGTATAAAGCATTTGAAGGAAATGTGATGTGAAAAGATTAAGAACCCTTGCCGTCAATGTTTCATTGTTTGGGAGAATCCCATTTCCTAAGTTAATATGCTTTGATGTGTTAGCTATGAAAGGAGTAGACTAGTTTAAGGAAATATTGACGGTCAAAATATTAACATATTCGTCTTTTGATGAAGTTCAAATAGTAGAGAGATTTCTTTCCTCAATTTTCAATGGAGACATTCAACTGAAGAGACAAATCCAGAGTTTTCCCCACATGTTGGGTCTGGGAGTCATTATGACTTTTTCAAAGACAGGAGCTGTGACATGGAATCATGCTTCTTCTCTAGCTGAGAAGCCAAGCTAGGTCCAGGCTGCGTCATAAACTTGAGCCCACCAAGGAAATCACCCTTCACATTGACCTCGCAGAGCTTTGGCTGTTCTCTGTTCTTTGCCCAACACCCAAGACACACACCAGCTCTGGCCAACAAACCTTAACATATGATCTATATCCACCAGAGCTATATTTATTCCCAAATCTCCTTCTAAAATACAAACCTGTACTTTCTACTCTCAACTTCTAAATTTACAAAGGCCTCATATGTATCTCAGAGTCACAGATGCTAAAACTTAACCGGTTTTCTGAGGATTATTTGGGGAAGGGGTATGCATTCAAAATCTTTTGTATGTAGATAATTCGTGTGGTTTCAGATTATTGACTCTACGAGTTCCAGATGCAGATTTAGAACCTTTTAAAAAAATATTTTGTTTTTGTCTCGCAAATCAGCCAGATCTGCAACTTATCAGAGTGAAGCGAAGCCAAGCGGGACACTTAGGAAATGCACTAAGATGTCATCCACTTTCAGTGTCAGCCTGTGAAAATTCAGGCGACAGAAGAGAATGAAGAGAATCTTAAGGAATTTCTGGAAGCAAAGCTAATATTAAGCAGGCCTCTTGCTGGCAGACCAGTGGAAACTGTAGCCTGGTCAACGATCTGTCTAGATTGAGGAGGTCTAAAGTGTAGCCACAGGTTCAACTACTTTTCTGTTTGTTTCCCAACCTCGATTAAACTCACTAAATTTAGGGACAAAAAGAAAAACCAAAAAACCATGTTTCCCTCCAGTCTCGAGCCAAGGGTCTTTCACATGTGAGGCAAACATGATAACCACTATACTACAGAAACTGCACATACACTGGAAAAGGCAAAACATAATCATGAAAATCTGAGGTCAGCCATTTCTATTATCGTTTCCAAAGTAAGAAATCCAACTGCATTTTGAAATTTGACTGAAAAAAGCCCAATAAGCACCAGCCATCAAGAAGACTATGGCTCCCAATAGGCCCAGGCTTAGCGTTCTGCACCTACCCCCAACACGAAGACCACGGGGACCCACACCCGGGCTTCGGGATCCCGCATCCTCCCCCGGGTATCCAGTTCCAGAACTAAGCGCCGTGTGCGGGATCCTTCCGGCTGACACTCTTGGCTCCCAGAAGCTGCAGAAGCCGGCGGGATGGGGCACATGTCAGAGCTCTCTTTGGAGGGTCCAGCGGTGGGGTACCAAGGTGGAGCTCCAGTTACAGCATGTACTTCCCCAGGCACAGGGCACCGTCCTCAACAGCTGGCATCATTGCACCTGCAGCATCTGCCCCTTCCCAGAGCCTCTCTCTTACGCTTTTCACATCACTGGAGAAGCAGCTTGCAGGACCACACCGTATTTCACTCTTACGGTGCAAAGCCAGAAGGTGCCCAAAGGAGAAGCACCTACTCCCGTGGTAAGAAGGTGGGCACAGGTGCAGCTGCGACTCACCAAGAGCCAGGCTGCCAGCCACACAGCCAGGGACACCGCAATGGGGGAAGGGGCAGCAAGGATGTGTCAAAGATATTCCTTTCCAAATGACTTTGGTTGAAAGAAATGCTTCCGGTTCGTAACCTGGCCTCACATTTTATAGCTAAATACGAGCCGGGTGCGTTGATGGAGCCATTTTTGACATATTTCAATTGCACTGATTGCCTGACATCATTCAAGTCACCCACGTTTCCCCAGCACAGGCCACACACTCGGGTAGATTCAGTTATTTTCACGAGGACAGCCTCCCCAGCCCTGCAGAAGTCATTGTCTTTTTCTGGGCAGCCCCTGTGGATGGATTCAGCTGCAGTGACCAGCACACATGGTGATTAATGGGAGTTCTAAGAGGGAGAGGCCAGTGAAGGTCGGGGCTCATATGGGAAACCAAGTCATTTCCCACCAGGAACGTTTGGCACACTGACCCCTCACCCAGGCAGCTGATATGATGGCTAAAGGGAACAACAAGTGACCACACCCACTCTTGAGAGCAACTGCAAATTGCATGTGGCCACGAGGGTCTCTGTAATCTGTTTCTGTTTGCTAAATGCCTCTCTACCGGGGGCAGTTAAGACACTCGGAGAGTGGACAAACTTGGAGGATGTTGCTCAGTTCCAGAAAAGGAAAAAAACATATTACACGTACATTGGAGGTAAATCAGCCTGACTGGTTCTCGAGAACTCGACGATCTCAAATGTCCACAAATAATTGTGCAAAGTGGAGACCAACAGGCAGAGAATCCAAGTAGATAGTGACAATAGTAAACACTGTGCTAGGCACTATTTTAAGAGCTTTTGTATATTTTAAGAGCTGTTTGGCTGGGCACAGTGGCTCATGCCTATAATCCCCATACTTTGGAGGCTGAGGTGGGAGGAGTGCTTGAGGCCAGAAGTTCAAAACTAGCCTGGGAAACAGAGCAAGACCCCATCTATATAAAAACATGTTTTAAAAATAGCCAGGTATGGTGGCATGCACCTGTACTCCTAGCTACTCAGGAGGCTGAAATAGGAAGATTCCTTGAGCCCAGGAGGTCAAGGCTGCAGTGAGCTAGCATCTTGCCACTGCACTCCAGCCTGGATGACAGACTGAGACCCTGTCTCTAAAAACAAACAAACAAGAGCTTTATGTATATTAAATGTTTACATGTAATCCTTATTATATAAGGTAAGTACTATTATCCCCGTTTATGGGACAAGTACTAGTATTATCCCCATTTCACTGATGAGGAAATCAAGGCAAGTGAAGTCACATCCCCAAGGTGTGACAGAGCTGGTAAGTGACACAGCTGGGATTTGAACACTCGCTGTCTGGCTTCTGACAAGGATCTGTGTGCTTAACCTTGATGCTAAGTTGAATAAATACGGCACATCTTGCCAAGCAAAGAAAAGAATCTAAAGATGTTCAAACTCTCCCTTCAGCAGAGGGCAAAGGGTGGAAAGTAAGCAGCTAGCACCAGGTGAACGAGAGGAGGCAGGTTGATAAGCCAGCTTCCTTCCCAGGAAACCCCTTCTGTCTTAGAGGACCCTGTAAAACCTTCTTACTTCACCAAAATGAATCTCACAACTGTTGGAAAAACAGAGCCACCCTATCCTGTTCCCCCAAACACTGTCCCCAAGTCTATTATGCAAGCGCCTATTACAGCGAGTTGTGGATGTCTCTTTTGTGGTCATGGTTTTTAACTGCAAATGAAAGAAGAAACCCAAGTCAGGAAGCGTGCATCTTACCAATCCCACATTTGGGGGTGCAGGAGACCCCGAAATGTGGGCTGTCTTTGGAAAGAGTAGAACACTCCGCGTGGGGCTGGCGGGCTGCTGCTGGGAAGGATGAGGTATGGTAAGGGCTGAGACAACCCCAAGATAATCTGGGGGAAAATCCTGGCAGGGGAAGGAAGGGAAGTGAGCCATTAGGGGTGACCCTGGCTCCGGAAGTTGAATCTCTCTCTGAAGAAGGACAGAGTGGCCACACGCGGTTCCTGGGATCCAGCCTCTAACCCTCGGAACAATTGTGAGAAAATGCCCAGGGGCAGTTCCCTGTGCTCTCAGAGGCCCTCTTCCAGCACAAGGCAAGCGCCACAGCCAATCATCCTTCAGCAGGTGATATTTTGTCCCAGGCCTGACTAGGTGAGCCAGTCGTTCCTCACAAAACACGCTGAGAGCATCCCCTGGAATTCCCATGGGCTCCCTGGCCTCTCACACCCTGCTGTGTGTCTTGACTTGAGATGGCGGGCACCTCAAAGACAGGGCACACAGGGAAGCATCCGGGTCCCTGGGGACTCCAACAATGCTTCGAGCTGATACCAGGGAAGGAGAGGGTCAGCCTTGGGGCCGGTGGGGGGGTGCGGGGGCAGAGAGCAGGTGCCTTCGTTGGATTCTCAGTCTGCAATTTGCAGACTGAGACCATGAGCACAGCCCCTTCCTCAGAGAAATGATCATAAGACCTACCCCACTGAATGTGGCAGCTGTAACGGGAGACATTTGTACATTTATTCACCGAATCCTTGAGAACTCACTGTACGTTGAGCCCTGGAAGTGCAAGTGTTTTGAAGTCAGAAGAGCAGCACATTGGCTGGAGGAAAGAGGTGGTCTTATCTTAAGAAGCAGAGCTCTGGCGGGTAGACAGGGGAGAGGCCAGGAGGTCCTGCCATCCTCCAGGAACATGTGCCCAGGCAGCAAGAAGCGCAGGAACTGAGGGCCTCCCACATCACTGGGGCACCAGGTAGCTTCTGCCTACAGGGACCACTGCTTGTTGCGCCTTCAGGTAACTTCTCTGCTGTCAGCCCCTGAGATCCCAGATTGCGCTGGAAGAAATAAAAATATTTCAATAGAAAACATAGGTCATTGACATCTTTTGAGAAGGTTGTTCAGAGAGCCAGCAAACAGAAGATTCCCTGAAGAGCTGTCTTTCGTGGGGGAGATTTGCATCTGCAGAGATGCAATCAGGCCTTCTCCAAGACCTTCCCTTGTCCAGATCTAGGAAAGATTAACCAAGAGTCTGACATGTTTAAAGGTCTAAAAAAGGATTATCCCCGTAATCCCAGCACTTTGGGAGGCCGAGATGAGCAGATCATCTGAGGTCAGGAGATTGAGACCAGCCTGGCCAACATGGTGAAACCCATCTCTACTAAAGATATAAAAATTAGCTGGGCATGGTGACACATGCCTGTAATCTCAGCTACTCAGTAGGCTGAGGCAGGAGAATCACTGGAACCCGGGAGGCGGAGGTTGCAGTGAGCTGAGATGGCACCACTGCACTCCAGCCTGGGCGACAGAGCAAGTCTCCATCTTAAAAAAAAAAAAAAAAAAAAAGAATTATCATCTGTTCTCTTTGAGGGCTGCTATCTGTGGGATTTCCTCTGCATAACAAGATCACCTTTGTTAGCCACGACTCCCTTTCTTCCCCCCAAATAACCTATCTTGCCTCCATAACCTGCTGTTCCACCATAGTCTGGTTTGGGCCATGCTCTGAGCCCCCATTCTCTCTGTAACTGTAGGATGGGATGCAAGCTTCTATACCTCAATGCAGATGGTGGGGTAATCACTCCACGGTTCTCCCCCATGCGCATATTGATCTGTATGCCTTTATTCCAATTAATCTCCTTTTGTGAGCTGATTTTTCAGCAAACCCTCAGAGGAAGAAGGGGGATGTTTTTTCTTTGTCCCCTACAGCATTCTGTCCCTCAGAGCACCCCCTGAACCTGCCTCAGTAAGACCAGCATGTGGAAAGGGGAGAAATCTAGTACACAGCCTCATTCGGTGCCTGTCCCTCCAGCCTGAGCCACCAGCCCCGGAGAGGCCCGGGCCACCAGGGGATGCATACCTGAGAGCTGCCTCCGGGGCGGCATCCATGTTCCCTATACCCCTGAGATGGCTCACCAGGGAGCCCATGGCTGAAATCTGAAGACAATCAGGTCTGAAGACTTCCTGCTTTCCCAGAACACCACCAAGAGATGGCCACGTCCTCAGGTTCTGCATCAGACTGAAGGAAGCTCAAGGATGTTGGTGATTCCAGTGCTGGCAGAGATCATGGCTTGCTCCAGGCGTCTCTCCCCACTTCACAGTGGCCAGCGAGACACCTTGCATGTGGCTCACCAGAAGAAGTCACGTTTTCTCTAGAGGTGACATACACATCTGGAACGTGTCTCCCTCCCAAGGAATTTGTGGTGCCTTCACAGGAGGGTGTGTGGCTGCCAAAGGGCATCAGACTGGACTCTGAAGCACCCTGCTGTCCTCAGGCCAAGACCACTTTCCAGCACAATGAAGCTAGAACTAGGCTCTGAAAATGTCACATCAACCCTTTGCATGAATTGGAAGACTGAGCCCCTCGTCTTCACAACTCACTGGCTCTATGACTTTGGAAGAAGCTCTGAACCTCTTGGTGTCTCCAATTCATCATCCATAAAAGGAGTATCATAACACTGTACTTGCAGGGATCAAACAGAGTCTCAGGCATGAAAATACTATGAAGTACAAGAGCTATGAATGTCAATTGCTAATAGTTGTATGTGAACCACCTTGAGGGAAGGAGGAGAGAAGGTGAAGGGTGCTTTCACCTATTTACAATCCTGAATTCCTGGACTCTGAGCTGGTGTTCGTATTTTCCAGCTAGCCCAAGATGACATGTTCACTTATGACCATTTGGTCTCTAAAAATGAACTCCCATCTGGAATCCAAGACCGTGGCTGGCCTGAACTCTGGACCCACATCACACTTCCAAGAAGGAAGCTAGGGTGGCCCCTAGGGAACAGCCTGTGTCAGGACAGTCACTTTAAACACCCCTGCTCTCTACATTTAGAGCCTGGAAAAACTTAGTCGAAACCTAAAATGAACTGAACCTTGGCCCGTGGATGTTTCCAAGTAAATTGAAACCCTCATCCACACCATTAGCCCAGTGCTTCTGCAACCTAGTGATGCTTACCCACTGTGACTCCTCGCGTCAGTATACCCCGGGATGTGTGGAGGCGTTTAAAGGGCTGATGACTTAGAGCTGGTGGTGACATTTTGGAACCTATGGTGCCAGCCACCATTAGGGAAATCCTACACTGATTCATTGGCTCTTCTAGGTAAGGGTTTCAAGAAGCAAGGTCTTCTTGGTAGGAATCTAAGAGAAGAGGCATCCTGGTTGTGTTGGAAAGAACATGGTCTTTGGAGCCAGACAAATCTTGATTTAGTACGGACTCCAGAATGTCTGTGTAGACAGGATTTGGGGCAGCAATAATCTCAATGAAAGGGAGATGACAGGGAAGCACATATTGAAGCTACATTTTTGCCTCCTGTAGGCTCTTCCGACTTAGATTGTGTGTTTATTTGGGATAATTGTGGAGAAGGGGGCTGCTACAGATGATGGTTACAACGAAAGCCTCCCAAACCACCCCTTGATAATGACACTGTCTGGATTCAAATCAGCATCTACCACTTACCGTCTATGTGACCTTGGGCGAGTAACTTAGCATCTCCGAGCTACTGTTTTCTTATTTGTAAAATGAGAAGAATAATTCCACTCTGGCAGGGCTTTTGTGGGGGATTACATTGGATAACATATGGGAAAGGGCTTAGCACAATGCAGGCATATAATAGGCTCTCAACATATGGAAGTCTCTTTCCTTCTTTCCATCGCTGGTCCCCAGATGTCTCAGGATCCTAATGAAGTATCCAGATGAGGACTGAGATCTAGAAAGCTCTTTTTTTTTAAGTTAGATATTTGTGGGGGGTTGCCTTTGGATTTTGTTGCCCACTGTTAAGTGTATTTCAAGGGGACACTACATCTGCCCTGCACATTGTAAGTCCAGAATACCATGCAGCTGGCCTACTTGAAAGGGAGCCTTCACAGGCTGAACTACACAGGCAGCACCAGTCCTGAGGATGAAAAAGCCACCATAGCAAATGAATTAGGTCAGCGGCTTTCCTAATGTCTAGAGGCAGCAGAATCTTCCTACAGTGGGATTTTTTAATGGTTTTTTTCTCCTGGTTTTTGTAGTGTGTGTGTGTGTGTGTTTCCTTTCTCACTGAACTCCTGGAGGCTGGACAAGACACAGGATGATAGAATAGAAGGAAAAAGAAGGAGACATTATAAGCACATGCCCCAGTACCAAGTTCTTTGCAAGGAATCTCTGGAGACGACTGGTGGAACTCATGGGGTTGGCAGAAAACTACTGACTTTGCATGACCAACACTCATTGGTTCATTCATGCATTCAGGAAGCATTTGCTGAGGGAGGCTGACAGCTCCCTGGGAGATGTTAATACATGACATAGCCCCAGTCCCTACATTCTAATGAGTTGTTCCAAATAACAAGTGTTGGGACTCAGAAAACAATACCCCAAAAGGAAGGCTTAGCCTCAGAAGCAAAAGTTTTTCTCTGATCTTCTCCTGCCCTCCTATCTCTTGCCCCTCATTCTCCCCGAGGCCAGCCATAGAAACCAGAATCCCTCTTCCCCAAGGCGGATATAAAAACCAGAACCCCTTTTCCCCAAAGCCAGCCATAAAACCTAAAATACAACTCTAGCTTTCCTTCCACCTTTCTGTGTAAAAACTGGCCATAAAGACCTCATCTAACCTATCTTATTTGACTGTAGGTCATAAGACCCCCACTCCAGAAAGGATCCTGTCCCATACCCAGAAGGAAGGAATGCTGCATGGATGCCTGGAAGAATCTAGGCAGACAGGCCTTGCTGCGCTTTCCACTCAGTCTAGTCTAGCATTCCATCAGACCCTTTTTGTCCAGTCATATTTCTATGTGACTATCCATACTGTCTTGAACCTAAGTGTAAAAGTGGACAATTTCCCCTCTATCTTTGGGTCTTCATTCTGAAGGCTCCTGGGTATACACGTTAAATAAATGTGTATGCCTTTTTTCCTATTAATCAATCTTCTTCATGTCAGTGATTTTCCAGTGAACCTTTGGGAAGAAATGCTGGCTCAATTAGAAATAGAAATTTGCAAGCCAGGTGCGGTGGCTCACGCCTGGAATCCTAGCACTTTGGGAAGCCAAGGTCAGGATCACCTGAAGTCAGGAGTTTGAGACCAGCCTGGCCAACATGGTGAAACCCTGTCTCTACCAAATATACAAAATTAGCCAGGCTTGGTGTTGCCTGCCTGTAGTCCCCACTACTCAGGAGACTGAGACAGGAGAATCGCTTGAACCCGGGAGGCAGAGGTTGCAGTGAGCCAAGATCACACCACTGCACTCCAGCCTGGGTGACAAGACCAAAACTCCATCAAAAAAAAAAAAAAGCAAGGAAAGAAAGAAAGAAAAAAGAAGGGAAGGAAGGAAAGAAGGAAGGAAGGAAGAAAGAAAAGAAAAGAAAAGAAAAGAAAAAAGAAAAGAAAAGAAAAGAAAAGAAAAAGAAATAAATTTGCAAAAAGATCCGCTATTAGACCTAGGCCAGTGGATCATGAAGCCACACACACCACACTTTGTTTCCTTGCAGGGATCCAGTCCCTCCCCTGAGAATGCAGGCTCCTGACTTCTGATCTCCCACACCCTCGGTGCTATGCAGTGTTAGCCCAGTATCTGGCTCACAGCAGTCCTAGTGAGCCTCTCTTGGGGAGTCCCCTTTACCACCTGTGTATTACAGCTTCCCAAGGATTAGGAGTAAGGGGAAGAAGCCATTTAAACAAAATTGCTTTTGAAGCACAGATGGGTTCACAATACAGAAAAAATGGTGCTTAGCAAGAAATGTTTAGGATTTGGCAGATTCTGAAGTTCATTTCACATTGTTTGATGCTTTAAACCAGCTGCTTCTCCCATTCCCTAAACATCAGCTCCCAAGAGAGCAAGTCAGCCTAGGACTCTCCAGGCAATGATATTTCCTTGGATAATATGCAACCTTTTCTGGAAGGTCTGTTCCATCAGCACTCAGCTCAGCACCCATCCAGAGCATCTCACTTCCCTTCTCACCATGGTTTCCCTAACAATGGATTCCACACGCACATACGGCTATAGAGGGTCAGTTCAACTGAGCGTGTTTCCCAGCAATTGACACAATAGATTCCTCTCTGGGGAGCAAAGGAGTCTACTTACCTGGGATTCCCCTTGTCTCTACTGAGCCACTGGGGGCCATGGTACAAGCAGCCAATCCTAAGGACCCTCCTGCTCTCCTCTTGTTGTCCAGCTTGTTTTCTTAGTATGCGCACTACTTGGTTTATGGTGCCTGGAGAACCTCAAGCCAACAAGATGCTTGCTCCTGACTTCTCTGATTCCAGGGTTCCTTACTTCCTAGTCTCCACCCCTGGTTCATAAGCAGCTTGAAGGAAGACACAACCAAGACCCTACCTTTGCAACAGCTGTGAAATGGGATCAGAGAATTCCGGTAAAAGTTTGTCAAGCTAAGTGGGATGTATCCAAGGCTTCGTAAGAAAGGAGGCTGGATCTAGCTCCAGAGCCACTTCTGGAGGCTTGGATAAGAATGGGAAAAGTAAGCCTCCCATTTGCAATTCGCAGACCCATGCTGTGTGGTCTTAAAGCCTCAGGATCAGTGAGGAGGCCCCAGGTCAAAATCCTGGCTGAAACTGTGGGCCCAAACACATAGGCTTTCATTATGGTACAAAAAAAAAATGTATCAAGTGTAGTGGGTGTTTGTTTTGGTTTTCAGAATATTAATATGGTTTAATACCATTGTCTGGAGGGTTTAGAAGAATGACATACATTGCAGAGTTCCTGGCACCTAGCAGAAACTCAATAAATGGTAGCTATTGAATTTCCCCCTTGTCTGTACAGCAGTAAGTCCAGACCTGCCCACTCTGGGCCTGCCTCCTTGGGAGCCTGAAGCATTTTGCAGAGGGGCTGCCCTTCCCCCGACTCAGTCACCTCAGTGTTGGTTGTGCCCCCCGCACCTGTAACTGGGTCATCTCTTACTTATCGCCCGCACTCAGCAGAAGAAATCAAATGAGTGTTAATTCAGAGCTGGGTTCGTCAAAACTACTGCTCTTTTCTGGTGTGCTTTATTTAAGTGTAAGCCAATCCAAGCTTACCATGGGGTTTCTGTGTAACTGAGAGTTCCCAGTGCTTTGTGGCAGGGCTCGCATTCATTCCAGACAAAGCATAATGAACCACAATCTCACATTACCTAATCACATGGAGGCAGCGCGGATCACAATGCCGCATTTGGCATTTCTGTGGTGCGCTCCATCTGAGGAGCTCAAAGGGCTTAAAGAAAACCCTTTCTTTATTTGGGAAGTATTATTATCTGGGTTTTACAGAGAGAGATACCGAGAGGTGAAGTGACCTGCTTTAAGACCACACAGCACGACGTCTCTGGGCTGAGATGGAGCCCAAGCAGCTGACAGGCGCTCCTTGGCCAGACATCACAGGCTCAAAACAGAAAGCTGCTCCCACAGAGCCTGTCCTCACCAGGCCCCGTGGGGGACTCACGGAGGAGACCGAACTCAATAGCAGAGACGAAGACAGAGGGAATTTAAAAGCATCAGCCAGAGGAAAGGTGTGCAAAGACCTGGCTCAGCCTCAAGAGAGCTGACTGCAGGATGAGACTTGCTCAGATAGAACATGAAGCCATGAACTCTGTTCAGCAGATATTTCTCCAGCTTTCTTCATGGATTGACCCCCAGAGAGAATCCTTTTATCACCTTGCTTCTCTGTGACAACATTATTTTTAGTAGTAGCCATGAAACGAAACAACAAAAATAATGGATAGAAGAGGAAAGCAGTGATATTTCTCTCTTACTGACCCTTCTGTGGATGGTTATGCCCATAAAATAGAAAAATAAATAATACAGTAAATATTACAGTACCAAAAAAGTAGTAGATTAGCACCTTTAACTACATTTTTGTAGTTAACTTTTTTTTTAAAGGAAATACGCTTAGAGTTAAATATTGGTCTATTGTAGTCATGAGGAATGACATCATGGTCTCTGTTTTTAACACTTAATTACTTTAATTTGTCCATGACCTAGAAGAAAAATTGATCTTCATCGTTTCATGTTCATTGAGCAGTTGTCCATCTACTTTTGTTCCTGGTTAATCACAGAACACTGTTTACTGATTTTAATTTTGAAAAGCGTCTTTCACATAAAGCAATAGACACATAAATTGTTACAAAAAATCTTAAGCAACAGAATATGTATGGCAAAGATTCATCAAAGTCCAATTTTACAATAAATTCTATAAATTGCAATAGTGCCCACATCTCTGTTTCTCCAGGATCGATTTTGTTGTCTTTCAAATGTCTCCATGGCTGAAAATTATGAACACAAATAAAAATGCCAAGTGATTACACAGATTGGCAGAACTGGAGTAACTCAAGTTTTATATAAAGACACACAGAGAGACAATATCGTGGTAAAATATACAAAAATAAAGCAAATTGAGAGCTTGGGAAGAGAAGTAAGAGGGAGAAGCCAAGCCAGGGAGGGAAAGGCACCTTCAGTTATCTGCACACTGACATAGTTGCTATGGTTGGACCGTAAAGTTAGCTCAACAGTCCAGGCTTCCTGGCACCCGAAGAAAAAAGGGAGATGTGGCCAGTCATGCCATTCATATTGACGGAAAAGCAGCCACTTTGGGAGAGCCCGAAGAACAGCCTGGTGAACCCATGTGGAGGCTTCCATGCAGGGGCTGGCCGAGCCCACGGAGGGATGTCAGGAGCTACAGCACACTTGGATTCTATTTGTTTTCATTTTGGTTTCAGACCAGGAGAAGGTGAACTTGAAAAAGAGGTCCCAGATGCCCTGTGAACAACCGTTAGAAAGTAAGTGATTTAAAAGATTAATTTTACTAAGAAACTAGAAAATTTGTGTTCAACACATTTTAGAACTGAGATTAGATAAATGGCAATGCTTGACTAGATCCAGAATAATGAAGATGATGAAGAAGAGAGCTGGAGAGCAAGAGGGCTTCACATTCCTTTTCAACTCCGCATTTGGCGGCCTGTACTCCAACATGGCAACTCCCCCTGCCACGCAGCGGTGTGGGCTCTGGAGTCTGGGTGTGCACAGACCTGTGCCTAAATCCTGGTTCCAGGGGATGTCCCCTGGTGGTAAGGATAGATTGGCTTATCAGACGCCCTTCGTGCCAAGAACACTGGATAATGTGGACAAAACATCTTTTTCAAATCTATTTGAAGGCATCAAAAACCACCAGCTAATAGTAGCCTGTAGTCCCTGCTACTCAG
Organism: Homo sapiens; assembly: GCF_000001405.40. Classification (NCBI taxonomy): domain Eukaryota; kingdom Metazoa; phylum Chordata; class Mammalia; order Primates; family Hominidae; genus Homo; species Homo sapiens. The sequence continues at coordinate 923,810 of NW_025791756.1, read as the reverse complement.
GAGGCTGAGGTGGGAGGGTCACTTGAGCCCAGGAGTTTGAGGCCAGCCTGAGCAACATAGCAAGACCTCTGTCTCCTAAATAAATGAATAAGAATTTTTTAAAAAAAACAAACTACTAACGCAATGAGAAACTAAGGCACTAAGATCCCAGAAACAAGGCGTGAGCGGAGAGGTGCCAGCCACTTTTCTCCTTGGCGTGCATGGATTCCCCAGCAGTGGCTCGGAAACTGAGAAGTTGAGCAGAGTTGCCAGGACTCTCATGGGGCTGAGGCACAGAAAGGAATTCAGAGCCCAGCAAGGAGGAAGAGCTGGGTTAAATACCACTGGTCTTCTGTTGAGACTCCCCACAAAGGGGTGATCCAGGAAGAACTCAGCCTGCAGAAAGCCTGAACCATCTTTAAAGAGCTCAGTTCTTGGTCGGATTAAGGTGATGTAAAATGAACTAATACATATCTAAACAACCCATGAGTCAAAATAAGAATTACCGTGGAAATTAGGAAATATTTCAATAAAAAGGTAATAAAACTAAAACATATCAAAATGTAAGGGATGCAGCCAAAGAATGCTTAAGAGAAATTTAAAACCTTGAATGCTTTACAAGAAAAGAAGAAAAGATGAAGAAACAATGAAATAAGTTTCCATCTCAAGATTTTAATAAAAAAACAGCATATTAAATCCTAAGATAGCATAAGAATGGAAATAATAAATAGCAGGAATTAATAAAGTAGAAAACAATAATACAACAAAGAAAACCAACAAAGTGAAAAAATAAAAATAAAAACAAGTCTTTAAAAAAGACAAATACAGGGACAGGTGCTGTGGCTCATGCCTGTAATCCCAGCACTTTGGGAGGCCAAGGTGGGGCGGATCACCTGAGGTCAGGAGTTTGAGACCAGCCTGACCGACATGGAGAAATCTGCTAAAAAAACAAAAAAGTAGCCAGGCATGGTGGCAGGCGCCTGTAATCCCAGCTACCTGGGAGGCTGAGGCAGGAGAATCGCTTGAACCTGGGAGGCTGAGGTTGCAGTGAACCAAGATCACGCCATTGCACTCCAGCCTGGGCAACAAGAGCGAAACTCCATCTCAAACAAACAAACAAACAACAAAAGAGATTAATACAACCGATAAGCCCATAAGATTAATTTTTTTTAAGAAGAGTCCCAAATATTATCAGGAATGGAAAGGAAGCCCTAACAATAGAATCTGTGGCTCCTAAATAAGACAAAAAGCTGTTCAGAACCAATTTATGATGATAAATGTTTAAATCTAGGTGAAATAGACAAATTCTTTGGAAAACACAACTTATTAAAACTGACCCAAATAAAAAAAGAATATCTGATATAATAGCCTTGTACCTATTAAAGAAATAAAATCCATAATGAAAAACCTTTCCACCAAAACAAAAACAAAAACAAACCTCCAGGCCCAGATGGCTTCACCAGTGAATTCTTCAAAACCTTTAAAGATGAAATAACATCAGTCTTTACAAAAGCTCTTCTAGAAAATAAAAATGACTTCTTGACTCATTTTTGAGAGCTTTATAACCTTAATACCTGACAAGGAAAGAAAATGGTGATTTCTTTCTCCTGAACATGGATGCTAATCCTAAACAAAATGTTATCAAACTGAATTCAGCAATATATAAACAGGACAATACATCACAAACAAGATGATATTTTTTTCCAGAAATGCAAGATTATTTCAGTGTTTGGAAATCAGTCTATGTAATTTACCACAGTAACAGAATAAAGAAGAAAATCGTTGATCAGCTCAATAGATTCAGAAAAGGCATTTGATAAAATTCAACCCCTGGCGATAGTAAAAGGAAAAAAGAAGTATTTAGGAAAGTACGACTAAAAGGGAAATGCCTTAACATGATAGAGTATCTACAAAAAAACCCTCCAGCAAATATCATATAAATGTTCAAATCTTGATACTTTTCCCCTAATACTGAGAATAAAAGAAAGATGCTTCCTATCTATCACCACTTCTATTCATTATTGTATTGGAGGTCCTAGCCTTTGCAGTAAAGCAAGAAAACAAATAAAATTTTAAGAAATAGAAAGAAAAAAAACTGCCATTATTGACAGACTATATCATTGCATATGCAGAAAATACAAAATAATTTATAGAAAAACTAACAGAATTAATAAGTAAATTCAGCAAGGTTCTTGGATTGAAATATCAATATACAAAGTCAGTTGTACTTATATATAACAGAAACAAAAACAGAATCAAAAAAGAAAACATTGAAAAATTGGACTACATTAAAATTTGAGTCTTCTTTTCACCAAAAGATACTATTAAGAATGAAAAGAAAAGCCATAGAGAAGACGTTTACAATCCATATAAATGACAAATGATTCATAACCGGAAAATATAAAGAACTCCTACAAATCACCTGGAAAGACAGAAAACCCAGTAGAAAAACAGGCAAGAGACCTGAATAAGCCAGTAGATATCCAAATGGCCAATAGCATTTGAAAAGCTGCTCAATTTCATTAGTCATCAGGGAAATGCAAACTGAAACACATTCATCAGGATGGCAAAAGTAAAAAGAGACCAACAGTATCAAGTGTTGGTGAGGATGTGGATCCCCCAGGACTCTCATAGCTGAAAATGAACTGGTACAGCCACTTTGCAAAACTATGTAAACAGTATCTACTAAAGCTGAAAATCCACACACCTTATGACCCATCAATTACATTTCTTGGTATATCCTATGCCGAAATATGTACACCAAGACACATGTACAGGTGACCCTTGAGCAACATGGGTTTGAACTGCGTGGGTCCACTTATACACAGATTTTCCTCCACCTCTGCCATCCCTGAGACAAGACCAACCCCTCCTCTTCCTCCTCCTCGTCAGCCTACTCAATGTGAAGATGGTGAGGATGAAGACCTTTATGATGATTCACTTTTACTTAATGAATAGTAAATATATTTTCTCATTCTTATAATTTTCTTAAAAGTATTTTCTATTTTCTAGCTCACTTTACTGTAAGAATACAGTATATACATTCAAAATATGTGTTAATCAATTATTTATGTCATCAGTAAGGGTTCTGGTCAATAGTAAGCTATTACTAGTTAAGTTTGGGAGAGCCAAAAGTTATACATGAATTTTTTACTGCTCCGACCCTCATTGTTCAAGGGTCAACTATCCAAGAACATTCCAAGTAGCATTATTTGTCATGGGGCAAAATTAAAATCTACTCAAATAACCAGCAAAATGAAAAATGTATAAATAAATTGTGATACATTCATACTATGAACATCTTTATAGCATTAAAAATGACCAAACTACTTGTACATGAATGACATTAGATCAACATTACAGATGTCATACTGAGTGGAGAAAAAAGTCAGACAAAAAGAACATATAATGTAGAATTCTGTTTTTATAAAATTCACAAACTAGCCATCTAATACTCGGTGACAAAAATGGTCACCATTGGGGAAGAGGAGGTTATTGGAGAGGGTCTGGGATTTTTCTGAGGCTGGTAATAGTCTAGCTCTTGATTTGGGTGGATGGTTACACAGGTATGTTCACTTTTATGATAACCCACTTAGTTGTACACTATGCCTGTCTTTATGTACATAATACTTCAATTTTTTAAAGTTTATTTACTAGCTAGCTGTGTGATAGTGGCAAGGTACTTAACCAGCAGAAGTCTCTGACCTCATCCATAAAACTGATATAAACATGACTGCTTCAAAGGATTGCTCTGAAATATAAATGAAATAATGTAGGTGAAAAGCTTAGCACAGGTCCTGGCTGATAAACAATAGTACTTTATAATCACCATTGAGGAGTTTATTTTATTGTTTATTTCCGGGATTATCAGGGTTTGGCCACTTGCAGACAGCAGCCAGGTCTCTTCCTGGCACACCTGTCAGCAGCAAACCTGAGATTTTTCAAGGCCTCCTGGGATACCAGCCTCAGGCTGTGTTTAGGGCTTGGTGTGGTGGCTCACGCCTTTAATACTAGCACTTTGGGAGACCGAGGTGGGCAGATCACTTGAGGTCAGGAGTTTGAGACCAGCCTGGCCAACATGGTGAAACCCCGTCTCTACTAAAAATACAAAAATTAGCCAGAAATCTCTTGAACCCAGGAGGCAGAGGTTGCAGTGAGTGGAGATGGTACCACTGCACTCCAGCTTGGACAACAGAGCAAGACTCCATCTCAAGAAAAAAAGAAAAAGAAAAAAACCCTGTTTAGAGGCCCCCGGTCCTCACACTTGCAGAGGCTCCCCTCCTAATACCAAGAGTGTTGGGGGATCGAACTGCTTGGAGATGGAGATTGAGCTTCTGTTGTCCAGACAAGTTCATGCCTCTGTGACCCCCCCCTTCCCAGAGGTAGGCCTTTAGGATGCTGAGATTGAGCTTCTGTTGTCCAGAAAAGCTCATGCCTCTAGACCCTGCTTCCCAGAGGCAGGCCTTTAGGGTGCCCCAAGGCAGGAAAATGCAATCATGCGATCCAGAGGAAGTCCCATAGAGCTGAGGCATCCCTGAGAGAGGGAGGGAGTTCAGGCACCCGCCCCTGCAGCCCCTCAGCCTCAGAGAAGGGAGAAGGGAGAGTGTCCAAGGCAAACCTGACCTGAGGCTTTGGGTGGCAGGGGAGTGCATAATGAATGCCTCGCTGGACCACCTCAGTGATAATGTGGGTATTGTGGGGGCATCCCGAGTGGCACACAGACTCCATTCATCCTGTGCACAAACAGGACTCTGCAGACCCAGCTGCTTCTCTGGAAGCCATGGGAGGTTATTAAATATGAGCTACAGCTGCTTTTTTGCCAATTCACATTTTGTAAAGGCTCATGTTGTTTTTGCTCTTGCCTTTTTGACTTAGAGCCCCTGTCTTGGACTTGGCTTTGTCCAGGTATTTCTTCATTTTGAGAGACAGCATCTTCAAATGCAGACATTGCCCAAATCTTTCCTGATTATAAAAATCACCTGGGTTTCTGTTAAAAATACAGATTTCTGGGCCTCAACCCAGACACGCTAAATGCAATGTCTAAGACTGGGGCTCTAGGAACTTATAGTTTTAAAAAGAGTACCAGGTGATTCTTATAATTATTCAAATTGGGAAACCATCCTTCAACCTGGTTCCTTCAAATTCCAGGGAATCTCCTCTGGTAACTGTTCCCATTTGGGCTCCCTTTACTTTCTTCCATTTTTTTTTTAAACTCAAATTTCTCTTTTTCTATGCAATAAGCTCTTCATAGTAGTTCCACGTTCTATCCACCCCAAGTTTCTTACCCTTTCCTTTTGTTCAGGCTCAACACCTCAAACTCTAAAGCTGTGGTACCCTCTCTGCAATTCCCATGATGCTGAGATAATGCCCCAAGCCATGGCTTCTCACTCCTATGGGGATTGGGGGCAGGAGGAAATCTGGCTAAATGACATATTATTTAACTCAAATTAAGGTGGATTTCTTTTGAAAACTATCCAATGATTGATAACACCCAGAGGTAACTCAAAGCCGTTCTGCAAAATCACTACAAACTTCCAAAACAGTATTTTGAGAGTTACAAGCACTACCAATAACCTTGCCTTAAAACACCACAATATGCCATTTAAGAGTATTTTTTCTGGTCAGTATTTCTCCATAATCCTTTATCCAGGGGCCACTGCTCAGAATTTGGAGTTAGAACATCTGAGTCTTGTCTGAGTTCTGATTTCAATGTGTGGTAGGAGATATCTCCATCTAATTGGGTTTCTTCATATTTCGTATACACTGATGATAATTTCATATACACTGATGATAATGGCTTACCTGTTTTCCAGAGTTCTTGATCATCTCGTGGGGCTGTAGAAAGAGCCCAGAGCGTGGATGACAGGGGTTTCATTGAATGAATGAATGAGTGACTGAATGAATGAGGTAATGGGTGCCACATCAAGAAAGGCAGTTTTACTAAGAATAATTAGGAACAAATGTTGGATCTTTTTTAAAAAAATAAATCCCATAAGGTGTGAGGCTGAGATCCTGTGAAGTGGTGCCGAATTTGGAGGCAGAGTCCTGCCAGGAGAATGTTCTTCTCTGCTGGTGTCTGTGCTGACCCTCTGCTCAATCTGCTAGTTGCCCAAAAAGACACGTTGGTGATCTTCACTTGAGTTTCTGCTTCTTTTGTCTTTCAGAGTATTGTTGGATCCGGGCTGCCAGGAAGCAGAATTTGATGACAGCTTTTGGGTTTGACTTGCCAGTGAGCACGTTTGGCTGGGTGTAGGGCTTCCGTGGTGTAGCTGGCCCATGGCCTTGAATTTCTTCCAGTGGGCCCACTGCATTTCCCAAATGGACTCTTGCAAAGGGCATCTTACAAGTCAGAGAGTGTGTGTAAGTGTACGTGCATGCACATGTAGAGAACAGACCTCCTCTTGGATGTCCGGCCTTTAAAACGACATCAAATCATCCTCGTCACCATCTGCAAATATGCCTTGAGCACTCAGTATATGCAAAGCACCGTTCTAGATGTTATGAGGAATGCAACAAAATAGAGTTCCTTCCATGGCTTTCAGAAATTTATAGACTCGGTTAGGCAGATAAAATCAATAATATCCCATTTATATCAGTCTGGTTTCTTGGTTGCATGCCTTAGAAATCAACTCTGGTTAAGCTGTATTCCAGGTGGGAGGACCTGATAAGCCCTCTTCCAGGTGGCACCAGATGTATGTGTCCAGAACGGAGCTTGAGGAAGTGAATCATGCCTGGAAAAGGGTGTGTCTAAGGACCCAAGAGGGAAAGTGTGCACTCGCAGAATGTGACTACAAAAAAATATGTAGAACAAATGCTCATCTTTGAAGAAGTGTGAAGGAGAGTGTTTTGACTAGTTGAAACTTATGGAGCTGAAAGAGCAATTTTAAGAGGATGCGAAGGAACTGTTCACGTATGACCCCCTCACTGCCCAGAAATCACAGATGCAAGCCCCCACTGGACACAGAGGGCAGGGTGGGGCCCAATGAGCAGGATGGCACTGATGATGATGGTTGAGAGCCTGGCCTCTGAGAGCAGAAATGAGTGTGCCTGCAAAAGAACTCCTTGCCCTTCAGCAAGAAAGGCACATGGTGCCAGCAGAAAAAGAGGCAGGACCCAAAACGCTTACTTACCTCAATTCGTTGTTCTGTAAAATGAAGATTCTGGACCCTTCCCTGCCAAAAGCAAATGGATGTTGATAATAAACCAAGATAAGATTAGTATAGAGAAAAGAGTGCAGTATATGAGAAGACATGGGATCTGGTGCTACAACCATGATTTACCAGCTATGCGACCTTGGGCAAGGCATTTAACTTTTCCAAGTCTATTTGCTCTTCAATAAAATGAAGTTGGTAATTCTGGGTAGGTAGAGAACAATTGAGATACAATGCATGTGAAACTCTTTGACAAATTATATAAAGTGCACTGCCAGGGTAAGGAACTATGCTTATTCTCCTTTAAAAAATGCATGTGGATGTTGTTATCAGTAAACGACCATGAAGAGTTTTAAGGATGTTCGGCCGGGCGCGGTGGCCCACGCCTGTAATCCCAGCACTTTGGGAGGCCAAGGCCGGTGGATCATGAGGTCAGGAGATCAAGACCATCCTGGCTAACACGGTGAAACCCAGTCTCTACTAAAAACACAAAAAAGAATTAGCTGGCCATGGTGGCGGGCGCCTGTAGTCCCAGCTACTCGGGAGGCTGAGGTGGCAGAATGGTGTGAACCTGGAAGGAGGAGCTTGCAGTGAGCCGAGATCGCGTCACTGCACTCCAGCCTGGGCGACAGAGTGAGACTCCATCTCAAAACAAACAAACAAACAAACAAACAAACAAACAGAGTTTTAAGGATGTTCATCAATAACTGATTCCTACGGTTACTTCCCCTGCCTTACACTCAGGCTGCTGGCCTGCCCTGCAAAGGTTCTGCTGGGACTCTGCTTGTCTCCAGAATAAGCCAGTGGCCAGAGAATCCTTTGAGCCAACCTCTCCGTGGGCCGGCATGGAGGTGATAAATCTTTTGTATTGACCCAGGAGAAAGCCCCAGCAACAAAGACCAATTTATTTTCTTAGTAAATCACAAAATGTTCCTGCAGCAAACTCCTGGGACTATGCAAAGCATCACAGTCCCTAGGAGGAAAAAGGGATGGGCTGGCTGGACGGGAGCTGAAATATGTCCATCTGGCCCAGTGAATGTCAGAGTGCACCCCAGCTGACCACATGAAACAGTCTCTATGAAATGCAGATGTTTGGTAGGGTTGGGTGTTGCTTCCCCCTCAATTTAAAAGCCTTCCATGCCTGCTGCTTACTTATAGACTTCTTCCTCCCCACACTGTTTGGCTCAGTGGGTTCGAGAGGGTGTTTTGGGGTGTTTGGATAACAGTGCATTGTGGTGGTGGGATTTATTAACAACAGCCATTCTTCCCCACTCCTGCAAGTTGCTGCCTCATAGTCCGTATTTAATGTTTAAATTAAGGTGAATTAAAATTAATTTTGTTGGAGGAATTCTGCAGCTCCCGCTTGAGATAAGTGGAGACACCCTGGGGTGATATAAAATTGAGGTTAGGAATTGCTGCATTGGAGTGCTGTGCTAATGAGGTGAAGGTCAGGGGTTCAATTCCCTTGTGAAGGGAGCAGTTAATTTCACTCTCCCTCACGGCCTCAGATTCCACCCTTAACCCTGGCCATCTGCCTCCAAGAGGAGCCACTGGTCACCAGCAGGACAAAGTGAGATAGAGGACCAGATCTATACAAATCCACCAAACCCGTTAGAATGACAACCCAAAGCATGACCCATGAGTAATGTGCCAGGATTTTTAATTTTGCAAATGACAGCACTATTATATTATTACTTTATATTAGAGTAAACATGTACAAATATGAACAATACCAATGAATCAGATGTCATGGGTTCCAAATTCTCTAAGGCATTACTCTTACTTCCCAAGTGTTTAGCTACCTTGTTAGAGAGACAGCTTAATAAATGTATTGTGTATATCATGGTCACAGTCAATTCTTCTTGAGCCTTAAGAGGGAGAGAAGTGGTGTGGATCTCTCCAAACAAAAGATAGTACCAATATCACTCATATTTAGTTTGGAAAAGATGATACAATTTAGGGACAGCAGATTGCCCTCCTTAATTATGTTTTTCTTTAGCTAATAGTAATATTAGTTTGCATTCCCCTGAACATGTTGACGGATGGCAGAAAAGAGAGCCCAAATGCTCAAAAAGGGAGGAAGTTCAGGATTAAGCATTTGTCAGGGATAATCCACAGAATAGAGATAATCCAACTTCATTAATCAAAAGCTATCTCTATCCTACTAATTATCAACTTACCATTGTCCTTGTTAGAAAATAGAATTTTAGGCCGTTGAATTTTCTCTAATTCACTCCCCTCTCTTGTGTATCTAGGTTCTACTCCAGCCCAAAGGCCAACCTAAGTGACACCTTCTAGCCAGGGCAACACTGGCCTCCGCTGCCTGGGGCCTTCTGCAGCACTTATGGTATATGCTAAATTGTGGTTTAGAAAGTGTGTTTCCTTAGTGCTTGAGGGCAAGGCTCAAATTTTTAGGTTCCTATATGTCTCACAGGGCCTAGCACAACACTGAACATCCAATAGGTGCTTAATAATAGCATGCTCATTAACATTGACAGACTAATTACAGTAAGGAATAATGAAGAATTACCACCCTCTTGCCCCATTTGACAAAATTCAACACCCATTCATTAGAAAACCTCTCAGAAAAATAGGAATAGAGGGGGACTTCCTCAACTTACTAAAAAGCATCTATAAAACCCTATAGCTAACATTATACTTGATGATGAAAGGCTGAATGCTTTCCACATAAGATCAAGGAGAGGCAAGAATGACCACTCTACCACTCCTATTCAACTTCCTACTGGAAGTTCTGCCAGTGCAATAAAATAAGAAAATAAAATAAAAGCAGATAGTTTGGAAAGGAAGAAATAAAACCATCCCTATGATTGTGAACATAGACAATCCCAAAGAATCTATAAAACAAACCAAAAAAAAAAAACCCTAGAACTAATGAGTTCAGCAATGTTACAGAATAAGAGATAAACACATGAACTCAATTCTATTTCTGTATACTGCAATGAACAAGTGGACACCAAAATTACAAATGCAATGCCATTTGCAGTCACTCAAGAGAAATGAAATACGTAGGTGTAAATCTAACAAAATATGTGCAGTACTTGTGTGCTTAAAATTCCTACAAAAGAAACCAAATAAGAGCTAAAATACATGAAGAAGCATTACAAATTCATGAATCAGAAGACTCAACAGTAAAGATGTCAATTCTCCCCATCTTGATATATGGGTCAATATAACTGCAAACAAAATCCCAGCAATATTATTGCATAGATCTAGACAAGATTATCCTAAATGTATATAAAATGGCAGAGAAACTAGAATAGCTAAAACAATTTTGAAAAAGAAAAATGAAATGGGATAGATTAGTCTACCTAATGTCAAGATTTACTGTATAGCTACAGTGATCAAGGCTACATGCTATTAGTGAAGGGATAGATACACAGACCAGTGGAAGTTAATAGAAATAGGCCCACGCAAAATTTCCAACTGACTTTAGATAAGGGTACAAAGGCAATTCAATGGAGGAAAGATACCCTTTTCAACAAATGGTATGGAAGCAATCGATATTCATAAGCAAAAAATAAATAAATAAACCTCAATCTAGTCTCACGCTTCATGCAGAAATTAACTCCAAATTGATCATGGATTTATATGTAAAACATAAAACGATAAAACTTATAGAGAAAAAAAGAGAAAATATTTGAAAGCTAGGGCCAGGCAAGGAATTCTTAGACTTGATGCCAAAAGCATGAGCCATAAGAGGAAAAATGGTTAAATTAGACTTCATCAAAGTTAAACATTTGCTCTATGAAAGACCCTGTTAAGAGGATGAAAAGTCAAGCTACAGACTGGGAGAAAATACTTGCAAACTGCCTATCTGACAAAGGACTAGTATGTAGAATATAGAAAGAACTCTCAAAACTCCACAGTAAAAAAAATAAAAAATAAATAAATAAGAATTTTTAAATTTGAAGAAATGAGAAAAGACATGAAGAGATATTTAACTGAAGAGGAAAATATACAGGTGGCAAATAAGCATATGAAGAGGTAATTTAAAATCATTAGCCATTAGGAAAATACAAATTACAACCACAATGAGATATCATTACATGACTATTGAATGGCTAAAAGAGTGACAACCACAAATGCTGGCAAGGATGTGGAGAAACTGGATCCCTCATACATTGTTGGTGAGAATGTAAAATGGTGCAATCACTCTAGAAAACAGTCTGACAGTTTCTTATAAAACTAAACATGCAAGGTCTGTGCAACCTGGCATGCACTCCTGAGCATTCATCCCAGGAAAAAAAAAAAAAAAAACACAAAAAACTTAGGTTCACACAAAAACCCACATGTGAATGTCTGCAGCAGCTTTGTTTGTAATCCCCCCAAAGTGGAAAAAACCAGCTGCCCTTCAGGTGGAAGGTGAGTGGTTAAACAAACTGCAGTACATCTCTATCATGGAATACTACTCAGCAACAAAAGAGAAAACTATTGACACATGCCACAACCTGGGTGAACCTCCAGACGGTTGTGCTGAGTAAGAAAAGTCAAGGTTGCATGCTGTGTAATTCCATTCATATGAAATTCTTGACATGACAAAATTATAACTTTAGTTATACAAAGAACAGTTTAGTAGTTATACAAAGAACAGTTTAGTAGTTATACAAAGAACAGTTTAGTAGTTGTCAGGAGTTAAAGATGGGGCAGAGATGGGGAGAGTAAGAGGACGCAGGTGCGGCCACAAAAGGGCAACATGAGGGACCTTGGTGATGACGGACATGTTCTGAATCTGGACTCTATCAATGTCAGTGTCCTGTTTGTGAAATCATACAATAGTTTTGAAGGTATTACCTTTGGGAGAAACTGTATAAAAGGTACATAGGTCTCCACATCATTTCTTACATTTGCATGTGAACCTACAATTTCTCTCAAAATGAAAAGTCCAACTAAATAATAATCACCCTTATCTGTCCATGCTGGAGAGAGGTGTTACGCTGCCAGAGTTTCAGATCTGCTCTGAGCACCATGATCTGGGTTTACCATCATCCTCATAATATACTCCCTCTTGTATTCCAGATAGAAACAATAAGTACCGAAGAGTCAGCAAGCTGTGCTCAGGAATTGCACCAAAATGATAATGCTCCGGGTGTTGAATTTGCCAGCACAGGGACTCTGGGTGGCAAATAGCCGTGCAAGTACGGATATAGGGCAAGGAACTCAATATGGAGCCAAGTTTCAGGAGGAAGATCAGAGAATTAGATTAGGGAATAGATCTAATCTATTAGAGATTAGCAAGCAAGCAAGCAAGCAAGAGAATAATCAGGAGTCTAAAAGTATTTATTGATCAGGAATAAGGGCTGGGCACCTCACTTGGGACTCAAGGCCATGACTTGGCCAAGCAACAAAGATAACACTTAAGGCCATGCTCATGGTAGGCAGAAGAGGCATTCCCTTATATATCTCCTAGTTCATTCAACAAATGTTTAGTGAGAAATTCTCAGAGGTCGCTCACCAAGGCAGGTGCCCAAGACACAGACCTGGTCAGCTAAAGTTCCCTGGCTTCTAGAGGAAGCAGAATAGCAAGAATGCTTGGGAACACATCAGGAGGAACATCATTTCCAGGGTTGTGTAGTCAGATAACACGTTATATGAGGAAGTGGTGTGGAAGTGTGGGGTGCAGAGGAGGCGAGATTCATGCAGAGAGAAGGTCTCATGGCCCTGAGCTGAGAGGTTACAGGACCATTAGCACAGCTGGGGTTCTTCTGTAAAGACAGGAAAGCAGAAGTCAGGAATTGAGGGATACGGCTGGTGTTTGTGGGCTATGCTGGTTATGAGCAAAGGCTCAAGTCAGGGAAATACCACACAGCAGGCGATTGTGGACACTCTCACTCCATGGATCACAAAGAACCACAGGCCAAGATAGGCCAGAACACTGGATCATCTTTCCCTGGAGGAGTCAGAGCCCTATAATCTATGAGGCCCTCATGGGTTCTTTCATCCCCAGAGCTCCAGGTGTAGCTGATGTTCCTCCTCCCTCTGCTGGAACCCTCTGACTCTCAAATAGGCTTCACACATGAAGCCGGGAGATTGTTTTATACTCTAAATAACTTTCTGTTTCTACAACAGATGGGAAGACTGTATCTTCTAGCCTAATTGGAGGCTCACAATTCCAGGGAGAATTTCGGCTGGGCAGGAGCTCTCTTCCTCTGAGATTTTATTTCCCAGGGACATTCCATACTTGGCCCATGACAGAGGCTGCAGTTGCCCAAGGGAACAATGCGTCAAGGGCCACTCATCCTTTGGAAAGCAGAAGTCCAGATACCAGAGTAAAACCATAACTCATTAACACTTCCAACAAGTATTTATTATGTGTTGAGCAATCTGTGCCAGCCCTGATGACCTAATGGTGAGCAAAACCATGTTCTGTCTTCCTGCAACCTGCAATCTGGCAAGTGGGTCAAAGAGCCTAAAGAAGGTATTAGTTAGAATACAGGTGCAGCAATTCTAACAGAACCTCAAAATACTAGGGTTCAGATAAGATGGAACTGCATTTACCTTTCACAAGGGTGGGCAGTCGAGACCCAGGTACCTTCCACCTTGTTGCTCCAGCATCCTGAGTGTGTGGCCCTCATCCATGTGGTCCAAGATGGTTCACCATCACCATGATAGCCACACTCCAACAAGGAGGAAGGAAGAGAAAGGTGGGAGAATGGAAGGAATAAACCCCTCTTTTCAAAGGTCCAGAGGTCACACCACACTGAAGCTCAAACTCTTCTTGCAGAAATCAGTCCCATGACCACACCAGGCTGCAAGGGATACTAGAGAAAGCAGTTTTTAAGTAGACAGCCGTGTGCCGGACACTCTTTCAATTATCGTGGAAGAAGGTGAGCATGGATACTGCAGGTGAGTAGCAATCTCTAATGAAGCAGGTGGGTGAGTAAAGAGAGGACGCAGCTCTCCAAAAACAAAAGCAAATAAGTGATCAGAGCTGAGCAGAAAGGGAAAAACCCACAAATGCACAAGATCTAAAGGGCAGGAGGAAAGGAGGGGAAATATCAAAAAACAAAGGGAACACAGATTCCGAACCTGGGCTTTGGAATATCTAGGCACTGCATCTATATTTCCTCCCAAGACAGGCATCACCCCACACGTACAGGCGGGAAAGGTATGAAGAGAAGAGTGTTTGCCTGCAGCAGGTCTGATGAAATGAGCTCCTCCAGGGCTCACGCTTTTAGCTCCAGACTGTCCATTTTGAAAAATCACTAAGAAGACTAATGGTGCTGCCCATCAGTAGTGCCAACCTATTGCCTTGCCAACCATCCTAATGGCCACAATGATGCTAATGATGATGGCAGTGTTGATGCTGGATATGTTATTTGTCTCACTGGAGCAGCAGTGGATTCCCTTGACATCCTTGGCTGAAACGTGCGGTGAAGTAGAAACCTTAATTGGCGCAATGCTGGTAGGCAAGGGGGAAATTCACAGCAAACCTAAGCCCTTCCTCTGTAGGACGGGAGGCGAAACAACAGCAAAGGCACTCTAAGAGTGCATGGTCCTAGGACTCTCAGAACGTGCTCATCTCCCCTCACTCAGTCCCCAACATGTTTCAGGTTTATTTAGCTTTTCATATTTTCATGAAAAAGGCACAATAACAGCCAAGTACATTTTCCAACCATTGAGTTCTACCCACTCTGTGCCAGCCACTGTGCTGAGTGTTCAGCAGCATTTCAAAATGCTTTCATGACATCTCCTTTGGGTCTTTACTCTGTGAGGTAAGGGCAGTAGATATCAGAGACATTTCCACGTAACACGGAAGGAAAACATGATGGGTGATTTGTCCAAGATCGCGCAGCCAATCCACAGCCAAGGCTGGTCCAGTTTCCCTCCTCCCTGTCTGTTGCATCTGCTGAACCCATCTCTTGTCACACAATCCAATTTATTTCGGGGATGACTTCTCCAGTGCCACTTGGTGCACTGCACAGTGATTCTCTAATATAGGTCAAATCCCACGACAGGTATATTTCACTCCTTCTCCCCTCTTCCCCTCTCCTCCTCCCCCCTTACCCCTCCTTTCCTCCCCTTCCTCTCCCTCACCCCCTTCCCCCCTCCTCCTCCCCTTCCTCCCCTTCTCCTCCTACCCCTACTCCCCCTGCTCTCCTCTTCCCCCTCTCCTCCTCCCCCTCCTACCCTCTTCCCACTCCCCGCCTTTCCCCTTCCCCCCTTCCTCCTCCCCCTCTCCTTGCTTGGCTGCAGCCCACCTGCCCGGCTCTCCTCCTGCCTCCTTGCTTGCTCCCTATCTCCTTTGCAGGTTCCTCCTCTTCTCCCCAAACACCTCAGACCTCAGTCTTCAGACCTCCTGCTTCTCTGTCCACACTTGCTGCCCCCATCAATGAGCTCATCCAGAGTCATGATTGTAGCTGCCTCACCAACACTGATGATGCCAAAGTCCAATCTCCAGCCCACATCACCCCCTCAACTCCAGGCTCAGAGAGCCAGCCAGCCACTTGTCTTCTCCACTGGAACGTCTACCTGCAACTCCAATGGATTGTGTCCAAAACAGAGTCCCTGATTTTCCCTCCCAAATACTGTTCACCCCCAACCCCCAGCCATCCTATCTCAGGGAACATGATATGGTTTGTATCTGTGTCCCCACTCAGACCTCATGTTCACTGTAATCCCCAATGTTGGAGGTGGGGCCTGGTGGGAGGCGATTGTATCATGGGGGCAGATTTCTCATGAATGGTTTAGCACCATCTCTCTTGGTGCCATCCTGCAGATAGAGAGAGAGTTCTCATGAGATCTGGTTGTTTAAAAGTGTGTGGCACCTCCCCCCTTGCTGTCTTGCTCCTGCTCTGGCCATGTGACATGCCCACTCTCCCTCTGCCTTCCACCATGATTGGCATGATTGGAAGCTTCCTGAGGCCTCCCCAGAAGGAAAGCAGATGCCAGCACCATGCTTCCTGTACAGCCTGCAGAACCGTGAGCCAATTAAACCTCTGTTCTTTATAGACTTCCCAGTCTCTGGTATTTCTTTATGGCAATGCTGGAACAGCCTAATGCAGAACGTTAACTCTTTTTTCCCAGTTGCTGAGGACAACACTTGGTCTGGCACCTCACATCCAATCTTTGCCAATGTTGGCAAATCCTACTGGCTCTATTTTCAAAACATTTCCAAAACCTGACTCTGCTGCTGCCCTGATTTAGACTGCCATCCCCCTTGCCTGGACTAGCCATAGCCTCCTAATCCATGCCCCTGACTCCACCCTCATCCCTCAGTCCACTCTCAGCCTAGAGCCCAGAAGGACCCTGCAGAAACTGAAATTGGATTATGTCACTTCTCTGCTCAGAGAATGGCTCCCGTATCCTCAGGATGGCCTCTGGGGCCCTCCATAATCTGTCACCCCCCAACACACCCTTACTCTGTCTCATCTTATCTTCCCCACATCCCCTCCCACCTGCAGCAGCGCTGGTCTTCGTGTTCCCAGAACACTCTGGCCACCCTCATGCTTGGGTCTGGGCCTAGCCCCTCTTCCCGGAGGTCTCTGCTTGGCCAGTCTTCCACCTCCTTCAGGTTTGTTTGCAAATGTCACCTTCATGGTGGGAGCTTCCTCAGCAGTAGGCATATCCCTCTGCCCACCAGCCCTTCCCTTCCCCTCCACCTTCTCCACTTTTCCTCCTTGGCACTTAACAACCTCTGGCATGCTGTGTATTTTATCTTGTGTGTTGCTCTGCTTCCCCCATTAGAAGTGAAGCTCCCGGAGAGCAGGAATTCTCGTCCATTTTGCTCACTGCTATTTTCCCGATACCTGGAATAGTGCCAGGGGCTTGGCCTATAGCAGGTTGGCAATGAATATTTGTTGAATAAATAAATTAAATGAATGGCTTTACCCCATTCTAGCCTTGAGCAAGATGCCTACTCTCTCTGAGTGTTAATTTTCACCTCTGTGAAAGGAACATGACAATGGCCATCCCACATCGTCCTTATAGGGATGAAAGATAGTGTGTGCAAAAAAACCAGGGCAGTGCCTGATGGGACATCATTCATTGCTATTGCTATGATTTCAGAGGAAGGTTGAGCCACTTAAAACACGTAACCCAAACCCAGTAGATGGAGATGGTGTTGTAGATCTCAAAGCCCTCTTGGCCTGGCTGACCTCCAGGTTGGTAATCACTTTCCCTGCCGGAGGAGGGGGTTCCAAGCTAGTAAGGAGCCTCCTTGCCACTGTGTTCAACAACTCACTTGCAATTCATCCATTCATGCAGTCAACAGTATTGACGGTATCTCAGAAGCTGGGCATTCACAGACTTCGGGTCTCCCCTCACGGAGTCCATTGCCCTTCAAAGGACATGAACAGAGAGAGCTGACGTCAGAGAATGTGATCAGCTCTGGAAGATCAGGGCCAGTCTGTTGCCTGCTCCCACCCACATCTCCATCCTATAGCCTGGCATACTCAGCATCATCTCAAGGTGCCAGACAATCATAAGCAAAGCAAAACAAAAAGTGAACAACATTGGCACGTCCTGACAGTAAAAATGTCAGCTGAGGAATTTGGCCTCTTGTCTTTGAGACCATAAACAAGAGCACAAACTTTCAAGGGTCCCTCACGGTATCAGGGCTGAGTGCCTCTACCTCAGGGCCTCCCCTGCAGGCCACAGGCTTGCACTGAGGTGAGCTGGATCCAAAGGCAATGAAGGGTCAGAAGGAAAGAGGTCCTGTGGGCCTCTCTCAGCCTCTCCAGGTCAACCAAGAACTCACGGGAGCTTAAACAAAGGCCGAGGATGCTCTTGGCCTGGACCAGCCTCCGTGATTGAATGGGAAGGGCACCCTGCATTCTGGAGTTTCTGGACCACAACTTCCTTCCCCCGCTGTCTCCTGAGGGGCAACTTCCGGCCAGGTTCCAGAAGAGTCATGTTCAGGATCATGGAGAAGGACAGGCTCGAGGCTGGAGCCCACCCCCATGTGCCTTGGCCCTGCTCCAAAGCGTACCTCCACCCCTTCACCTCTCCGTTGCCATTTCTCCTGGGGACGAAGTTTTCCCTCAAATGGGTGCTCCTGAAACAGATTCACCCAAAGGATGTGGGAGGGCCTTGGAAGGGCCTTGGGTGAGAGGGCATTTGGCTCCCCTGTAAAGGCTTCAGCAAGGAGTGAATCCTGAGACCATAGTGGGCAGGGGCGGGGGCAGGGCTGGCTCTTCCCTCTATGCCAAGGCACAGGAGAGCCTGTGTTTGACTGGGGTGTTTTCCCCGATGGTGGCCGAGCTGCCAGCAGTTCCTGCAAGACCCCACTTGATGAGGCAGGGCTGAGAGGAGGTGATTAGGAGGTGCAGATTTCAGGTTGGCGAGTGGCAAGTGGCAGAACATTCTGGCCCCTAAGTCCCCTTGTTGGCATGCTCGAGTGTCTTTTCTCCCAAAGAGCTCTTCCACGAGCATGTCCAGAGAGTGTCTGCCTGGCCCCATGACCAACTCTCCTTTGCAGCAGTGGAGAGGGGACAACTTCCTCCAGGGAGCTCAGAGGCTTTCCTGAGCCACCCCTAAAATGGCAGGTGCTCCTGGGACGCAGTCTGTATCCTATGACCTCAGGTCACCACATCACACACAGGGCCTGTTCTGAACTCACCAGCTAGGCTTCCTTCGGAGCCACACACGCAGACAGTCTCCTCAGCTGGGAAATGCACCCCCAGAGAAGGCCAGGTGTGCACACGACAGGTAGGGGCTGGGGAGGAACCCCAGCTTATACCTTCACCATCAACCCAGGATCAACAATGTGGTAAGAGCTAGGGCCTTGGATGCAAGGAGACTGTGCTGGGATCTTCACAGCCACCTGACACTGGACAAGTGTCACCTCTTTGAGTTTCATCTGAGAAATGGAGGTGACGATGTGACAGTGTTGTTGTGAGGCTGGAGGAGGTACCATGTGTCCAGCATCTACCAGTGCCAGGGAGGTAGGAATTGCTTGAGAGATAATGGACACCGCCCTTGCTCATGTGGGGAGAAACGGGAGAAGGTGGCAAGCCATACTCCAAGCCACGTGTAACCCTGATGTGTGGAGAGGCTTCTCTCTTGTTGTCCACCGCAGAGTGCACGACCCCGCCTTCATTTACCAAACCCCAAAGTATCCCTGCAGGCCCAGCTCCTTCTGTGCACCTGAATTCCTGGGGCAGAGCCCACGCCCCTCCTGCTGCTTCTGCTTTGGACACTGTGTGTTTGCATTCTGAGTGTTTGCATTTGTCTCTCCACCTGTCAGCAACTGCTTGGGGATAAGGATTCTGCCTTGCTCAGTGCCCCCTCCTCAGCTCCCGTCCCCTTCCCCGGTGCAGAGGTGCCCAGTGAACGACAATCTAGCCCTCAGCCCCGGCTCTGTCTCAGAAGGTGCCAGTAGCCCCAGGGGTGACCCAAGGCACGGAGGCACATCTGAGGAAGGCCGTGGCAACAAGGCAACTTCTTCTTTCCTCCCTCCCTGTCCTGGTCACTCACTCTTTTCATTCCTGTGGAGCGCTGATGGCTGGTGAGATCGTTGTTTGTCAGCCAGAGCACAAACGACATGCAGGAAGGGCAGACGATATGTCAAAGGTCACCCGCTAAACCTACGGCAGAACCAAGATGAAAATGTGTCACCGCCTCAAGTTCAGACCAGGGATTGGCCTACCCCACACGAGCTCCATGAACAACAGACAACCTCGCACCATTCAGAAAAGATGGTGGACGCTCCGAGTGCTCAACTCGGGTCACCTCCTTGGGCAAAGTGTCTTGTCTTTAAAACTGGAACCAAGCGAGGGTATGTCCAGTCCTGGCTTCAGCTGGGAGTGTCCTGGAAGGCTCTGCCTGACCCCACGTTGAAGTTAGGTTTCCCCGACTCTACCCTGTCATGTCTCCCTGTGGTTTTCTGTGACAGCACTTGTCACATAAATCAATGTCTGTTTTATTTGTAAAATTATTTGTTCAATGTCCAATTCTCCTCCACACTGATAGATAGGAGGACAGGGATGTATCCAAAGGGTTTAGCATACTACCGAGTGTATAATAAGCTCTCAGAGTATGCATCCAACAAGTAGTTATTAAGGTCTTCCACATGCAACATATTGTTCTTGGTGTTAGCAGACTAAAATGATACACAGGTGGATTGATGGAGAGTTTGTTAAAATAATACAAGATGCCAAACTGGGCTATGTGACTGCAATGCTTCCTATTGCTGCTGTAACCAATTATCAAATTTAGGAGCTTAAAACAACATCAACTGACTTGTCATGAAGAAAAAAATCAGTCTCACCGGGCTAGGATTGAAGCGTCCAGCAGGGTCAGCTCCTTCCAGAGGCTCTGAAGGGAAAATCTATTTCCTTGCCTGTTCCAGTTTCTAGAAGCTGCCTGCTTTCCTCTTCTAGATCCTCCCTCCATCCTCCAACCCCTCGCGCTCTGATCTCTGCTTCAGCCATCACGTCTCCTTCTCTAACTCTGACCCTCCTGCCTCCCTCCTGTAAGGACCCTTGTGATTCTTAGAAGATCCATTCAGAGAATCCAGGATCATCTCATCTCAAATCCTGAATTTAAACACATCTGTAAAGTCCCTTTTGTCATGCAAGGTAACATAGTCACAGGCTCCCGGGATTACAGCACGGACATCTTTGAGCGCTCATTATTCAGTCTACCCTGGTGACTCATGGAATATGTCTTTTGGAATCTTTTAATGAGGAAGTCTTCCTAAACTGCAGCAGTCTCTTACTCTAAGCCTCAAAACGTTTTAGTCAATTCTGCACTCTACATTTTGGAATCACATCTTACCCAAATCAGAGATTTTGGGTTCTCGTCTGCTCAGCATGTTTACGACATGTGCGTGTGATATGACTACCCGCCTAGTAGCAAGGGGACCTCTCCTGTGGTGGGTTGAATTGAGTCCCCAGCCCCAAAAGATATGCTGATGTCCTAACTCTGATGCCTGTGAATATGACCCTATTAGAAAATAGGATATAATTGCAGATGTAATCAAGTTAAAATAAGATCCTACTGGATTAGGGCAAGCCCTAAATCCAATGACTGGTGTTCTCACAAAGAGAAAAAGATTTGAATACGGAGACAGAGACAGAGACAGAGGGAAGATGGCCACACGACAGCAAAGGCAGAGACTGGAGAGATGCAACCGCCGGCCGAGAACTGCCAAGGACTGCTGGCAAGCGCCAGAAGCCAGAAAGCGGCAAGGAAGAAGTGTGGTCCTGCGACACATTGATTTCAGACTTCCAGCCTCCAGAAATGTGAGACAATACATTTCTGTTGTTTTAAGGCCCCCAGTTTGTGGTAATTTGTTACAGCATCCCCGGGAAATGAACACACCCAGTCCCCCTCCCCCGCCCCTACACCGTGGGTTCCCGTAAGCTCTCCCTGAAGACCTGCTACGGCAACTGCAGAGCACCCCTGTTTCCCAAGCTACGGCCCGTTTTTTTCACTGTCCCTGACACCGGGTGACAGGGAAAGGCTTTGCCATGGGAATGAACCATCCACTCACACTGCTTTCTGCAGACAGACTCAAAGTCACCACTGTGCAGTCAGTTTTTTCCTTGTTTCTTGGAAAGCACCTCTCAGGACCGTTTCAAGAAAAACAAATTGTGAGGTTAAGGATCTATTTAAAGTGAATCATCAGCTCTAGTTCCAATAACAAAGCAGGCCAGTCGGGTCGCTGGGACAAGACTGGAACCACTGTGAGCGTGCACTAACTGTGGGTCAGGCATGAGCGGGTCTCTGCACACACGTCACCTGGAGTGCCCCCTCCCCCTGTTCACTCGGCAGGCGGCCTTGGTGGCTGCCTTCCCAATCCTCTGCCCAAAAGGGACACAGAACAGCATGCTCACCAAGTAAGAATTTTCAAGCAGCTTTGAAGTGCGGTTCACCATCTTGGGGAGCTTAAGAGGAACAGTTTGAACCCATTTAACCCCTTGCACTATTAATCCCCAGTTGCTTGGTGAGAACTGGTTGTATGTGTGCAAAGCTCCCTGCTAGCCCTCCGGGAGCGTTGAGTCCTCAGAGTCCATGAGCAGCCTGAATCTGGATGCATCACAGATGCCTGTGTCCAGCTGGGGCTCAGAGGAAGCCAAGCACTTCTTTCATTTCAACATTCCTGACCTGTCTTCCCATAGGTGGTGGCAGTAGAATGAACCACTCATCAACTTTTTTTTTTTTTGAGATGGAGTCTCGCTCTGTCTCCCAGGCTGGAGTGCAGTGGTGCGGTCTCAGCTCACTGCAATCCCTGTCTCCCAGGTTCAAGCGATTCTCCTGCCTCAGCCTCCCAGAGTAGCTGGGATTACAGGCACTCACCACCACACCCAGCTAACTTTTGTATTTTTAGTAGAGACAGGGTTTCACCATGTTGTCCAGGCTGGTCTCGAACTCCTGACCTCAGGTGATCTGCCCGCCTTTGCCTCCCAAAGTGCTGAGATTACAGGTGTGAGCCACCACACCCAGCCCACTCATCAAGTCTTTATTTGAGCACCCCTATATGCCAGGCTCTGGCAATGCAGTGGTTAACCCATTTCTCCATGGAGCATCTGTTGAAGTGGGGGGAAGTAAAGAAAAGATTAAAACAAAATGTAAGCAGACAAGTAAATAAAAGAACTGTGGGCTGAAATAATTGTCATAAAGAAACTTAGGAGCTAAAACAGAGAACAGACGAGGCCTGACTTTTCACCAGGTGAGCAGGAAATGGCCCTGTGAGGTTACACTCAAGCTGAGACCTAAAGGAAATGAAGGAGCCAGTCAGGGGAAGACTCAGGAAACAGTATTCCTGCCAGTAGAAGACCAGGTGCGAAGGTCCTGGGGCAGCAAAGAGCTTAGCCGGCATTCAAGGACCTGGAAGAAGACCAGGGTGACAGGAGAGTTGTGAGCACAGAGGCTCCCAAGCAAGAGGAGGCTGGAGAGGTTTGCAGGGGCCAAATCATGCAGAGCTTTACTCAAGCGTGGATTTTATTCTAAGTACAATGGGAAGCTCTTGAAGGGTTTTCGTGGTGTGTGTGTGTGTGTGTGTGTGTCTGTGTGTGTGTGTGTGTGTGTGTGTGTGTGTGTGTGTGTGTGCAGGGGAAGGGTGAAGGGATGACATAACATCATCTCCTCCTCTTTTCCCCCTCTTCCTCCTTCTTCTTCTTCCTCCTCTTCTTCTTTTTCTTCATCTTCGCCTTCTTCATCTCTTCCTTCTTCTCCTCTTCCTCCCCCTTCTTCTCAGACGTCCACTTTTGCAGCTATGTGGGGAAAGTCGATGTGAGGTAGGCAAGCTTGCAGGGGAAGGCCTTTTAGGAAGGATGTAGCAGGAACCTGGACTTGGGTGATGGCAGTCACAAGGGAGAGAAGGCATGATCAGATATCTACTCCAGACGGGATTGATAGGATGCGCTGATAGATTGCAGGGAATGGGAGTGTTGGGGAGGGTCCTGGGTGACTGAGTGTCTGCTTGCTCTTTACAGGGGTTTCTGTCCCACCACGGAGTGGCATACCTGGCTCCTGGGCTCCTGGGTGACCCTAAGAAGCTGTCCCAAGATGACCATCAGGGCCCCTTCCATCCCTCACTTGGGTCTGGTGCAAGATGTCTCAGTGACTCTTACCTCTTGTGCAATAGGCAGTACTTTTTTCCAAATTTGATATTCTCCTTTGCATCTGACAGGGCCACTCTCCATTTTCTAATTACCGCAGAACAGTCTTGCCTGAAAGTGCCTTCCTAAGCTGGGGTCCTACCTCAGAATCAGTAGTGAGTTAGTAAATCAGATCTCTGGATGGTGAAAAATGAAACCCTAATTTGTAACATGTACCAATTTCTATGGTATAAATACCCCTGCCATGGCGACTTTGAAGCTATCAATAGTTAACCAACTCAAAAAAATCCTGAACAGTTAACACTTGGCTTTCACCAGCCTATAGGAGCCAGGCCTAGCTCAGTATCGCATGACTGCTGGCCTAGAACAGTATGCCAAACAATTTCCTCCAGCTTCTCAAAATGCACAGTTGTCCAGCGTAGAAGCAGAGTATGCAGGAGGCTTGGTGAGCTGATGTGCTGAGTCCATAGGTCTGGGAATGAATCCAGTCAGTGACTCACTGCATGCTCAAGTGTGTCTGAATAGGTTAACTTCAAAACCAAACCGAATACTCAAGGCAACTTCTCTCTACTGGTGATGTAGAACAGCCTGGCAGAACATTCCCCATGGGTAGGTTTTCTGGAATGAATGGGGAGTCGGGAAATCTGGGTGACAACTCTGGGGCTGCTGCTAGTTGGCTCAATGACCTCAGACATGTTGCCTGACCTCTCTGAGTCTCAACCTTCACATCCCCAAAATGAGAGGCAGATGATCTCTAATAGTCAGTCACTGAGTGTCTTCCAAGTGACAATCAGTGTCACTTGGTTAATGCAACACCAAGTTGCCTGAGGAACCTGTTTCTGACCCAGGCAACTATGCAGGTTGTGAAGCCAGAGGGGAGTTTGAGCACCAAGTTCAAGAAGGCAGTCTTGCAAGACTTTCCTCGAAGCAGCTCCTACAGACTGGCTCTTTCACCTTAAACGCCATAGTTTTGGATACAGGTAAGAGTCATGGGGACAGAAAAGGAAGGGAGACAGAGACAACCTGGGGAAGAATGATGACACTTGGTGACTGGAAGAGTATGGGAAATGCAGACAAACAAGAGATCAAAGAGAGCTCCCAAAGTTGTGCCAATGCCGTAGTTTCCCACACCACGCAGAACAGCAGGAGCAGCAGCTTTTGGGCTTCTCTGGCTGGTAGACTGTGTTTAATGACTGCAGAGGCTGCACCTTCCTAAGCTGATGAAGAACTTCCTAGAATGTCCCCTAGGACCCCTCCTATGAAATGGTACCAACACCACTCTGTGACTTTGTCCAGGGTCTGTGTGTGGCAAACACTGCCTACTGTGTGGGCCATGAGAGGCCATGAAGGGAGCTGCACAGACATCCCCCACCCACAGATCACAGACCACCCTCACGGACAAACATCCCCTTTGCCATTCATTCCATCTCCTCCCCAAGCACATCCTGAAATGCCTTCCTCATTCTATAGCAGGCATAGCTAATATCCTCTTTTATAACCCCAGTTCTCTCCATTTGAGGCCATATAGGTGAACATAGTTGAGAAGTCAGA
The DNA here is from genome assembly GCF_000001405.40 of Homo sapiens. Classification (NCBI taxonomy): domain Eukaryota; kingdom Metazoa; phylum Chordata; class Mammalia; order Primates; family Hominidae; genus Homo; species Homo sapiens. Next base: position 898,603 of record NW_025791756.1, on the reverse strand, counting down.
GGAGGGGGCTGAGAAATGCTTAAATACCCGCAGAGCAAGGACCAGACCCTTTTCTTCCTTCCTTGTTCTCAGGCTTTTCTGCACGTACCGGGGGCATTGGCTGTTGACACGTGAAATATTGAGGCAGCCTTGTCTATGCGCTGGGCACTTTATTTGGGTGAATGTACCTTTTCAAAATCAAGATATTCTGGGGTTTTTAAAAAATAAAAAGTATGAAAATATCCCAAAACAGAAAAGAGTACTGAGGATAACCATATAAAAACAATTTAAGCTGAGAAAAATAACCCAGTCCTGTCGAGTCCTAAAGAGAACCTTGGTTTCCATGGGACGTTAGCAAAGTGCAGAGCTCCTAGCAGTGGGTAGGATGGAATGTTTGCAGCCTTTCCAAATAAGCAAATATCCCCCAGAATCCAGCATCCGTGCCCCACATGCTGTGGTTCCAATTTGCTTCCTGTTTTCAGGCCTCCCAGAAATACATCTCACAGACTTTTTATTTTCATCTCCCCACCTTGAAAAGCACAGATTTGCAAGTGTGAGTGTCTTAGCAGGGAGACAAATCCAGCAGGCATTCAAGACATTCAGGCAGGAAGAAATGCATCTCATCGGAAATTTTCCATCGCCAGCACTTTTTAAAAAATTCCCAATATAAATGGGCTTTTACTTGTAGGACGAAGGGCTCCATTATTTTTCAAATACTTTGCTGCTTCTAAGGAGCCAAGAAAATTGGTCATGCACCTGGCCAGCCGATCCAACCTCAAAAATCTTCTGACCTCAATGAAAAGGCTCTAATTTTTCCTTGCCTTTAATAAATGTTTCTTCTCTTCTCCCCAGCAGTATTCAGCATGTGGGGTGGGCAGGCAGGGTGCCCAGTTAATGTAAACAGGCAGGAACACCTGATTCATCAGGATTCTTCCCACTGCTCCAATCCAGGGGTCTCTGCTTCAGACAGAACCCCTAGGAAGAGAAGCATGTGACTTAGGACTTCAGGGGGACTCGAAGTGCAAATACATTATGGCACAGATTTAAATGTTTACCTGTATATGTGTATGTTAAAAAATCAATTTCTTAGAGATGGTTTCAAGGTGTCAGAAAAGCTAATTCAGGTAGAAAACATGTCCTTGCTCTGTAGATGCCTCCATTCTGTCTTCCAGAACCTGAGAGAGAAGAGCAAGGATTTGGACTGTGGCCTAGAGAGGGAATTTGCAGCTCTCTTTCCCAAGGAATGAATCGCAGCCCCTCAGGCTGGAACAGGCAGGTGCTGCGAAATCTGGCTGACAGGTCAGCTTCAAGGTGATGTGCTTGCTGAGTCTTCTCTCCTTTCAGCTAAGCTCTCATCACGCCCCTGGTGCCTGGTAAAAGTAAATAATGATGACTGAGCGTATGAAGCAGGAGGGTCTCTACACACCTGTAATTACTACCTAGCAAGTCCCTGCAGAACCCAGGAGTTCCCCCAGAGAGCCAGTGGGGCCGTTTCTGGAGAGAGTAAGTCAACGTGGGTCCTCCAGGCAAGATCTAGCTGGAGGAAGTAGAATTAAAACTTCTATCACTGGACGGATGTTTTGTCACTTGGCGGGAAAGTTCCAAGTCAAAGTTCCCAGTTTCCTAAGCTGTTATAAACCCGGTTGAAATGCTCACATACACCTGTGAGTGTCTCAAAACAAACAAAGCATAATCGCCTTAGAGCAGCACTGTCTCATAGAAATATAATGTGAACTACATGTTATTTAAAATTCTCTAGAAGCCACTTTTAAAAAGAAACAGGTGAGATGAATTTTAATAATACGTTTAACTTAACCAACCCAAAACATTATCACTTCCTCATGTAATCAATATAAAAAATTGCTGGTGAGATATTTTACCAAGTCTTCAAAATCTGGATGTATATTACATTTTCGGCACATCTCACTGTGGACGAGGCATGCTTCAGGTGCTAAGAGCCACACAAGCTGTGTGCCATGTTGGACACTGCAGCCTTTGAGGCTGACATTTACACCTCACCACCTTTTGAGAGCACCTGATGCATGATAGATTTCCCACAAACATTTCATATAGAAGAGTGAACCTGTTATATGTGAAGTTTTACTTGATCTGAATATACTAGTGCTCTTAATAAAATAAGAATTACTAAAAAATTTCCTTTGAATAGTGCCAGGCGGGTCTGAAACCCAGCCTTGACTGATATTTTCATGTGCTGATAACAGCAACCAAAGTATCGTGACTTCGGTTAATAATTGATTGCTCCTTGCAGGGGAAAAATAAATAAAACCGGAATCTGACTGCTCCACCCCTTAGGGCAGCTTACTAACGTCTGGATGAGCATGCTTGTGTTCTTGCACTCTCTGGGAATTAGACACAAAAACTGCCCTCAAGGACAGCACAGCCCAGGGACAGCCAGGCAGACCAATGCCTAATACTGCATGTGTGCAGGGGGTTGTGTTGGCAACAACATGAGTGGCTTTCCTGGAGTGGAGGCTCCAGCTCTGCATCCTGAAGAGGGACTAGGAGGTCCTCAGGGAGGAGGGCAGGAAGGAAACATCCAGTGGAGGAAGCGGTAGGCACAGAAGTTTGCAGCCACTTGAAAAGCAGGGAGGCACAGGACCTTAGGACCCTTCTATAGCAGTCCCGTAAGCCCAGAGGGAACCATTTCAGAGTGGGACAATCTACGGCAGCGTTGTCCGACCAAAATACTTGCAAGCCACATGTGTGATGGATTTCAGGAGCCACTGAAGGGTCAAAAGACAGAGATACAATTAATTGTAATGACCTGTTTTTAGCTTAACCCACGTTGTCCAAAGCTTTATCATGTCACCGTGTGAGATACCTCACGTTCTTTTTCATGAAGTCTTTGAAATGTGAGGTGTCCTTGACACCAAGAAGGCATGCATGAGTCTAGATGCAGTGTGTATATATAGTGAGTAGTAACCTCTGCTCACGTTCCTGGGTCCAAAAGAGAGATCAGGACAGCTTCAAGGGAGAGGGCTAGGGATGAAAAAGGAGATAATGTCGCCCACCACTTCTGAGGGGACAACAGACTGCGCCAGGCGCTGTAACCCGGGGGAAACGGAGGCAGCAGCTTCTCCCACGTGCTCCCAAAGGTGTCCGTGTCAACAGCATTAACTACCAAACAGAGCACTGAGGAACATTTGCTAAATGCTGCCAAGTGCCCGGACACCAGATCACAAGGCTGGCCCAGAAAAGAGCAAGTGCACCTGTGGGGGAGGAGGGCAAGTCCCCGTCGTCGGTCATCCCAGGTCACAGGGGTGCCTTTCCCTCCACTGCCAGGGAAATGCACATGCAGGCTGCCTAATGTGGAAATGTTTGGATCTGGAACAGAGAGGCTCTCAGGCCGGCGGGGAGGAGGCAGGGTGACAGTAACCAGCCGCACCGGAATGACGATGGGGAGCGCTGCACCTACGGCTTGCCAAGACCCCAGCAATATCTTTCCTACTAAGTCTAGCAGTGCCTGAGGCTCGCCTCCGAAGAACAGCCTCTCCCTTCCGCCTCTGTCTTCTTTAAGGGAGAGGGAGTGCAAGCCAAACCCAGCAAGCACTTGGACGCCGCCCTGCTCTCCCCGGGGCTCTGGGCTCTGCAACAGATCCGCTTTGTGAATGAAAGAGGCATCTCTCCAAGATGGCGCGCTCTACCCTGAGGGCACACCATGCACACGCCACTCCTCCAGCTGGTCTCGGGGACTGCAGTCCTTCTCTCCTGGATGGGTTGGGGGTGGGGGGTGTTGAGAGCTTTCCTCCTCCTTTTCTTCTTCCTCCTCCTCCTGTCTCCCTAACCCTGGAAGGGGGCCATCCACTGAACTTCGGAAAGAGGTCACCCTCCCTGAAAAGGGGACTTGGATTGCTGCATCCAGAGCCACCCCCTGTGGTCCCTCAATCTAGCCACACTCAGTTGCTAAAGCAGGGAGAGGTTTCCTAGTCCGGTGTTCCGGCCCCACGCAAACGGAGCTCAGGATGACGCCACATGTGTGTTTGAGTCAAAGCGCTTTTAACTGTGGCTCCAAGAACAGCCTGTACAGCCACTTGAGTTTCCCCGTAACAAGGAATGTACAATAGATGAGACTTTACTGGCAAAACAATTTTTAAAAGTAAAGGGAGAAGCAGCAGCCCAGCCTTGTCTCTTTATAGGGTCCTAGAGAACCGGTGGTGGCTGGGTTGAAAAGCACAGCGCTTAGCCATTCAGCAGTTTATGACCTCAGTTTACCAAGTCCTTGTAACAAGGTTACCGGAGGGGTTTTGCAAGCTTGTAGACCCAGGTGTGGCTGAAGTTGAGCTGCTCAGGGACAGTGGTTTTCTTGCCATTGGGAGAAGGTTACCAAGAATAATTTTCCTGCCCCAGGACTTGTAGATGATTAACGTGTTTCTTTCGCTTAACCAGAGAGTTAATGGTTATTCAAAGCACTCTTTGATAATGGAGGCTGGAGGGGAGAAAATGAATGCGTTAACCATTAATCCAGGGAAATGCCACAAAAATTAAAATGGAAAACACTCAACCTGGGAAAGGAATTCACTGGCTGGAAGGGTCAGCCAGGCAAACCTGGTGAGGAAGGAGGAAGAGAGGAGGCCAGAGGGAGGCCTTACAGTTCACGTATACTTAGAGCTGGGTTTTGTTATTTTTTGTTCCGTTTCCTTGTTTCATTGCTCTGAGGAAACAGAGTAGAAATAACAAAATCACAAACATGGGAACATTACAAATAAAGTCAGTTTTATTGGTCTTTTTCCTCCAGCCTCCCACAGCTGAGCCTGTCTGACTTATCCCCTGTCTGACTTGTTCCCCGGCCTCTTTGGGGAGCAGGAGGGGAGCTCAGGCAATCCATGCTTGGAGAAAGTCGAGAGTGTTTTTAGGAGGCTGGTGCTGACAGAGGGCATGCAGCTCTGGCTCCCGGCCTCTTCTTGGGGCCACACTGGCCAGCACCCAGGCACAGCCATCATGGCGCCTGCCCCAGTCACCCTGCTGGCCCCTGGGGCAGCATCCTCAATGTCTTGCAGCCAGCCCGGTGCAATAAACAGGAAGACTTCGGGGAAAAACTCCTGCTTGGCATAGGCTACTCCCAGTCACCATCTGGGACACGTCATGATGAGCTATGAGCTGGCACCAGTGGGAATCTCTGATGAAGGTTGGGACTCCCCGAAGCATCACACATGTGTGGAGCATTCTCTAGTAGGAAGACCTTTTTAGAGTACAAAGGCCAGATCCTGCCCTCAAGGGGTTTACAGGCCATTAGGGAGATAAAACAACCTAGGGCAAGTGCTGGAGATGCAGCATCAGCCAACTGCTGAATACACTCAAAAAAATGAGAGCCCACTGGATTGTCTGGGAGCCTCCTAGGAAAGCTGAGTCCAAGCTGGGCTGGGAGGTTGGATAAGGCTGTGGCCGGGAGAAAAGGGAGAGGCAAGGCAGAGAGAGAAAGGAATGGCAGAAATGTGTAAGGAAGAGACCTATTTGAAGAAGAGGAGAGAAAAGAAATTAACACTTGGAAGATAGGTTTGGGTCTGTCTGTGGGAGCCTCGTTGCCCAGCTGCATTTATACCCCATCACTGGCACTGTGGGGAGTTTTGAGAGGAGAGTGAAATTAACAAAGTGGGGCATGGGAGGAGGGGGGGTCATGAAGGATGAGAGCAAGCAAGTCACCATGTAGTTACAACAGTGGCCCAAGGGTGCTCTCCAGGAACATGTGGGGCATGGGAGCCCAGGGCAGGAGGAGGGCTCCGCTTCCTCTGTGCTCTAAAAAGGGAAGGGATCAAGGGGTGAAGATTCCAGCCCCTTTGGAAGTGGAGGAGGCTAGGGAAGAGCTCTTACTACAGGGAATCCTGTTCTCATGGACCTGGAGGCCAGGGCCTTTGCTGAGAACATGGCAGGGGAGGGCAAGGGCTCACAGAGGGAAAATTCAAAAACTCCAACAACTACTGGGAAGGAAGTGGAGTGAGGAAGGGATGAAGAGAGTGAATTTGTGGGTTCGGTGGACAAGGTTTTCTGGCTCTTCCTAGCATCCCAGGAGTTCAGAAAGCACAGGGTAAAAGCCACTTACTTTCTCCCTCTACTTTGATGGAGGGTTGACTATGGGCTAGTGCTGGTCTAGGAACTGAGGGGAGATGAAGGGCCTCAGATACATGTTCTCTGTCTTCACCAAGCTTGTTGCAGAGTGAAGGTAAGAAACATAATACAATTGCAATAAAGAGAAATGGACATGGGTCCTGCCCATTTGAATCAGAGATTGTTAGAAATACAGACTTCTGCCAACTGATTAAATCCCACCACCACCACCACCGCCACCATTATCAGAAACTTTCTTGGCACAGGGCACAAGCTTGTGTCTTTTTTTCAAGGCTAGTTCTAACACACGGTGTAACATCCATGAGTCAGATTGTCTTGGTTTCTATCCCAACTTTACCACTTACTGACTCTATGTGTGTGTGACTGCTCTTGCCTCAGTTTGTTCATCTAAAAAATAGGATAATAGCAGTACCTACTTCGTAGGATTAAATGTGATCTTTCTTATAAAGTCCTAAGAAACAGCCTAACACAGCAGGTGCTTAGTAACTGTTGGCTGTTCGCTAAAGGGCATGACTAGGGTTGTGGTAGGGGAAAAACACGGTGCTGTGGGAATCCAGGTGGGGGATCTAACCTGGACCTGAGGGTCAGGGAAGGCTTTCTGGAAGAGGTGACTTCCAAGCTGAGACATGCAGGAGAATGAGGAGTGAACCAGGTCGCATGGGTGAAAGCGAGAGTTTAAGCAGAGAGAACAGCAGGTGCAAAGTTCCCAGACAAGAGATCCAAAACCATGGAAGGGACTGACTGTGGTTTGGTGGGGCTGGAATGCAGGGCGAGGCAGGGCTGTGGAGGGGCAGGAGATGTCCAGATCCTGGAAGTGTTTGAATTCTATCCTGAGAGCCACAGGAAGCTGCTGCAGGGCTTTAAGGAGAGAGGGATCTGATCTGTGATTTGAGGCATCCCTCTTGCTACGGTTTGAAGAGTCGGTTGAAGGCACAAGCCCAGAGCCAGAGGCGAGTGAGGAAGAGGTTGACATGATCCCAACAAGGGAGACAGAAGGTCTGAACTAGGAAAAGGGCTGTGGAGAGGGAGAAAGTGGGCAAACTGACAAGCACCTGGGTGGCCGATGGAAGTGGGGGGCTCAGGAAGATGAGCGTGCCAAGGGTGGCTCTGGACTTGGGTTTGAGCAACATTTCCACTGGATGGATGTTGAGAAAGGGAAGATGGAAATGGAGCACATTTGGGGAGAGAAATATAAATTCAGGTTTCAGTACATTGAGATTTTTAGTGCTTATGAGATGTCCCAGTGGAGATGTCTGTCCACTGGGCAACTGGACATCAGGCTTTGGTGCTCAGGACCTATGGTGGGTTGTAAATATGTTTTTGGAAACCATGAGCATTTAGAGCTGAGGCTGAGAATTGACATAATGTTCAGTGAAGACTAGGAGATGCAGGAGGGGGTTCATAGGCTCAAGGAAGCAGTAAAGGAATTGAGTATATGAAACTTCATACATATGTTGCAGTCAACATAGTCATATAATTAGTTAAGATGAAGTCATCCTGGAGGAGTGGCTCCCACTCCTGCTGCTTCTGACTCAATACTTAGGGGTCCCTGGTGAGTGCCCCCAACCCTGATCCCCATCTGCCTTCAGGAGGGGGTTGGCCCTATTCTCCTATTCTGGGATGAGAAAAAAGTCGGGGAGCCAGAGGCTCAGTGGGCATGGGGCAGTGACCTTGGCCTCTTGAGCACAGCTGGGAAGCCCTAGGAACACACAGACACGGCCCACTTAGGCCTCTATTAGCACGTCTGCTCTAGCACTGAAGCAGTGTTAGGACCACACAGATGCACGCACACAGCAGGAAATGACCCCTCCTGAGCCTGATCTACCCCTCTAACCTAGCGTATGCCTTTGTGCAGGTGAGAGCCCAGATTTGGAGTCTGAATGCCTAGCCAGGGCCCCTGGCTGGGTAATGTGATGGCTCTGAGCCTTAGCATTCTCATTTGAGAGATGAGATGGGGCAAGCTCCATCACCCACTGCTCTCACAGAGCGTATGTGTTAGATCTGAGCCCGGTGCCTGGGCCACTACACAGAGGCACCGGTGATAACTACCAAGTCTGGGCCTGCTTCCCAGGGGAAATTTTTTTGACAAGTATCTGTGCAGGGGGGCTAGACTGGCCCTTGAAAGTGCATACAGGGTCCATCCCAGAAGCCTTGTAGCTTTGATCCCCTGAATGAACAAAGTGTGGACATGCCAATACACATTACTGACATGTATGCCCACCTGACCTGCACCCACTCATGCCCACTCTGCAGGGCAGCGCTCGCCATCGAATGACTTCCAGGTGCTCCGGGGCACAGAGCTACAGCACCTGCTACATGCGGTGGTGCCCGGGCCTTGGCAGGAGGATGTGGCAGATGCTGAAGAGTGTGCTGGTCGCTGTGGGCCCTTAATGGACTGCTGGTGAGTGGCCACTGGGCATAGATAAGACTGGGGGCAGGGGAGCCTGGGCCGTGGCGTTACCCTGTGCCTTCTTCTCTCCAGGGCGTTCCACTACAATGTGAGCAGCCATGGTTGCCAACTGCTGCCATGGACTCAACACTCGCCCCACTCAAGGCTGTGGCATTCTGGGCGCTGTGACCTCTTCCAGGAGAAAGGCGAGTGGGGGTGGAGAGGGGCAGGGTGGGAGACAGGGGACCTCAGCCCAAGTTGATCTTCTGTCTCTTGCTCCCAGACTACATACGGACCTGCATCATGAACAATGGGGTTGGGTACCGGGGCACCATGGCCACGACCGTGGGTGGCCTGTCCTGCCAGGCTTGGAGCCACAAGTTCCCGAACGATCACAAGTGAGACAAACACCTTCCCTCCGTCCCGGCCTGGGACCTTCCCCCAGCACACACTATAGTGATGCTCTGGGCCCTCAGGTACATGCCCACGCTCCGGAATGGCCTGGAAGAGAACTTCTGCCGTAACCCTGATGGCGACCCCGGAGGTCCTTGGTGCCACACAACAGACCCTGCCGTGCGCTTCCAGAGCTGCAGCATCAAATCCTGCCGGGTGGGTAAGCGGCGCCGGGTCAAGCTGGGAGAGTGGAGGGGCAAGCCCACGCCCATCCACGAACCCACTGGCTCTTTGTCTCCAGCCGCGTGTGTCTGGTGCAATGGCGAGGAATACCGCGGCGCGGTAGACCGCACCGAGTCAGGGCGCGAGTGCCAGCGCTGGGATCTTCAGCACCCGCACCAGCACCCCTTCGAGCCGGGCAAGTACGCGTAGGCGGTATCGGCGCCCTGGGGGCCGGGCTAGGGAAGGTCCAGGACTCCAGGGGCAGGGCTCCGTGTAGGGCAACTGGGCGGGGCCAGATAAGCCAGGGTCCCAGGGTCTTCTTCACGCCCCATTACCGCCCCCAGGTTCCTCGACCAAGGTCTGGACGACAACTATTGCCGGAATCCTGACGGCTCCGAGCGGCCATGGTGCTACACTACGGATCCGCAGATCGAGCGAGAGTTCTGTGACCTCCCCCGCTGCGGTAGGCGGCGGGGACCAGGCCTGGGAGGGTACCTGGGAACCTTGGGGAGGGGCGTGGCTTGGCCGGGGAGGTCAGAGGGGCTGGGCGTGACCTGAGAGCATATCCCGTGGAGTACCGTACACCTGGGAAAGGCGGGTTTGGTCCCAGCCCCAGAGGGATCTCAGCTCTCGCTCGGGGCCCGACCTATCTCGGTCCATCTAAGGGTCCGAGGCACAGCCCCGCCAAGAGGCCACAAGTGTCAGCTGCTTCCGCGGGAAGGGTGAGGGCTACCGGGGCACAGCCAATACCACCACCGCGGGCGTACCTTGCCAGCGTTGGGACGCGCAAATCCCGCATCAGCACCGATTTACGCCAGAAAAATACGCGTGCAAGTGAGGTGGGCGGGGGGGCGGGCGTTGGGACGTGCTGCTGCGGGTGAGACGGGAGGAGGGTAGTCACGGGCTTAGGGCTGGAGGCTGGCGGGCTAGGGCTGAGTGGAGCGCCTGCTTAGAGACCTTCGGGAGAACTTCTGCTGGAACCTCGACGGCTCAGAGGCGCCCTGGTGCTTCACACTGCGGCCCGGCACGCGCGTGGGCTTTTGCTACCAGATCCGGCGTTGTACAGACGACGTGCGGCCCCAGGGTGAGGCCCAAGCTTGGGGGCTACAGAGCCGGGGCTGGAAGCCTGGAACCGGAGGGCCGGGGCGAGGTCTCGGCCTGATGGCTGCCCGCACCGGCCGCAGACTGCTACCACGGCGCGGGGGAGCAGTACCGCGGCACGGTCAGCAAGACCCGCAAGGGTGTCCAGTGCCAGCGCTGGTCCGCTGAGACGCCGCACAAGCTGCAGTGAGTCCCTGGTGCTCCCGGCCCCGCCAGGGCCCTAACCCTGGGGCGGCATGCTTTGGTGTCTGGGACCAGAGCCTGGAAATGGTTGAGACTACCCTGCCACGATTTTGCTCCCGCTCCCGCCTCGGTTCACATTTACCTCCGAACCGCATGCACAACTGGAGGAGAACTTCTGCCAGACCCAGATGGGGATAGCCATGGGCCCTGGTGCTACACGATGGACCCAAGGACCCCATTCGACTACTGTGCCCTGCGACGCTGCGGTGAGCACTAGTGACGCTTGCCCCATGACCCTGCCTCAGCCCTCACCACCAAAGGCTGGCTCCCTTAACCCCAGTGAACTTTGTCTTTCAGCTGATGACCAGCCGCCATCAATCCTGGACCCCCCCAGGTTAGGAGTTGGGCCAGTTATGGGTCAGGCCCTTTAGCCCACGACATCCACACAGTCTGGGTTTCATCCAGCCCACCCCATCCTACAGACCAGGTGCAGTTTGAGAAGTGTGGCAAGAGGGTGGATCGGCTGGATCAGCGTCGTTCCAAGCTGCGCGTGGCTGGGGGCCATCCGGGCAACTCACCCTGGACAGTCAGCTTGGGGAATCGGTGAGGCACAACTGCCTGTCTCCCACAGAGAGGAGCTGAGGTTGTGTCCTCTGTGGTTATGCCACTGGGGGCTGGGAATCTATCCCTGCCCCCAGAGGTCCTAGCCAGAAGATGGCAGGTCTAGCATCTGTCCCAGGAGTCTGTTTCCTGTCCTAATTCCCCACTCCTCTAGGCAGGGCCAGCATTTCTGCGCGGGGTCTCTAGTAAAGGAGCAGTGGATACTGACTGCCCGGCAGTGCTTCTCCTCCTGGTGAGCCTCCCTTGTGTTTGGGGACCCAGTCTCATCCCACTTTCCCCTTTCCCCAGGCAAGCTAACAAGTGAGCCTTGGGGCAACGGACTGAGAGTCACAAATGACCTAGCAGAGCTTCTCTCCCAGCCATATGCCTCTCACGGGCTATGAGGTATGGTTGGGCACCCTGTTCCAGAACCCACAACATGGAGAGCCAGGCCTACAGCGGGTCCCAGTAGCCAAGATGCTGTGTGGGCCCTCAGGCTCCCAGCTTGTCCTGCTCAAGCTGGAGAGGTATGTGGACAACCTGGGAGGATGTGAGGTGGGGCTGAGCCTTGTGGCCTCAGACCCTGAGTGCCCCCATTCTTGTTAAAGATCTGTGACCCTGAACCAGCGTGTGGCCCTGATCTGCCTGCCGCCTGAATGGTATGTGGTGCCTCCAGGGACCAAGTGTGAGATTGCAGGCTGGGGTGAGACCAAAGGTAAGAGCATAGTGCACAGGACTGCTGGTGGCCAGGAGGCCCAGCCCTGGATCTTCCTCCAGGACCGTCTCCTTCTCCCCATTCCCCTCACTGCAGATACGGGTAATGACACAGTCCTAAATGTGGCCTTGCTGAACGTCATCTCCAACCAGGAGTGTAACATCAAGCACCGAGGACATGTGCGGGAGAGCGAGATGTGCACTGAGGGACTGTTGGCCCCTGTGGGGGCCTGTGAGGTTGGTGGCAGGGCCCTGGGCCAGCCCTGGAAGGGTATGGGGGGCTAGAAATGAACTATTTTATCATGAAGCAGGCTAGTCATGGCTGTGGCCCGGGGCCCTCATCAGTTCTCCTACCTGCCAGGGTGACTACGGGGGCCCACTTGCCTGCTTTACCCACAACTGCTGGGTCCTGAAAGGAATTAGAATCCCCAACCGAGTATGCACAAGGTCGCGCTGGCCAGCCGTCTTCACGCGTGTCTCTGTGTTTGTGGACTGGATTCACAAGGTCATGAGACTGGGTTAGGCCCAGCCTTGACGCCATATGCTTTGGGGAGGACAAAACTTGTAAGTACAGTCAAGGACAAGACTTGTACTCAAGGTTGAGATTTAATAAAATTAATATTTTTACTACTTCACCAAGGACTTTCTTAAATGAAAATGGTTTTTCCCCCTACAAGTAAACAGTAATGAAGAAGAGAATTATTCCTAGTGCAGTTTGTTTTCATGGTCTTAATTTTTGCTAAGACTCCACTGTTTTTGCCTTATCAATACAAGTGCCAACACAGTGAAAAGGCAAATATCATCTTAGTATTACTCTGAAAATAGTTCTGAGCTAATGGCCTACTGAAAGGAAAAGAGTGGCTCCTGCTATTCTATTAGACTTATTACAATTATCTTAAGTATTCTTTCTACCCTCCTTTAATTGAATGGAAACAGGGATGGATTGGAAGAGCTGTTTTTCTCCTTTCTTTCCCCCGGCAATATTTACCATTTAATGCCACTTACTAACACTCAAAGAAACAAAACCAAACTTCTCAATTGACAGTGCAGTGACCCAACAAAGACACGGGTTCTTGAATTCAAAGTGGAGCAGGAGAGACGGTAAATACACATTTACTTTAATATATATATATTTATTATTTATGTGTTTAAAGCACAAATTAGTTTGGTAAAAAACATCTCATGTCTGTTTTATTTCCACATCCCTGAGACTGACAATGGGATGCCTATCAATTAATTCATTTAGAGAGCCATACACCACAAGAAACAAATTATTTGTCCTCTGGAGCTTGTCACAGGGAGATTTTTAAAAAACCATTAAACAGAAAGACAACTGTGCATCTTAGAAAGATAAAAGGCCAATTCTTCCTCTCCAGCTGATAGGTTCTTAATAATAGTGATATCTACTAATAAGGTGTTTTACATAGTGTAAAGCATGTTCACATACAAATTACTTAGCCTCTTTGAGCCTCAGTTTTCTTATATGTAAAACTGGATTAATAGTACATTTTGTGTTTAAAAAGATAATGTATATGAAGTGTTTACCATATTTCTTGGCATCTAGTTCAGTTCTCAGTAACTGATGTGGTGGTGGTGGTGGTCATAGTAGCAGTAAGATCCGTAGTAATAGTAGCAGCAGTTGTTTTAGAAATTAGTAACTGAGGCCTGGCAAAGTTAAAGGCTCTTTCATTAACACCCAGAGGGGAAGAAATGAAGCTGGTCTTCAGAGGCAGGCTATTTTCACTCTGTGTCCCAAATTTTCCCCCCTAGACCGTTTTTATACTTCTGGGGCCTCAGAAAATATTCTCAGCTATTCTGTTAGCTTGATCTCCTACCATCTGAGAGTGGGCTTCCTTCAAACAACCAAATTTCCAGGTATTTCTAAACTGCCCTTCCCCTACACCATTCTTTGGTTCAGTATTTCAAGACCCCTAAGAGAAATGGTACATTTACATGTAAGCACAGGATAGTGAAGTATTTACAACAAGTGCTTTGGAGCCAGCAAATATGAATCAGAATCCAGCTTTCCTTTCCTACATACATGACATTGGGCAGCTAATTTCTAAGATTTTACTTCTTTATCTATGAAAGTGGAGTACTAGTACTTGCTCTGTGCAACTGTGATGGTTGTTACATGAGGTAGCATCTAGAAGCAGCTTGCACATTGCCAGACACCCAGTGGAAGGTCAATGAATGACTATTTGAGGACTAACTATTACAGAAATGTTTACTCTTCTGAGTCCTGATTTCTAGTCTCCTGGACTAAATAGGTTCACTGTTTTCCTCCCGGTTCAGTTTCCAGACACATCACAGAATTATAAGAATATTAAAAACTCAGGCTTATACCTACACAGGATTTTCTATAACCCTCTTTCTGCTTTGAGCTCCTAAAGGTATTTCATAGAAAAATGACCTTATTTTTAAATAGAGGGGGCAGTTGAAAATCAGTGAACGGGCCTACCCCCTAATGATTTTTTTCTCAGACCTAATTATAATAATTAGCATTATAAAGTGCTAATTATCTTTGGACACAGAGGACCTGCACACCAGAGACAGAGGTCCGCATTAAGTAAAGTGGATTTCACTTTCTTCAGTTGTGAGATTTCTCTTTTTTCTTCTTTGTAATGATGCAAAGATATATCTTCCACCAAGCCTCATTTAAAAGCTTTTTCCAGTTAAGGAAACTATCTCTTGGCCATCCACAGCCAGACTGTATATTGAGATTATGGATATTCAAAGAAATTGTCTTTCCTTTGTATATTGTCATAACTTTTTGTGAAATGTTTGTTTTATAGTTCCAGGCCAGCACCTAGAACCTGGCTAGAATAAAAAACTGCAGAAATCATGAGTTTCTTGTTTGGATGAAAGAGCACACCTATTAACAAATGATAGACGGCTATCCTACTGTGAGTCCTGAAAACTGGTGATGTGATTGTTGAATGGGTTAGGGGTATAGCAGAGAAACTCAGTGTGGGCTACATACAATTTCAGCTTGAATCACACTTAACAGATCCTCTGTTCCAACCATTTAAATTTACAAAGAAGAAACTAAGGCACAGAACTACTTGAGAAGAGAAGCAGAATTGAAAACTAGAGCTCCTGATTGTTCTCAAAATAATTTTTATCATACTGCATCGGGTTCTAAGTGAGAGGGCTTCTTATTTAGTAATGCCAAGGTCATGTGTTAACATGTAAAAAAAATTAGACGAGGAATGGGGCATTGGTGTAAGATTATACAGAGTGTAAAGTTGGGCTTTCTCTTATCATCTGTTGTCAACAACAGGATGATTGTTACTGTTACCCACTCCTTACCATCATTCACACAGAGACATTGGATATTGAGGAGAGACTTTAAAACAGAATATTAGTAATGCAGAGCTATAAAGAGCCACGATCATATTAATACAATCCTCCATACACATAGTGACCTGTCTGCAGCTCCAGCCTAGAGAAACCCAGTTATTCACTTGTAGTGGGCAGCCCCATTATCAGAAAGCGCTATTCAATTGGAAATGCTCATCCGTGTTAGGTCAAAAACGACTTCCTCTAAATATCCATTCTGTGTATTGAAGTATAAATGAGTCCCACTTAAGAAAAAACAAAACAAACCAACTTCCAATGATTTAAAAATACTAACGTGACCCTCTTACGTTTACCTAAAGCTAGTGTTTCTCAAACATCAGCTGTATCAGAATCCCTGAAGGACTTGTTAAAACAAATTGCTGGTCTCTACTCTGAGCTTCTGATTCATTAAATGTGGGATGGTACCTGAGAATCTGCATTTCTAACACGTTCCCAGGTGACCCTGATGCTGTTGCTCTGAGAACCACTTTGAGATCCACATCTCTAAGCTCATCAGTCTGTCCGTTACACCTTACAAGACATACTTTCCTAATCTGACACCCTTCTATTTGTCTTTTTTTGGAATGCTTTAGAAATTTAGCAGTTATCTTTTTTATGTATTTTACATTTGTTACAGCTTTCCTTGGTGGACAGATATGAGTTTTCTACTTGAAAATAAACACGTTTTTCTTTAAAATATCATTAAATAAGAGTGTAATTAGTGATATAAAGCAAGATGACTAAAAAGAATCTCATTATTATGTTTGCACAGCCTGTATACAAATTATTTGAACTAGAAAGGATTTGCTAAATAAATTATTTCTATTTCCCTCACTTAATAGTGAATATTATGGTGATTAGGGGAAAAAATAAGCTTTCTTTTTTCTTTTGAGATGGAGTCTCACTCTGTCACCCAGGCTGGAGTGCAGTGGCGCGATGTCGGCTCACTCTGTCACCCAGGCTGGAGTGCAGTGGCGCCATCTCGGATCACTAAGCCATCTCGGCCTCCCCAGCTCAAGCGATTCTACTGCCTCAGCCTCCCAAGTAGCTGGAATTACAGGTGTCCGCCACCATGCCCAGCTAATTTTTGTATTTTTAGTAGAGATCACCATGTCGGCCAGGCTGGTCTCGAACTCCTGACCTCAAGTGATCCGCCTGTCTTGGCCTCCCAATATGCTGCGATTACAGGCATGAGCCACCACGCCCAGCTAAAAGAAGCTTTTCTGATAGTAACTTTGTTTTCCCATTCTGGAGTTTATGGCAGTATGAAAAAGACTGAATTTATAAGCAGAAGATCTGTTTTTGAAATCCGGGGACCTGTATTTCACAATGGCTTTGATGTGTTTTGATTGTGCACCTTTAGACAACTTATCAGTTTCCTCATTTTTATACAGCAATAAAATAGTAACAGCTACCCATTAAATTCTGTACAGAAGCTAGGGACAGACGCAATAACACTTGCATATCTATAAAGGCTTTGTAAATGTGGGTATTATATCTAATGTTTATGCACATGCTGTTTGATTATTTTCATTTGGAATTCCACTCCATTAAAGGAAAAGTAACATACGAATTCAGATTCTTGTAAGTCTTCAGGCATGAGGCCTCCATTGACTAAGTACATTGCCTACATAATTTCTCCTAACCCAAATGAATCTCCAGTTAAACCAAGCTGGTGGTTATGTACTGTCTCCAGAGGATGCCAAGCATAAAGTCCTTGAGTATATTCATCTTGGATCCTCTGATTGGACAACTGCGGTATTGAGACTTCAAGTTCCCCCTTGAAGGACCCAGACGGTACCTGTAATTTTACTCAAGTTTTAAATGTATGCTCTTTGTTAAGAAAGAGTGACAATGATTTGATTTATTTTCCGTGACTGGGGTTAGGGATGGGGGAGACTCTAGGAATGTGACTTACCAGTGAGGTTCTAGTTTTATAAATCATAGGACAAGTTTTGATAGGCAAATGTTGGACTATAGGGCTGAGGTTGTTTTCCACCACAACATATAGACTTCTACTAGCCCTTGAAGGAAAAAACACGAGAAAATCAGTTGGGTCAGCTGAGTATTCCTTTACGAGTATGGAACAGACTTACATAACAATTCTGCAGGTAATGGCTCTGGAAAGGTCAACCACTTAGTTTTGGACAACTCTTTTCTATTCTGTATAACCACTTTTTCACCAAAATGATACTAAATAAATATGCTATAGGAAGCTATATTTTGACATGACTGTTTTAGGCAAAGATACACTCACCAACTTACTCCACAAGAGTTTCTAATCAGAGAATATCATATGGATCTATTTGAATTGCTCCCATGCTTGGCTGAGCCCAAAATAATTTACTGTGCATATGTACACCAAGTGAGAAGGTTGAGGAGGTGTCACTTGTACATCTCTTTATTCTTTTTTTTTTGTATGTGTGTGTTATTTTCATGTGTTTTGAAAGGCTCTCTTGCTTAGCTTTTATTTTGCCATTAAAGATTTTTTTCTGTGCTATAACTGTATTTTTAAGTCTGGTTTGAGTTCAAGAAATCCACAAATTCACAAAAGATTAGGAATAATTTGTGAACAAAATGATGCAGAAATAAAAAATGCATTTTCCAAATAACTCCCTTGCAGTCCTTCTCGCCCAACTACCACTTTCTATTAAGTTTCTTCTTCCTACTCTATGAAGTGCCATGAGCTTTCAATTCATTGTATTTTAAGTATAAGCTATACTTACTAACCTTCACGTTATTCTTTGCTACTTAAATAAGCTTGCTTTCATAGTTCAATTGACGTATTGTTTAACTGATATTTTTAATTGGTATATTTTGATATATATTGATAATTGATAGATACATAATTCATTTGAGATATTTTGGGTATGGAGGGTTGGAAGGAATCCTTTCATAATTTTTCTACTTAAAAGAAATCTTTTTTCATTTAACAGCTTTTCCCATGGGGATAGAGTTTTCATGAATAAATCAAAGTCATTAAATGAGGTATATGGTACATCTTTTAAGAGTCACAGAAAGAAGCAACAACAATTTACCCAGGCAGAGGGTATAAGTTTAGACCTTGGTTGCCTGATTTGTGGGACAAGTTCTTTAATTTTTTTTCTTTATATTTTGACTTTTTTTTGGACTCTCTCCTCCCCTTCCAGGCTCCAGGTCAAATACTTGACACCTGAATGATGTTCAATTATTTAAAAGATGGATTGGCCAGCTCAGCTCCTGTCTCAGACAGACTGTCTTTAAATGTATTTTCAACATGTCTTCAGACAGTTATTTTTCCTCTGTTCAATTTTGTTCATCTTCTTACTTAACCGTTCAAGTGCTCCTATTTCCTTTTTAAATGTAGTATTGAGAAGTGCAAACATTATTGGAAAAGAGAGTCTCACTAGCATAATTGTGCATTATCTTCCTCTTATATCGCCGGCCTCCCTGCACCCCCATGCCCACCTCCTCCTCGCGCCTCCATGCCGCCTCCCACTGCTCCAGCTCCTTGCAGCTGCGAGTCCAGTCACTGGTCACCTTTCGTATCTCCTCACTCAGAGCCTGGTTGGCCAAACCTGCCTGGTCCAGCTGTTCTCAGAGCATGGCATTCACCTGGGCCAGGCTGGCACTCCTGAATGGTGCACAGGGGATCAGTAGGCGCTCGCCCAGGGGGCCATGCTGCCAGCCCTGGCCCTCCCTGCTGTTCCTCCTCCAGCCAGATGAGGGCACTCTCCAGGTCTTGGCTGTGCTCTGTGTCCTGGGTGGCAGAGAGGTTAAAGCATCAGGCTGGGCAGGTGGAGGGCAGGGCCTGCCTCTGCCCCACCCTGGCACCCACCCTCAGCTGCTGCTGCTCCAGCTCTCCGGATCTCTCCAACAGCTGCTCCAGCTCCGAGAACCTCTTCTTGTACTGGAGAATCTGGGGATTGGGAGCTGATGGTGAGCCCCAGGGGTGGGGGCAGGGCAAAGTGAACACGTGGGAGGGAAAGAGCAGGAATGGGTGGCCCTGACCTTGCCCTGCAGCCGCTGCACAAGCTGGGCCTGCCGCTGCTGGCCCTCCAGGTAGGCCTGCAGCTTGCGCCACTAGGAGGCCTGCTCCTCCTGCAGCTGCCTCCGCAACTCCACGCTCTGGAGTACCAGCCCCCTGGGCTCTTGCGTCTCCAGCTCACCAGATTCCAGCCACAGAGCCTGCTCCAGCTGCAGGGAAGGGCCCTGGGTGAGAGTCCTGGGCCTCCTGGGAAGGCAGGCTCAGGCCTCTGTAGGGGGTGGCAGGCTGGGCCCAGACCCACAATGCCTTGTAGGCTGATAGCCTGGCGCCCTGGGGAGCAGCACATGTGGGCAAGCCCAGGGGCAGTGCACGTGTGCATGGGGTGATGCAGCCATGCACGGGCACGCAGATGGGGCATGCATGGACACATGCAGGTGAGCCCACAAACCCAAACCATGCAGGCAAAGCTCAAAGGTGCACCTGGGGTCTACGTCAGGGGCCTCAGTACACCATGCGCCTCTCCTCCAGAACACTTAGCCCTGTCGTGGTTTCTGTTTATTACATTGATGCCTGTGTCTTCCCACCATGCCCCCACCCCAGTGTGAGCTCAGAAAGCCTGGATTTTTTGTTCCTCATTGTATCTTAGTGCTATAATGGTGGCTGTGGAATGGCATGGCTCACGCTCAGTAAATATTTCTTGTGATGGTGAATTAATGGCATGAGCTCATGGGAATACATTCAAACAGAGGTGTCAATCCGCCTATGCATATCTGAGCTTAAAAATATGCACACACATAACACATACAGGCAACCTCAAACATCCCCAGGGGGACACGAAGGACTCCCCTCATATACACAGCATTAAGATTTGTAAGAGGTGCACACAGATGTTGCCCTATACGGCGCCTGCATATTAATGCCCACTTCTGGCTGGGTGCAGTGGCTCATGCCTGTAATCCCAGCACTTTGGGAGGTCAAGGCGGGTGGATCACTTGAAGTCAGGGGTTCGAGACCAGCCTGGCCAACGTGATGAAATCCCGTCTCTACTAAAAATCGAAAAATTAGCCGGGTGTGGTGGCATGCACCTGTAATCCCAGTTACTCAGGAGGCTGAGGCAGGAGAATCACTTGAACCTGGGAGGCAGAGGTTGAAGTGAGCCGAGATCGCACCACTGCACTCCACCCTGGGCGACAGAGCAAGACTCCATCTTTTATTTATTTATTTATTTATGTATTCATTTATTTGTCTCATGGGCTGAGCGAGGGGACCCCGGCTGGTGGAGGGACAGCTGCGCCCTGCAGGCCGCTGCGTCCGGGCAGACCCCGGCCTCTTGTCGTGCCCCCGGCCCGCGACAACCCGGGCAGGATGGGCAGCAGGACGCGGCGGGGCATCCGCGGAGCCCGTCGGGAACGCTCTCTTGGCCTCCAGTGCCGGGCAGCGGTGGGTGCGGCACCCACAGTGCCCACAGCGCCCCCAGCCCTGGGACGTGGCTCCAGCCCGCCCCCAGGCAGGCGGCCTCCTTCGCCGGGAGCACGTCGCCTGGGCAACATGGAGAAACTTCAACTCTTAAAAAAACAAGACAGCCACCACAACAACAAAAAGAACAGATATAAGCCGGCTGTGGTGACTCGTGCCTCTGCTACTCCAGAGGCTGAGGTGGGAGGATCGATTCAACCAAGATACAGTGAGACTGTCTCTCAGAGAAAAAGTCAAACAAACAAAAAAAGAGGCTGTGTAAGAGGTGACTCTGGGGACAGTGGAAAAACACTAAGGTTTTCAAGTGGTGTTAAAAGCCACTAGGCCTTGGGGACCATTGAGCAATCTACAAAGCACGGAAGCCTAGATCCCTGAGCTCTGCCTGCCAAGTACCACCACAGCTAACATGGGAGACCTCCCCCACAGAGACTGAAATTTGCCTCCCGAGGAAACAAGTGACTACAGACATCTGTCCCAGGACAGTAAACAAGAAAGCAAGGTCTCACAAAAACAAAAACAGCTGACCACAGCATACAATCACTGAGACCGAGCCTGCGACTATAGGTGAAAAAAAAAAATGCTGTCCATTATTCATACCATGAAAGACCAGGAGAAAGTGCGAACGCAGTCCCCTACTACTGTTGTGGGAATCAGGAGAACAGAGAGACCAATGGGTGGAACAGGAGGATTTATTGACTGCACTGAGGCCCAGCAGATGAAAATCCAAAGGCTGAGCCCCGAACAAAGACAGGGCTTAACTTTATAGACACTTCTGAAAGGGGGTCGGCTAGTTTGAATGGCGCGGCGGGAATTTGATGGCATGAAACTCGGGGGCAGGCAAGAGGGCTTATAGAAGCAGAACAAAGGCAGCTAATCAAACTGTCACAGGTCTTGCAATGCAAGTATAGCTGGTGACCTTGCAGCTGCACTGAAGGGAAATCAAGAACTTAACAAAACTTGAATAATTAGAAATGGGAAGGGGGAAAGAGAAGGTAGTAAAGGCATTTGTTGTTTTTTCCTCTTATCTTTGTTGGGGCTTACTGTGTTGAGAGAGTCTCCGGAACTCACTCCTCGCGGCTCTGACTTTTCAGATCGTGTTACCGAGGATCTGCTAGGGCTCTATCTATGGCAGGTCTTGGAGTCAGCCAAGTACAGGGAACCTGTCTTTTCCTTTTAACTTCTGCCTTATTACTACAAGTTGTACAGCACACCATGCCTGGTTTTCATCAGCAATGTTTCCTGAGGTTACAGAAAGATTTCTAATCCTGGGAGGAAACACTCCCTTGAAGCAAAAGTGTTCTCCCCCAAAAAATGCAAGGAGCTATCTTCTAGATAGCCAGGCAGATAATTCTCAGGTTTTGCCCCACAGAATCTCTATCTAAAATACAGCAGTGGTCATGCCTAGTGAAAAGTTTGAGGGAACTCGCCCAGTGTTGGGTTTCTTCAGAGCCATATATATAGATATAACCAAATATCCTAAAAGACACTGCCCTTCATCATTCCATGCTGTTAGACATTTACAGGACCATGGATGGTGATCTCCTCCAGACAAAAATAAATGCTGGTGCAGAATAGGTAAGTGTATTATAATTTGAGGACATCAGCTTTTGGGCATTTTAAACCATGGGTCAGACATGTTAGAGCAAGAGGCCAGGTTGATAGCAAGAGGGAGTGTTTTTCTTTTAATTTGTCAATAGCAAAGTGATGTTTGCCACTGTGATTTCAGAGTGAGGTGGCAATTTGTTGTTGTTTGGTTTTGTGGGTTTTTGTTTGTTTGTTTGTTTGTTTGTTTTTGAGACAAGGTCTCACTGTCACCCAGGCTGGAGTGCAGTGGCATGATCAGGGTTTACTCCTGCCTTGACCTCATGAATTCAAGCAAACCTCCTTACTAATCCTCCCGAGTAGCTGGGACTACAGGCACGTGACCCCACACCCTGGGGTGTGAACTGGGATTTGATGTTTTCAGTTGGCTCTCTAATGGAATAGGTTCCCTTACTCTTGTAGAATCAAATTGTCTTCATGATTATCATTCTTGTGTGCATTATATTTCTACTACCCTGCTATTTTTTTTTCTATTTTTCTTTTTTCTTTTTATTTTTTTCTTTGTGAGACAGAGTCTCGCTCTGTCTCCCAGGCTGTATTGCAGTAGCAGGATCTCAGCTCACTGCAACCTCCACCTCCTGGGTTCAAGCAATTCTTTTGCTTCAGCCTCCTGAGTAGCCACCTGGCTAATTTTTGTATTTTTAGTGGAGACAGGGTTTCACCATGTTGGCAGGCTGGTCTCAATCTCCTGACCTCAAGTGATTCACCCGCCTCAGCCTCCCAAAGTGCTGGGATTACAGGCATGAACTACCACACCTGGCTCTCAAACCATTTTAGTTAAGCAAAGACAGATTTGTCTGGCTTTTTAGTACAATGCTGAATTATCCTCCAATCTATATTTTTAGGAAGGACCTCGGGAATGGCAACTTGGAGATATTTGGTGAAAATGTGAACCTTTCATGTTCTGCTTCAGTCCCTTTTTGAAAATCCTTCCAATTTACCTTTTGCAACCAGTTAGTGGCCTTCCCTTCTTCACCAGCATGTGAGTTAATTGATAAAGATCAGAATATTTGGGCTCAAAGGTTTCAACAGTTAAGTCAAATTTTCTGCCAAAGCCTACAGGATCTTGGAGCCTGCTTTAGAAACAGAAGAGTGAAATGTATTTAAGTTTAGATCAGGGAAGTCCTTTATAATATTCTTAATTCACGTTTTGGTGAAGTGGTATACACAACGGTAGGCTCCCCTCTTCCTGTGGGTTTGGGTTTTACCTTGAAAGGGGCTGTCAGAACAGAAGTTTCAGGGAAGGGACCAGATCCCTGGGGACTTTCCTTAGGTGATGGTGATGGAAGAAGAGGCAAGGCAGGACAGGAAGGCTCAGGTAAGAAAGACTATGCAGGTGCAGGGGCAGGAGGAGAAGGAGCAGTTGGAGGTGAAAGAGACAAAGCCTCCTCAATATTTCTCAAATCAGAAAACATGACAGTCTACCTCCTTCAGCTTACTTCCTCAATGGAGGCAATTTTCTCAGTTCTTTTAGAAATTTTAGAAATTTAGACATTTCTAGGTCTCATTGGAATTAAGTCTCCTATTTAATTTGTCTGGTTCAAAAACCAAATTTCTCTCTCTCTCTCTGTTTTTTTTTTTTTTTTTTTGAGACAGGGTCACCCAGACTGGAGTGCAGTGGTGTGATCTCGGCTTACTGCACTCACCACTTGCTGCATGACAGCCAATAAGTCGAGAGTTGAGGTGTAGGGGCAGGGAAGGTGACTTTATTCCAGAGAGCCACCAAACTGAACAGATGGTGAAGTAACATCCTGAAGAACCATCTTAAATTAATACGATTTTCCGGCTCCTTGTACATTAGGGAAGGGAGGAAGAAGGAGGCGATTGAGGTGAAGAGGTCTGACAATGACAGACATGGGCTGCAGTGAGAGCCCAAGGGGATGGTGAAAATTGTTTGTCCTTTGTCAGGTCACACTTCTCTTATAAATCTTCAGCATAACACTGTTACTTGTGTATACAACCTCTCTATCTTCTCAGGAGTTAGTTTGGGGAAGGGATTATTATCATCTGTGCTTTAAAGTTAAACTGTAAGCTAAATCCCTCCCATAGATAGCTTGGCCTATGTGCAGAAATAAGAAAAAGCAGTTAGCCTGGAAGATGTCACCACACGGTAGGAAGGGTTAGGAGCAAAATGCAGTCAGTCATGCTAGGCCTCCTTTTCATTGCCATATATTTAATGTATTTGAACACGTAATTTTAATTTTTTATACTTTATTTTTATTTATTTATGATTTTTTTGAGACAGAGTCTCACTCTGTTGCCCCCCCAGGCTGGAGTGCAATGGCGTGATCTTGGCTCACTGCGACCTCTGCCTCCTGAGTTCAAGCAATTCTCCTGCCTCAGCCTTCTGAGAAGCTGGGATTACAGGAGCCCCCCACCATGCCCGGCTAATTTTTGTATTTTTAGTAGAGACAGGGTTTCACCATGTTGGCCAGGCTGGTCTCAAACTCCTGACCTCGGGCTCCCAAAGTGCTTGGACTACAGGCATGAGCCACCATGCCCAGCCTAACCAAGATTATTAAACCATTCTAATTTGTCAAAAGAGTCACACTGATTTTTAAAAAATAATGTAATGGGCCAGGTGCAGTGGCCTATGCCTGTAACCCCAGCGCTTTGGGAAGCCATAGCAGGAGGATCATGAGGTCAGGAGTTCAAGACAGCCTGACCAACATGGTGAAACCCCGTGTCTACTAAAAATACAAAAATTAGCCAAGTGTGGTGGTGTGTGCCTGTAATCCCAGCTACTCAGGAGGCTGAGACAGGAGAATTGCTTGAACCCGGGAAGCAGTGGTTGCAGTGAGCCGAGATTGCACCACTGCACTCTAGCTTAGGCGACAGAGTGAGACTACATCTCAAAATAAATAAATAAATAAATAAATATAATAATAATGTAATGAACTTTTTCATGTCTTTATATAAAAAATATTACATTATTTAAATTGTTCAAAAGCATCAAAGATTCCTCTCTGCTATCAACTTCATTTATTTTATTGTACCAAACTACCAGGACCATTAATTTAATCTACAGCTAAATCTATTATTTTTTCATGTTAGAAATTCAACAAGAAAATTTTTCCCTAATGAAACCTCACATTTCAAGCATAAGGAGCCTGGGCGAGTTGGCTCACACCTGTAATCCCAGCACTTTGGGAGGCCGAGACAGGTGTATCACTTGAGGTCAGGAGTTTGAGACTAGCCTGGCAAACATGATGAAACCCTGTCTCTACTAAACATATAAAAATTAGCTGGGCGTGGTGGCGTGTGCCTATAATCCCAGCTACTCTGGAGGCTGAGGCAGGGAAATAGCTTCAACCTGGGAGGCAGAGCTTGCAGTGAGCTGAGATGGCACCACTGCACTCTAGCCTGGGCTACAGAGCAAGACTCTGTCTCAAAAATAAATAAATAGATAAATAAGCATAAGTAGTAAAAAAATAACATAAATTTAAAAATAAGGCACAGGGTCTTGCTCTGTTATCCAGGCTAGAGTGCAGTGGGGCAATCATAGCTGACCAACTTGGAACTTCTGGGCTCAGGCAATCCTCCTGGCTCAGCTTGCCTTGTATTTTTTTAGAGATGATGTCATGCCCTGTTCCCCAGGCTGGTCTCCAACTGCTGGCCTAAAGCAATCCTTCCGCCTCAGCCTGTTGAGTTGCTGGGAGTACAGGTGCAAGACATGCAGCCTAGCATTGTAGTAAAACAATTTTCAACAAATTCTTAATTTTCTTTCCTTTTTTTTTTTTTTTTGAGTTGGGAGTCTCATTCTGTCACTCAGGCTGGAGGGCAGTGGCACAATCATAGTTCACTGCAGCCTGAGATTACAGTCATGCATTATCATGCCCGGCCAACTTTAAAAAATTAGCTAATACTTAAAAATTTGTAGAGACAGGGGTTTCACTGTGTTGCCCAGGCTGGTCTCCAACTCTTAAAGTGCTGGGACTGTAGCTATGAGCCACCATACCTGGCTTAATTTTCTTATTTTAATTTTATATAAGTGAGTATTATTGTTCCTAAGATAATTGGGGCAGTGACTCCTTTACAATTTTAGAGATCTAATTTGTCTATTCACTTCACTGAAAGAGTATGCCAATTTGTTTCATGAGAAAATATCCTATATTTGAAAAGAAGGAAAATTCCTTCCACCAAACTAGGGTGCATTCTAAAGAAACGAATTGTTCTAAGTAACATCACTTAAAGTGCAAACAGAGGCAATGGTATCTATTAACAATGTTTATCAGTGAAGGAAATAAACTGAAAATATGAACATCATTAGATCCTCGGAGGGCCTTCATTGCTGAAAATCTGAGTAATATTGTGATACTCTTTTGAGTCTGGCAGGACATTCTCTTTCCAGGGCATGTAACAGTGGGTGAATAATTTCTTTTCATTCATTTCCATTAAGGGCTGAACTTCCTTAATGTTCTGGAGATTATTAAATTTGATTTGTATAGTTGTGAAAAGTACTCATATTGCTGATTCCATTGCTTATATGTGATCATATAAATCTTTTCTCTTTCTGTAGTGTGGTTTAAACTTAATCCTTAAAGGGCATGTATTTGAATTTTTCAGCTGGTTAGAAACCTGAATATACCAATCAAATAAAACTGCTCCTTACATGCTACAGATTTAGTTTTCTTCCTGTACTAAGATGTCTTTTAGATACAGTAAATTCGTTAAAGCCAAGAGCCCCTAGGAAATGAAGTTGGGTGGGAGGGGGGACATCGAGTAGTAAGATCACTCTTGTAACAGAGATGCCACTCTTGCAGATATTGACAAAAATTGGGCCTATAAAATGTTTACCAAACATTGGAAAGACAAGATCTGAACAACTTATCATTGCTGCAGTCTCAAATATCAGGAAATGCCATTATTCTCAGGACAATAAATAGACAATAAAGAAGACTCACAGACCAGATTAGCTGTCATGTATCACCAAACAGGGACTGGATCCTTGTTAACACGACCCAACAGAGATTGTCCCCAGAAATTCACTTCATAACCTCAAAACCAAAAACCCACACTGATGGCAAAAAATAATGATGCAAAGAATGAGAGAGAAAGAGAGAGAGAGAGAGAGAGAGAGAGAGACCTGTCCTATAGCCATACTCAGTGGGTAAAAGCCAAAGAGCTCAATTTCTGCTCATGATACTTAATAGAACATAGGGAACATGAGCCAATAGCTCAATGGGTTCAGATCTGCACCAAGTGCCTGTTGGACGCAGGATTCTACTGTCTCCAATAATATGTCTCAGATGCACTAATTTTTTTTCTCTTTTTGAGACAGAGTCTTACTCTGTTGCCCAGGCTGCGGTGCAATGGCGCGATCTCGGCTCACAGTAACCTCCACCTCCCGGGTTCAAGCGATTCTCCTGCCTCAGCCTCCCGAGTAGTTGGGATTACAGACACACACCACTGCGCCCGGCAATTATTATTATTATCATTATTATTATTATTGTGCGTGTGTATGTGTTTTTAGTAGAGACGGAGTTTTGCCATGTTGGTCAGGCTGGTCTTGAACTCCTGACCTCAGCTGATCAAAAGTAGGTGAGGTCAGAAAACATACCCTGGGAGAGGCTGGCACAATGCCCAGAACCGCTATCGCTAGGCCTGGGGTTTTCCTCTGTAGTGGAATACTATTGTTCATGTAGTGCAGGGACAAAACCAATTAGATAGTTCTGGGAGTTAAAAAGAGATGATTTACAGTGCCATTTGAGAAGGGGTATTAAGGAATTTGCCAGGGCACTGATGCGTGTCAGGTGTAAACCTCAGGTTGAGAGAGAGCTAAGTATTTTCTGTCCATGAAGGTGATAAGCGAGGGCCTGAAGAAAGAGGGACTGGGGAGGACACTGGCACCAGAAATAGGAAAGGGCTTCTTGGGGGTGGGAAGGATGGGTCACGGTGCTATCTATAAAGTTGGCTGGCAGTGGATGTAGGATGTGGGAGTGAGACATCAAACATGAAGCAGTCACTTAAAGTCTAAAGAAACACTAGATATATGAAC
This sequence comes from Homo sapiens, assembly GCF_000001405.40. Classification (NCBI taxonomy): domain Eukaryota; kingdom Metazoa; phylum Chordata; class Mammalia; order Primates; family Hominidae; genus Homo; species Homo sapiens. The sequence continues at coordinate 870,553 of NW_025791756.1, read as the reverse complement.
TGCAGGAGATAGTAGGGAAACTGGACCGGCTCCTCATAAAACTTCCCGCCTTCTATCTCCGGGAGGATCGCAGGGCATTTCCGCCAAGACAGGTGAGACTGCGGTTCTGACCTGCGGGCCTCCATGCATATGCGCTAGGGCACCTGGGGGCCGGCAGAGCCGTTCCCCTACGCAAAGTAAGAGTGTTATGTCTACAACCCAACGGGGACACTGAGAGCCCCAAAGGCCCTGCTTTCTTCCCAGAGAACAGCGCCCATCTGCATAATTTCTACCTGGCTCTATGAGGTGAGAACACACTCCCCGCTAGCACAGAAATCCTACAAACTCCTGTGGGGGCTGCGCTTGGAAGCAGAGGCTGTGTAAGAGGTGACTTGGGGGGTAGGGAAAAACACGAAGATTTTCACACAGGGTGAGAACCCAAGAGACTGGAGACCACGGACCAATCCCTGCAAAAAGCAGCCAGGGTAGAAAGGGAAGAGCTGAGCGGACTTCACGATAGCTAATTTGGGTTACAAAGCCGATACGGCTGATGCTCGCTTTTTCTCCTATGGCGTGCAGGCCACATGTTACTTCTTATTCCCCAGGCCTCCACTGTAGGATTAACAACTAAGACACAAACCAATACGAAAAAAGACATGACCCTTGGCGTACAGTCTGTTTTTGAAACTCCAGAAAGTCAGGGGAAAGCGCGAACGCAGTCCCCCACTACCACAAATTATGCAGTCGAGTTTCCCACATTTGGGGAAATCGCAGGGGTCAGCACATCCGGAGTGCAATGGATAAGCCTCGCCCTGGGAAAACCACCTTCGTGATCATGGTATCTCCCCTGCCAGGTAAGTATGAGATCTTCGGGCTCTGCCCCGACACAGCCTCATACGCCTCACTCTTTACACACACGGTCACTTGCCCCGCGCACTCCCGAGCCCTTTCCAGCCCTGACACACAGCTGGGATTCTCACTTCCGATCCGCGGTCCTGAACCCGCTCCCAGGGCACGGGAACTCCTTCGTGGCGAAGCAGCAAGTGGCGAAGCAGCAGCCTCTGCGCTGCCTCATCTACATAGAAGTCGCCCTGTCCGTGATGTCACCGACAGTGCCTTGCCCAGTCCCCGTCTGCCTTTCTGCCACTCAACCGACCAATCTGCTGCCAGAGCCGCCAAGGGGAAGTGACGTCTGCCTCTCCCTTTTTCCCTCCCGCCCCTGCGTCTGTTCTCTCCCAAAGAAGCTGGTCCTTAGCCTGTGTTAAGGAGCAACCTTTCGGTGGCCAGATGGAGCCGGGGCATCCTTCTTCAAATAATGGCTTTTAATTCGCAGACTAGAATGTTTCGGATTACAAAAGAAACCGGTTCTCTTCACATCCTTATCCTTGTGATGCAGCATTCCGCTTGCAATTGGAAGCTGTTTAATATCAGAGAGAAACCATATTTATGAAAGTAAAGAGGCTGCTCAGATGACTGCAAACCAGCCGTCCTTACTGGTTTTATCACTGGTAATGTTATAAAGACAGTTGTCCAGTTTCATGAATCTTGTAGGTTTTTTTTTTTTTGATGTTGTTTTTTTTTTCAAAAATCCGTATTGTAGAAAAATATGCTGTCCCAGAAGAGATGATTGGACACTCTCAAGCGTGGTGCTGGACTTTGTCATCTCTTGCACAGCCATCTCCACACCTTAGTGCTTACCTCATGTTAGTTTTTTATATTCTGCAAAGACGAAACCAAAATAATCCAAATTTGACACAAATACCTGGGCTACATCTTATTTGAGATGTTTAACAAATGTCTGGATCATCTTTTCTTATATATTACGCAGGAAACACTGTGAAGTAAGCAAAGTTGGAATGCCCAAGTGAAAGACCATTTGAATATTTACAAGTAGATTTCAGACAGGAATACTACAGGGTGGTCACAGGATAACAAATTCTAGGCAGCAGATTTACATGACTTGAGGCTGTGGGCTGTTAAGACGCTGAAAAACCAGGGTGTGGACCAAGCTGGCTAAGGCTGAGTGGACCCAACGTGGTGCTGGATTGGATGGAGGTTTTACCTAGGCCCTCATTATATGCTCATTAACATACTAAATCACACACCCGCCAGTGCCATGACAGTTCTGAGACCAGTGTTTGATGTAAAAATGGCACCACAGTTCCAAGAAATCTCCACCTTTACCCAGGAATTTTCGTGAATATTCCAATTCTTGGTTAAAGAAACCCATCAAGATGAAACCCCAGAACCCATTATTCTCTCTTGGGTATGCCCAAGCTCCCCTTTCTTGAGTGTGTACTTTTTGCTTTGCAATAAATCTCTTCTTTCACTATCTGCTGACTCATCTTTGACTTTGTTCTCACGATGGTGTCAAGAGCCTGGACACCACGGCTGGGGTCGAGATCCCACCAGTGTCCAGGGACCTCCCCCAGCCCACCAGTATCAGATTCTATTCCATTGCTCAAATCACAAAACATCGAGTGGAGAGTTCTCCTTGGAGATCATAAAGTAAAGATTCTGTGGCATGGTGGCCAGTTAGGCCACTGGAAGCATGGCAAAATATTGAAAATGAGGGATTAGGTGACAGTGTAGTAACTGCTGAATACTAAATACTTGATCCAGGCCCCATTCCCTGGAGATTGACAGGGAGACACATTGTCCAGGTAGTAGTGGAGAAATGTTTTCTGGGTATCTGACCAGCCTTTGTGGAAAGAACTGGCACCATCCTGCAGATGTAACCGCCTGATGGGTTCTTCCTGACCAATGTACACAAAAACTCAATTCATGGAGACCATGGCACTGCAGGAAACGGTTTCATTGACACAGGCCAGCCACGACATGTGGGAGACAGAGTTATTACTCAAAGCAATCTCACTGAAGGCTTGGAGGTAAGGGGTTTTTCAAAGATAGTTTGGTGGGGAGGGGGCTAGGGCTTGCGTGGTGCTGATTGTTGGGGATGAAATCACAGGGGCGTGGAAAATGGCCCTCCTGCATGGAGTCAGCTTCTGGGTGGGGGCTAAGGGACTGGTTGATTTTCGGGCCAGATGGTGCCTTCCAGCAGTCAGAAATGCAAAAGCCTGAAAAGACATCTCAAGAGGCCAATCTTAGGTTCTACAATAGTGATGTTCTTCACAGCAGTAATTGGGGAAGCTGCCAATCTTGTGACTTCTGGAATAATGGCTGGTAATTATTTAACGAGGCATACATCTTAGTAGAAATCAGGCCCCTTTCATCCTTCTAACTTGGTAGCCTTTCATTCATTTTACAGGGGTAATTTAGTTTTGGGGAAGGTTATCATTTAAAGCAGCCTTTTTGGCTGTCCTCAACCTTTTTGTCACCAGGGACTGGTTTCATGGAAGACAATTTTTCCATGGAAGGGGGTGGTGGATGTTTTCCATATGAAACTGTTCCACTTCAGGTCATCAGGCATCAGTTACAGTCTCATAAGGAGTGCGCAATCTGGATCACGCACATGAGCTGTATCACCACTCAGCTCTCACTCCAGCCTCAGGTATCAGCAAGACCTCACCAAAGATTACTGTTTAATTGTCTCTGTGTGTGTTTTTGTTTGTTTCAGGTAACAACTAATGTTGGAATTATGAAAAGCTCTTCTCTACTTTTAACAAAGCTTAGTCACAAACAGTTCCCCAGTTGATGAGAAAAACTAAAACAACAGAACAATTGAAAGTCCGAATCTGCAAGTTCATCTCTGAGAACCGAATTTTACAGCCACTCCAGATTTGTACTCCAAATGGATAGTTTGATTGTAGAAATCACTTCCCTTCAGTCTGCCAATGTGATAACTGCCCAAGAGAAAGTGATGCCTACATTCGTAGATAATCCCCTTTCCCCCATCCTATATATAACTGGAGTCAACAGTAGCTGGAGGAAAATGGCAAGAACTTGGAATCAAGATTAGGTTAGAATAACACTGCTGTAGACAGTTTATCAGCTCTTCAGCATATGTCCATTTTCCTTGAAGGATGAGCCTTTAGAAACCTCTGACAATAAAGTTTATTTTACATCCATTCCCTTGCCTATGATTTTTTCATACAAATCACAATTATAAAACTTTCTTGCTCCAGCTAAAAGCAAGAAACTCAATCATGAATGTGTTCACTAAATATATACCACAGAATGATAGCAACCAGTCTGAATGCATCACTTGATTCCAAAATTAAATGTTAGCCCTCAGTGGTGCAACTACATGTATCTCCAACTCTGGAAGCCACAGGCAACATATTCCTGTTTCCTTGCAGGGAAACAGATCTATAAGCAGGGCGGCAGTCTCACACATGTACATTCCTGGGAAACCCAAGGAAACAATGATAGTGACGCAGGGCAGGCAAGCCCCCAAACTGAAAGAGTTTTGCTAATGTCGCGATTGGCTTTCTATGTTATTTGAAGACTGAGATCTCCATGAGGAATGAAGACAGGTAATGCCTAAGGCTGAGGCATGACCTCACTGGGTCACCTTAGCTGTGAAGTGAGGTCAGTTGTCACCTTGCAAACCTTTTGGTAATCCAAATCTTGGAATGATTTCTTTAAGAATTTAGACACTTCCAGTACTTTTCCTGTCCTTGTGGGGAAAGCTTCTATCCACCTGGTGAAAGTGTCTATAAATACTAGCAAATCTTGTAGTTCCCTGTAAGGTGGCATCTGGGTTAAGTCTGTCTGCCAGTCTTCACCATGGTATGTTCCTTGGTGTTGTACAGGTTTAAGCAGGGATCGGGGTATGGGGTGGCTTCCTGAGTGGTAACCCTTTTTATAGTTTAGAACAGTCCCTTCCCGAAGAATATTTAGGAAACTAATTTGAATGGAAAATCCCGTCCCAAATGTGAGGAATCATGAAAATGTTTAATTATTTCCCATCTGTCAGCCTCAGGAATAGAGTTTGTTCTTTTGTAGCAACCATCCAGAGGGGTCTCCCTGGAAGCCTTTTACTCAGTCCCTTTAATTTCCTTAGGGGTATAGTATGGTGTCACTGACACGGATGCAGTACCTGGTAGTAGCGCAGCAGCTTGAAATACCAGGGTTTCCTTAGTTGTGGCCTTAGCTGCTCTTTCCACCAGGGAATTTCCTCTAATAATAAAAGTGTCTCCCTTCTGGTGTCCCCTGCAGTGAGTAATTGTTATTTCTTTGGGAGTTGGACAGCATCTAAAAGTTCCAAGATCTGAGTAAAGTCGTATGGGGGATCCCTTGGCTCTTGATAGTCCCCTTTCCTTCCCTATGGCTGCATGAGCATGGAGCACCAGGAACCCATATTTAAAGTCAGTCAACACATTGACTCTTGAGGGTTCATCCTCCCCGCAGGCAACTGGAGATGTATTGTCCCCAGAGGGTACAATAGAGAATCTTCCGTCACAAGTCAGCAACCAGCATATGTGAGTGACAGCATGTATCCCACTCAGAAATGAGAGTGTATTAGTCCGTTTTCATGCTGCTGACAAATACATAACAGAGTCCAGGACCAAAAAGAGGTTTAATTGGACTTACATTTCCATATGACTGGGGAGGCCTCAGAATCATGGCGGGAGGCAAAAGGCACTTCTTACAAGGCAGCAGCAAGAGAAAATGAGGAAGAAGCCAAAGCAGAAACCCCTGAGAAACCCATCAGATAGTGAGACTTACTGGCTATCAGGAGAATAGCACAGGAAAGACCCGCCCCCATGATTCAATTACCTCCTCCTAAGTCCCTCCCACAACACATGGGAATTCTGGGAGATACAATTCAAGTTGAGATTTGGGTGAGGGCACGGCCAAACCATGTCAGAAAGGGATGAAGTGACAGCATATCCTGATGTGTGTGATGGTTTCATGAGTTATTATCTATTTCAAAATTTATTGCAATGTGTGAAAAAGAACAAGGACTTGTACTATCTGACTTTAAGGTTTACTATAAGCTATTAGACACAAGGCATCAAGAGTGACAAACGGATAAACAGCCTGAGTTAGAAAACCTGAAATTGATCCACAGCTATACGGTCAATAAATGGGTTTTCAGTAAAAGTAGTTCAATAAAAGAAAATAAATCATTTCAATTAATGAACTTCTATATGGATGTGGGGAAACCAACAATGTTATTCTCCCTCACATTACACACAAAAGTAATTTCAGCCGCATTACACACCAAAACTTAAAAGTTAAAGATATAAAGCATTTCAAGGATACTTTGTGACTTGTTGGCAGGCAAAGATTAGCCTACCAACAAGCAGGACACAGAAAAAATACATATATAAGAAAGACATGATAAATGAGACTTCATCAACATTAGCCACACCTTCTCATCAAAAGATACCACTAAGAAAGCGAAAAGGCAAGCAAGCCACAGACAGAGAGAAAATACCCACAAAACGTATCTGACCTCCACACCCTGCAATTATAATTATAGTGGTCTGGTACACTGCACCCAGTTTCTGCTGGATGGAGTATTTTCTGGGTGTCTCTAATGAGTAAGAGAGGGCCCCATGGGATATTCCTTCAGTTCCCAGATGAACAGTGGGAAAGACTCCACATTGACCAACCTCGGGGGCCTGAAAACCCAGGTCCTCAAGGAGGGTAGAGTATACCTGGACCCTGACCCAGACCCCTGGATGGGCTGTGCCAAGAGACCCAGCAAGGGAAGGGATTTCCTCCTGCCTCAGGTTCTCTGTTCTTCTGTGGTTAGACCACCTGAACCCAACTCCCTCCCCAAGCACTAGAGATGGGCTTTTCCAAGGGCTGGGGATCTTGCTGTCCTGAGGACAGCTGAGCAAGGGGGTCGAGGAGGAGCTTGGGTTGTGGAGGAGAGGAAACCGGGTAAGATGCGTGAAGCAGTTGGCTATACCAGGCACAGAGAGGACCCGCTGGGACCCAAGAGCCTGCATGTGAAGCCAGGCCTTGGGCCACCTTGTCTGTCAAGGGGGTGCCTACTTCCATGGTGTCTTCAAAGGGACTGTGGAAAGAGAGGCCTTCAGCCCACACCTCTGAATGCTTTTCCACCACAGCATGCCCTGTGGCCTTTATCCTGCTGGTGTGGAACAGTCAGACCCCTGCAGGGCTGCAGAGCCTCTGTACTGGGCGGCATCCCAGCCTGAGTGCCAGAGCTCAGAGGGCAGGCCCCCGAGCAAGCAGAGAGGAGGGCACCTTTTGGACAGAACGTGTGGGACAAGAGCGATGGCTCATCCGTTCAGGTTCCTCACAAAATGAGAGTCAGGAAGATCAGGGCGCCGGCCTGATTTCCCAGGCAGGGCTGAAAGCAGACAACCGGAGGGAGAGCAGCACCTGGGCCAATGAGGTAGAAGACAGAAGACCACAGTGTACTCCTGCCCTCAACCTCACCCCCTCCCACCCACATCCTCCACACTCCCTGACCACCTTCCTCAGAAGTGTAATAGGAATCCAGATTCCCCCTGGCCTGGTTGCTGCAGGAGGCACAGTAGCCTGATGGAGCCTGAGGCAGGTGTGGGAAGATGTGGATTGTCTAACTGGAGGTTGGGAGTCCAGGGTGTAGAAGCAGCTTGGAGTGCAGGATTTGGTGGTACGTGTGTGGCAGTAGGCAAAAGAAAGAGACAACTGGCCGGGCGCGGTGGCTCACGCCTGTAATCCCAACACTTTGGGAGACCGAGGCGGGCGGATCACGAGGTCAGATGAAGACCACGGTAAAACCTCGTCTCTACTAAAAATACAAAAAAGTAGCCGGGCGTGGTGGCGGGTGCCTGTAGTCCCAGCTACTGGGGAGGCAGAGGCAGGAGAATGGCGTGAACCCGGGAGGCGGAGCTTGCAGTGATCTGAGATCGCGCCACTGCACTCCAGCCACTGCACTCCAGCCTGGGTGACAGAGCAAGACTCTGACTCAAAAAAAAAAAAAGAAAAGAAAAGAAAAGAAAAGAAAGAGACAACTGAGCCACTTGAAATACCAAGAGAATTCAAATTTAGAAAATTCCCAGGGAACTATGCGTGCAGGCACTCACCAGATCCACAAAACAGCTGCTGCATAACTGCATGTTGCAAGCAAGCCCTAAATTGCTGATTTTGAAACAGCCTGATGGGTTCACAAAGACAATTTCTGAATAGTCTTAAGAGCAGAGGTGCACTAAAGCCACTGTGCCCTGCAGGCCCGGATCCCAGTAAGTTCTTTAAGGAGTAAGTCTTACTTCCATTTATGGAAGATTTTTGGAGTTGTCCTTGGTCACCCCCAGGAATGTTTTGGTTAGGAGTAGAATTTTAGATGTCATCAATTTAAAAATTAAAACTAAAACGCTGGAACTCATAGAGAGATAAAATTAAGAGAATACATTCACTATCCTGAGTAGAAAGATTTCTTATAGAACATAACAGGCTTTAAAAATAAAGAAAAAAGGCCGGGCGCGGTGGCTCACGCCTGTAATCCCAGCACTTTGGGAGGCCGAGGCGGGTGGATCCTGAGGTCAGGAGATCGAGACCATCCTGGCTAACAAGGTGAAACCCCGTCTCTACTAAAAATACAAAAAATTAGCCGGGCGCGGTGGCGGGCGCCTGTAGTCCCAGCTACTCGGGAGGCTGAGGCAGGAGAATGGCGTGAACCCGGGAGGCGGAGCTTGCAGTGAGCCGAGATTGCGCCACTGCAGTCCGCAGTCCGGCCTGGGCGACAGAGCGAGACTCCGTCTCAAAAAAAAAAAAAAAAGAAAAAATATGGCAAAATTTCATCTAATTAAATGCTTTGAGAACTAAAATTAAAATCCAAAGCCACTGGACAGACTGCTTCTTGGCCAAGGAGACCCCAGAGAAGTCTTAAATACTGAGTTCCTGCCCAGTAGTTGGAATCTCAGACACCTCTCCTTATACTCTCTCCCTTTGTGGTTTAGACACAACTGACCAGCATTATTGTTAAAATAGAGATCCTAAGACTGACAGAACAGACTCCTTGCAGTAGGAAGATACGGTATGATAAACGAGACCTAAGGCCACGCCAGGCAAGGTGGAGTCATGCGCCCCTCAACTTAAAGAATAAACTATGTTCTAATTGCCACAGGTCTTTTTCTTCTTCCTTTTTTTCTCTAGCTAAACAAGCACTGGCCTTGAGATAAGCAATGCTGAAGCACTTGCAGCTCACCCATTACCATAAACTGACTGAGCCCTCCCTACACAAGCCATAACTACAGCTTTGATTGGACAAGAGACTGATTTCAGTAACTTCCCCTTGATAAGAGAGCACTGGCTGTGGACGGGTTCTGGACGGTTTACAGAGGCTGTGCACTTGACTGCCTTTGTGTCCCTGCTTCCCCTTTTGAAGCATAGGGCCTAATTATAATGTATTTAAATGTTGTCTCCACCCCAAAGTGAACATGGGTTGCATGTAACAGGCATGTTTACTCAGCATGCATGCAGCAGGATCCCTTCATGAATATTCAGAGCTCCTCCTATTCCCTGTTGAATATGTATATGTGGCCCACCACATCAACATAAATCCCTGTTCCCCCCTCCCCTCCCTGGAAACGTACTTTTCAGGTTTCAGCAGCAAGAGGGTATGCCTCCCTGTCTGTCAGAATGGCCACCTTGCAGGCTGTAACCCTTTATAAAAAATAAAATCTCCCTTCTAAATTTATAAATTGTGTGATTTTTCAGTTGACAGCTTTCAGTCAGACTTTTCACTGACTGGGAAAAGTCATTTGCAATATATTTATTTTAAAAATGACTCCTCAGGATACAAAATTCTTGTGCAAAAATCACAAGCATTCTTATACACCAATAACAGACAAACAGAGAGCCAAATCATTAGTGAACTCCCATTCACAATTGCTTCAAAGAGAATAAAATACCTAGGAATCCAACTTACAAGGGATGTGAAGGACCTCTTCAAGGAGAACTACAAAACACTGCTCAACAAAATAAAAGAGGATACAAACAAATGGAAGAACATTCCACGCTCATGGGTAGGAAGAATCACTATCGTGAAAATGGTCATACTGCCCAAGGTAATTTATAGATTCCCTGCCATCCCCATCAAGCTACCAATGACTTTCTTCACAGAATTGGAAAAAACTACTTTAAAGTTCATATGGAACCAAAAGAGAGCCCGCATCGCCATGTCAATCCTAAGCCAAAAGAACAAAGCTGGAGGCATCACGCTACCTGACTTCAAATGATACTACAAGGCTACAGTAACCAAAACAGCATGGTACTGGTACCAAAACAGAGATATAGACCAATGGAGGAGAACAGAGCCCTCAGAAATAATGCCACACATCTACAACTATCTGATCTTTGACAAACCTGACAAAAACAAGAAATGGGGAAAGGATTCCTTATTTAATAAATGGTGCTGGGAAAACTGGCTAGCCATATGTTGAAAGCTGAAACTGGATCCCTGTTCTCATTGCTTGCACCTGGGAGACACAGGTTGCAGTGAACTGAGATTGAGCCATGGCACTCCAGCCTGGGTGACAGAACGAGACTACATCTCAATAATAATAATAATAGTAATAATTTACTGTTCTCATAAAAATTAGCGGATGGGGAATGGAGGCAAGCCGGTGCAAACCATGACAACTAGTTTAGATTTTATTGTCAACTCATGAAAAACTCGTTCTCATTTTGTGTTTTTAAAAAATTCCACTGATACAGCCGTTTTCTCTACCGAAAAAGACTATAACCGCATTATTTCATCACTGGAAGCTACAGACAGAGGGCCCTTGAGAGGCGGCATCTTCACCTACGGGAATGTTTCCTGCTCAATTGTGAGACAAAGAGCATGTCCAAGTTTTCCTATAGGCCAGGCCGCCCCCTAGTTTCTGCGCTGTGGGCTAAACTCCAGAAGCTGGCGCCCTTCAGGGCCAGAGGTTTCCTGTGCTCTCTGGAGGCTGCTAGGATTAAAGGCAAAGCAAACGACAGGTCTATTAGCCACAGTTGCAGGATAGAAAACACTACTGTGACTCAGATTAGAACAGAGGTTGTGGCAACCACAACTACAAGTATTAACCACTACACGACCACAAAGTCTGCTGACAACCATTGCACTTCTTCTATTTTTTTAATGTAAAAACACTCACACTATTTTATCTGGTTTATTCTAGGACGTCCGCAGATTTTTGTGCTTTTCTGTCTTTCATGTGCTTCTCCCTTTCTCTCCCCATTCTGCTACATAATTTAAAAAAAATCTCTTCTCTCAGGATCCAGCCACTGCCTCTACAACAAGCCTCCTGGGAGGTCTCTTTGTCCCATTGACATCTCTGCCTTCTTTCGCTGCTTTTTTTTTTTTTTTTTTTTTTGACGGAGTCTCGCTCTGTCGCCCAGGTGGAGTGCAGTAGCGCGATCTTGGCTCACTGCAACCTTTGCCTCCTGGGTTCAAGCGATTCTCCTGCCTCAGCGTCCCAAGTATAGCGTCCCAAGAATAGCAGGTGCATGCCACCACATTCGGCTAATTTTTGTATTTTTAGTAGAGACGGGATTTTTCCATGTTAGCCAGGCTGGTCTTGAACTCTTGACCTCAAGCGATCCATCCGCCTTGGCCTCACAAAATGCTGGGATTACAGGCGTGTGCCAACGTGCCCGGCCAAATTTCAGGCCAACACCTGTTGACACACATTGCCAGACACACGGAATCCCTCGCGGAACACCGATGGGCCCACAAAACACGCGGAGGCTGCGGTCGCTGATGATGTGAGCAAATTCGATTCACGGTGTCTGGGGTACAGCCCTGAGGGTTCACTGGCCACCTCTGCGCAAGGACCAGTCTCCGCCGCTCCCCTCATCTCCACGCAGATTCTTGCCCACACACCTCCCCTTTCTTTGGGCCGATGACAACTCTTGGACCTCTGAGGTGACTGTCCTGCCCGCAGCTTCTCTCCTTCCAAGAGTGTCATTTCTTGATCCTCTCCATAGTGGCTCAACGGTAAGCCCAAGGTCCAGCACGCGAATCAGGAAACTGATGGTTCTTTGGGTTTGCAGGGATCCTTCCAGTGAATAAATGAAAGTAACAGGTACCAGTATCAAAACTGCAGTGACTCACCAGAGACACTTCATGCTTGCCAGCTTGCTAAGCTGTTTGAGTCCAACAACTGCATGGGGTCCTGGGTTAGTCTCCTGCCGCTACTTTGGTGAGTGTTGTTGTCACTTTACCTTGTGGTGGCCAAGCCCCTAAATGCACTCTTGGGTTATGCAGTATAATTTTCAGCGTAAAAGACAAGTAAAGAGCCATAGCGAAGTGAAAAACAACCACGTGCAGTGGCCGGGAATTGAACCCGGGTCTCCCGCATGGGAGGCGAGAATTCTACCACTAAACCACCAACGCCTCTCTGGAACTACCCCCTGGAGGATAACAGAAAAGAGTAACCACAAAGATTTAGAAACTGTTCTAAGCGGTTTTTTCAAGTGTCGACTAAAAGCTAACAAAGACATCCAAACCAAATGTGTTTTTATAGGAAACTTTTATTAGACAACGTTATAAATATCAAAATAGCTCATTTGTCGGATCAAACTCTTAACTCTGAAAAAGGTCTTTCTACCTGCATTACAAACCCCTATAATAAAACATCAGAAATTCATTCATGTTTCTTTTTTCTAATCCTAAATCTTCCATCATCAACCTCAAACTGCTGCCTTAGAGGTTCTGAGAAGGTAACCTAACTGGTAGTTTAGGTAAGTAAAGTTCAAATCCAGGGAGGAAATAAGAAGCAGAAGCAGAATTAGAAGAAAGACGAAATAAAAGGACAGAACCACGGTAGAGATAATGAAGAAACAAAGGTTGGTCCACTAAGTTAGTCTTTTGTCGTTGGTTTTTTTTGGCAAAAGAGTAATGATCGGTCTCGTAATCATTATAATACTATTATTTGTCTGCTTGAAGATGTATAAAGCATTTGAAGGAAATGTGATGTGAAAAGATGAAGAACGCTTGCCGTCAATGTTTCATTGTTTGGGAGAATCCCATTTCCTAAGTTAATATGCTTTGATGTGTTAGCTATGTAAGCAGTAGACTAGTTTAAGGAAATATTGACGGTCAAATATTAACATATTAGTCTTTTGATGAAGTTCAAATATTAGAGAGATTTCTTTCCTCAATTTTCAATGGAGACATTCAACTGAAGAGACAAATCCAGAGTTTTCTCCACATGTTGGGTCTGGGAGTCATTATGACTTTTTCAAAGACAGGAGCTGTGACATGGAATCATGCTTCTTCTCAAGCTGAGAAGCCAAGCTAGGTCCAGGCTGAGTCATAAACTTGAGCCCACCAAGGAAATCATCCTTCACATTGACCTCGCAGAGCTTTGGCTGTTCTCTGTTCTTTGCCCAACACCCAAGACACACACCAGCTCTGGCCAACAAACCTTAACATATGATCTATATCAACCAAAGCTACATTTATTCCCAAATCTCCTTCTAAAATACAAACCTGTACTTTCTACTCTCAACTTCTAAATCTACCAAGGCCTCATATGCATCTGAGTCACAGATGCTAAAACTTAACCGGTTTTCTGAGGATTATTTGAGGAAGGGGTATGCATGCAAATGTATATACATAATTCATGTGATTTAGGAATATGGACTCTATGACTTCCAGATGCAGATTTAGAACCTTTTTAAAAAATATTTTGTTTTTGTTGTCTTGCAAATCAGCCAGATCTGCAACTTACCAGAGTAAAGCCAAACCAAGCGGGACCCTTAGGAAATGCGCTAAGATGTCATCCACTTTCAGTGTCAGCCTGTGAAAATTCAGGCGACAGAAGAGAATAAAGAGAATCTTAAGGAATTTCTGGAACCAAAGCTAATATTAAGCAGGCCTCTTGCTGGCAGACCAGTGGAAATTGTACCTGGTCAACAATCTGTCTAGATTGAGGAGGTCTAAAATGTAGCCACAGGTTCAAATACTTTTCTGTTTGTTTCCCAACCTCGATTAAACTCACTAAATTTAGGGACCAAAAAAACAAACAAACAAAAAAAAAAAAAAACAAACCACGACGTTCCCACCCAGTCTCGAATCAGGGACTTTTCTCGTGTGAGGCGAACATGATAACCACTACACCACAGAAACTGCATATGCACCAAAAAAGGCAAAATATCATCATGAAAATCTTAGATCAGCCATTTCTATTATCGTTTCCAAAGTAAGAAATTCAACTGCATTTCGAAATTCGACTGAAAAAAGCCCAATAAGCACCAGCCATCAAGAAGACTATGGCTCCCAATAGGCCCAGGCTTAGCGTTCCGCGCCCACCCCCAACACGAAAACCATGGGGACCCACACCCGGGCTTCGGGGACACATACCCGGGCTTCGGGCTCCCGCATCCTCCCCTGGGTATGCAGTTCCAGAACTAAGCGCCGTGTGCGGGATCCTCCCGGCTGACACTCTTCGGCTCCCAGAAGCTGCAGGAGCCGGCGGGCTTTGAGCGTCCGAGCCCTGGGCGCCCCGTGCCTCTCAGGAGGGTGGACGCCGCCCTTCCAGGGATGCGGACCCCGCCTCGGGGCCTTTTCCCCGGCGCCGGCCGTCGGGGCTCTTGGCTCTTCTCGTCCTCCCAGGAACCGTAGAACCCTCCTTGCCCTCCCTCCCGTAGGCCGAGGGGCGTGAGCTGCGCCTGTTTCCTCACGGACCCTTTGGCCTCAGCGCCTCGATGTCTTGCAATTCTTAGCTCACGGCTCTTCCTCCTATAACAAGGCCCTTCCATGTCATGTCCCCTACTCCCTCTTAGCACCAGAGAGATGTCTCCCCTGCCCCACAGGTCACATTCCATGAGTGGTGAAGTTTCTAGAGTTGTAACCATGGCATCTCCAGCCCTGTGTGTTCCTCTCCATGCTCCCCATTGAGCAGTCTTGATCCTATATTAGCCCCAGGAAATGAAATAGAAACAGGACCCTACGTTAAAAAGTTGCAGTGGAGATGTGGTGGCCACCAGGGGCTGGAACTGTGGGGTGACTGAGAGTATCCAAAGCCCTGTGGCCAACTTACTGGTGCTGAGTGTGCTGGTGAGCCTCTCTGTCAGCTGGCTTCCCCGGGCCAGTTGCTCCCGGAAGCTCTGTCCCAGGTAGTAGTCAATGTCATTGCTCCTTAGGAGATCCTCAAAAGATTTTACTGTATCTTTTGCATGCTGGGTGAGAAGATAACAAACACCTCTCCCTTCTCGTATTTTTTGCCGTAGGTAAGACAGTTCCCGGGCCTGATCCTGAATCAGGGAATCATATTTCCTAATGCAGGACAGAAGAGGAAAGGGTGGATGATAAGTTATGGGGGCTTCTGTAGAGATTTCTATGAGAACATCTCTAAGGAACTCCCCCAAACTGAATTCTGGCACATAAGCCATAGGAGGCATTTAACAGTAAATTCTACCCTGATAAAGTATCGCACTAAAAATTTTAGTATGGGCCGGGCGTGGTGGCTCATGCCTGTAATCCCAGCACTTTGGGAGGCTGAGGCAGGCAGATCATAGGTCAAGAGTTCGTGACAAGCCTGGCCAATATGGTGAAACCCCTCCTCTACTAAAAACACACACAAAAATTAGCTGGGCATGGTGGCACATGCCTGTAATCCCAGCTACTTGGGAGGCTGAGGGAGGAGAATTGCTTGAACCTGGGAGGTAGAGGTTGCAGTGAGCCGAGATGGCACCACTGCACTCCAGCCTGGGTGACAGAGTGAGACTCTGTATCAAAACAAAACAAAACAAAAATTTACCATGCCACTGTTCTTCAACTGTTATATATATGTTAATTATATGTCCCTAGATAAATTTTTTGGGAGCTGGGCCTCCAGCTGGGATACTCTCTGGAGGAGACTCTTCAGGTCCTTTTTGGCCTGAAGTCCTGGAGAGTAGAAAGCCCCAGTGCCATCAGACAGCCACAACTCATCCTCATCAGTGACACTATGAGGTGAAGACCCCTCCAGGGTGTCAGGAGCTCTCAGCTTCCAGGGTCTTTCCAGACTAGATGAATAATCACTTGTAACCAAGAGGGACTGGACCCGGTTCTTGAGGTTTTGAATGACCTTGTTGGCATTCTGCAGCTGGGCCTTCAGATCTTTGATGTCCTTTCATAGGACCCAGATGTTTTCTGACTTTCCATATACCCAGAACTCTTCCTGCCTCCCTAGTTCATTCTCCAAGGGCTTCCTCTCAGAGGAACTAGCCAGCGTTCAGCCCCGGCGCCCCTGCTCAGAGCACAGCCCCTCCACCAGGACCATTTCCTTGCGGCTGCTGTGCTCCTCATGCTCTGAAAAAAGACAAAGATGTCTTCCTAAATAAAAGTTGGATGTGCTGTTGTGGCCACTGCCTTTGAGAGGAGGCAGGTTTGGTCATGAGGACAATAATTACTAGGGAATAAGGTGAAGTCGTACTTTATTCAACCCTGACACTGTACTAGGCATTCAAATACAGTATTTCTTATCCTCCTTATACCCACAAGTTAGGTTTCACCACTTTCTATTTTACTGACTGGGGAAACCAAAACTTAAAGAGAGGTGGTAAACCAGCTTGTTCTAGATCACTCAAACTAGCACATGGCAGAGCCTGAATTCAAATCCTCCAACGTCCTGTGTTCATTCCACACACACTGATGTTTCTCAAGCCATTAACATGGCCTTATCTAGTTAGGATAGCCACAAGAACGCAGGACAAGCTATTTCTGCATGCTGCAAGTTTAATGCTCTCTAAAGTTTACTATAATTTAAAAGTTTATTGGGTTACCACTGTGTGAAAAATAGGCATAGGAAAATAAGACTTCGAATAAATATATCAGCATGTTAACATCAGTGTATTGGGGCAGTGGTAGTCAGAATGAGAACTAATCCACAGCATTTTACCTGATGCCAGACACTGTTCTAAAGCATTTTATAAGAATTTACTCATTTAATTCACATTAGTATCTGATGGGGTAGGTAGTTCCTTTATTACTATTTTAACATATGAAGAAACTGGGGCATAGGAAAGTTTACAAATTGGGATTTGAAGCAACAAGTCTGGCCCCAGGATCTTTTCTCTTAACTGCCACACTACACTTCCTCAAGAATGAGAGAGACTGTGTTTTTCTTCTCTTCTGGTTTTCTTTTTTTTTTTTTTTTTTTTTTTTTTTTTTTTTTTAGTTTGTAAGCAAACATTTATAGCCATGATTCCACAGATGTGGTAAGTAAACCAACAGCCATTCCTAAATAAAATACAAGAATTTCCATCATGCATAGTTTACAGGCTTGGTAAGAAGCAGTCTCTTTAGGGGCTAGATGCTTAAGAAATATTCAACAAACAATGAAATCTTGGCTTTTTTTTTTTTTTTACACAAATGTTTGGTTATTTAGCCACATTAGTGATAAAACATATTCATATTCTAACTGCAAGTGGAATAAACATTGCAACAAAAATGCAACCCAATCAAAATCATTAGTAATAACTATTACTCCCTCTTAGCAGTAAGAACCATTATTCTTGGATTTCAAACATTTTATTTTCTGTGCATAGCTTATAGCACTGTATTATAGGAATCAGAGTGTATAAGCAAAAAAATGAAATAAAACTTCTTGAAGACCATTTCCATTATTTATGATTAAATCAATGAAACTATACAATTTCCACATTAAATACAAATTAGTAAAAGAATTCCTCCAAGTAGTATTGCATATAAGCTACAACTTTACCCCAACTATTTTAATCACTATGATTCGAGATTTCCTAGGATTTAACAGCCCAAGATTGGGCTGTTACTACCTCAGCAAGAACAATCACCAGTAAATACATGAACTGGGGTTATAGCTGAATTTTTAGAAACTCTCCAGACAAACCACGTGTTAGAGGAGGTAAGTAGAAAAACTAATGTTTGAGCTGTGCTATTCCTACCAGGAACTATGTCAAATATGCAAAGTTCAAACATTCTTAGTAAAATAATATGAAAGGATCTATATATACTGTAAATTTAGCAAAAACACTTTTATGTACAGAAGCCTAAATATCTTAGGAGGTTTAGAATACCAATGAAGAGAATTGTTAATTCTTCAAGGCTGGTTTCTTATGAGGATTAAAAACCAGCCCTTAGTCTCAGATGCATTCCACCTAGATGTGTTCACGAACTCCATAGAGTAAGAAATATAAACCATGAATATGTACTCTTAATTTCCATTCTTCAACTTAATGTTCTATAGTACTTCAGATTTTTAAATCCAGAGTTTGGTGTACACTTAGGAAATTATAGTAAGAGTAGATTAGAGAAGATTTGCTTGTTTTCCTTTTGAAGCCATGTGAAGGTTTATTACCCTGTGTATTTTCATCACTGAAAAGTTCCCCGGTGACTAATAAAATAAAAGTGTCACAAGCTACATGATGGATCTCTTCTTTTAATGTTGCATACAGTTTCAGTTTGGCTAGTGAGGGCTAACTAGCTCAGCCCTAGTTTCATTTTATTAGAGTTGACCACTAAAAACTAAATAAGGAAGTTACCAGTAAAGCTAATTCCCAATACAAGCAAAAAACAAAAACAAAAAACAAAAACAAAACCATTCACATAATAAAATATATCCTTAACACAAAATAAGGGTATAACATATTCTGCAGCATGACATTTTATTTTATTTCTCAGCTGTAGCTTTTTCATTCAGAAATTGGAGACCATCTTTTCACTGAGTTGTTATTCCTTCCTCTTCCCTTAGCTTAGGGATATGTTGAAAAAGGCTTTTCAACAAGTATTTTATTTTTTACAAGTTGCTATGAAATTAAAATTTATATATATATCTTAAGTGTTTATAAAGCACTCAAAATTGTAGCTTACATGTATATGACTTCTGAAAATAAAAATCACACTTCTAACATAATCTTTCTGCTCTGCAAAAATATTCTACATACATGCATATGATCAAAACAATCTTTTCATGTTTGGGGTATTTCTTACACATAGTAAAAGAAAAGTCAACAATTATATCAGTACTTCCCCTGTTAAGATAACTGAGTGCCACCTAGTGTTCAATTTCTGCAACTACTAAGCTTACAAATTCAATACTGCTATTAAAACCCAGGTTCTGAAAACGGCATTTTGGAAATCTTTTTTTTTTTTTTTTATGTTTACGGTGGCAAAATACGACTATGAAAAGAACATGATATCAAAATCAGTATAAAAATAGCCACAGGCTACTTAAATATGACAAACAGACTTATTTTTTTTCTTCAAATGCAGACTTCTGCCTCCCTCAAATTGTATCAAAATCTCAAGGGAATATCTAGGTAACTGGAATATACACAATGACTCTATACAATCAAGAGGCCAGGGCTTAATCAGATTCCGTGAGGACAAGGCAAATGATTTCTTCAAAACACCCATTTTCTTACTGGAAGTGGTAGGAAAAGCAGCAATGCATGGTTTTTTTTTTTTTTTTTTTTGTAATTAGTAGACATGGTCTTCTACCCATAAGCTCCATTACATTAAAAGAACAAAGTGGGCTTAACATCTCACTTAAGATAATTCAGCATTATTATCAGTTTTAAAAAAACCAAAAATATCTTAGAAACAAATCAGTCTGCTTTAACAAATTGCATTCATGCTAATGAAATTTTAATCTTCTTTGTCATGATCAAAATCCAAATTGTAGGACAATCTTCAGAAAAGATGGAATGTAAAATGTTGAGTTCAATTTAGATGTCATCAATATCTTCATCATCATCTCCAATGTCATCAAACTGAATTTCATCATCATCTCCAGGACCAAATGTATCAGTTTCATTGATTTTAGCATGCTCTGGAAGCTCGCCGTATGCCTTCAGACTTCTAGCTTCGTCTGCATTGTATTTTAAAATTACATCAGCTTTGTTATCCTGGTAGTCTCGGAGACCAACCAAAATAATGTCCGAGGTATTTATCCAAACCTTTTTTCTCAATTTTCCTCTGATGTGACATAACCTCTTTACACCATCGAAACACATTGCTTCTAGCCGTCCATTTCCCAACATTTTGATTACCTGAGCATACTCCTGACCATCCTCTTTGAATACCAGTTCTCTTTTTTCAGATTCATTCTCATTCTTACCCCTGCGTCTATTTTTACCTCCTTTACCTTTATTCTTGGGCATGGCGGTGGCGGCGACCTCGCGGCGTCTCTGACTTCTTTCCGGGTAGCGGCGACCGCGGCGGCTGCTGCTCCGAGGGGCGACACGAGGGAGCGCGCGGGACCAAGTAGGTGCTGGAGGCCAGGCAACGTGCGCGGGAGAGGCTGGCGACCCAACTCTTCAGAGATCCGCCTGCGTCCACGCTCGGCGGCAGCAAAATGCTCTTCTGGTTTTCAATGTGGTGGGTGGCCCTATGGTTGTAGTCCTTTTATAATGCAAAACAAAATTATTTTTAACTTACGGTTTGCATGTTTCCAAAACCTCATGTGGTCTCTAAGTAGGCCTTAGTATTTCTATAATAATCAGTTGGCTAGAACTTTATATTATTATTATTATTATTATTATTATTTTTATTATTATTATTAGCAGTGTGCCACAAACTAATTGTAGAAATTCAAACTTATACTCAGCCTCATTTTGGGTAAGAGTTCTCCTATTAACCTCCTGTCCTCCTCTTCCCCACTACTTGTCAGGTGTGGAATTGGCCAACAGCACCCAAATGTGATAGCTGACTCCAGGGAGGGAAGGTGAGCCCCACACCCTGTGCTCTTACCGGGACTGGTGGTTTCCTCCTGTTCAGCCTCATTCTTGCTTTGGCCACAAGTCTCGTAGCCCAGGTCCTGGAGGTCCACCCGGACCTGTTTACTGTCCTGCTTCAGCAAGGGTTCACCTGCGTGGGAAGAGACAGCAGGTGTTACAGAATGTCTGAATTTCCCACATATGCCCTCAGCCTCAATGGCACATACCCTAACCTTGTGGGGCAGGGAGGGCAGATCCACAGTGCGAGAGAAGCTTCTTTGAACTGGTGGGAGAAGAGACCACCAGCTCCAGGAAGCAGAATTTCTTTCCACAGGAGGAGCCTGCATTTGCCATTGATAATCTCCCCTTCAGATAACCTAGGCCTTAGTTGGGACAAGGTATCTGTAAGTCAGGGATTGTGTACTCTCATCTCTAGCAGCCCCATTGAAGCTGGCAAGTGCTTTATCAGCAGGGGTTCAATAAATGTTGAATGGAGCTGAACTAATTTAGAGTCCCAAGACACCTAGACCTGCACTGTCCAATAAGGTAGTTAGTAGCCACATATGGCCACTTTATACTAAATTAACTAAAATTAAATAAAACCAAATGTCCAAGTTGCACTAGCCACACTTCATGTGCTCAATAACCACGTTATGTCTGTATAGAACATACAGAGCTTATAAGACGTACAGGCTAGTTCTTTACTAGTAAGTCATAGTTACCTACTAAGTATAACTCTGTATTTCTCCAGCTCGTTCGCCTGAGCAAAGACAGTGGCTTCTGATAGCAGCAGCTTCTCCTGGAGATCTTGATAGCGTTGTTTGCATTGTGACAGCTGGGAGCGCAGGTGCTGGGTGGACCCTGGTGGGCTAAACGCTGATTGGGCCCAGTGTCACAAGGCTGGGACTGGTTCTCCAACTGTGAAAGGGGCCAAGACAAGGATCAGGACAGTCCGAGGCCACCCCCATGCAGTGATGACCACGGCCCGTTGTGAACCCCGTGGACTTGATACTCAAGTCTGTCACAGCACTTCTCATGCCATTTGGCAGTGACTTGCTTTCCAGATGGAGCTCCTGGAGTGCTGGGATAATGTTTTCTTCATATCTGTATCCACAGCACACAGCACAGCGCCAATCAAGTCTACAGAGGAGCTCTTAGGAAACGTTTTCTCAGTGGTCAAAAAGAGAAGGGGTGGAACCCTCCACTCATCTCCCCTCACATTCTGTGCCATCGATTCTCTCAGAATCCCCTGTATTCCCCATTTTACTGAATCTTCAGCATGGCTCCTCCCCTAAACAGGATCCCAATAACCCATCTGAGGTCCAGGAACAGACACCTGTGATGAGCTGTGACCAAAAAAAAAAAAAAAAATGGCATTGATAAGGAAGGGATGTCATTACATACTACTTGTCTGGGCTGCCTCATAACCTGATGCATCCCTATGTTACAGCAGTTACCCCCTCCTATTAAAATTACCTGTTTATGTGCCATCTTTCCTTACCATATTAAGTATCTCAAGGGCAGCCATTGGTTTTATCGCCCCATGCCAATGCCTAGTGTGTTATCTGAAAAATCAAGTACTCAAGAAATATTTATATTGTAAAAGGCTTTCTAAAGGCTGAATGTAGGCTGAATATTATTACTGTTGTTTGTGGTACAAAGAGACCTTTCTCTTGGTACCTCTTGATTCACATGGGAGAACGTTTTAAAGTAAACACTGTCATCTCGAGCCCTTCTCCAGTGGTTTTTCATTCCATCTAAGCCTACATTGACTTGGTGGGCATCCACTGTGAAGGTAGCCCCAAGGTCAAGGCTCTGGGGTCTGGGGCAAGGCCTCACAGTCACATTCCCCTCCTCTTGGTGTTGGTGCTTCCCAGGAGAACCAACCAGTTCTGTGTTTATTCTGTCGATGGTGCTGGTCAGATGCACAAGGAGCTCTGGAGTAAGTTTACTATTCCCTTCTTTGCTACTCAGCACAAGTTGTTCTTGAGGAGGTTGATGATATTGTGGGCATTCTTCAGTTTTCCCTGGAGCTTTCTGAACTCAGCCTGAAGACTACTCTCACTCAGACCCTCTTTGGCAACCACAGTCTCAACCACCACCTTGCCCTTCTCCTTGTCTTCCTCAATCTCCCATCCCTCAGACATTTCTGCTCTTTCAGCTCTGCATTCTCAAGGCAAAGATGGGTTCTGGGTCTCCACAGTTGCCAGACTTTTCTCCAAAGCCACCTTGAGGAACTAAAAGAAAATCATGCTTTGAAGAAGTTAGGCCATTAAAGAGGGCCCAAGAGAAACATGAGATTGCAAAGGTAGTTTTTGATGAGAACAAAAACAAACAAAAAAAGCAGATCTAAAATGAACTCCCTACCCAGAACCTCCTTAGTCAGGCAATAAGAGCAATAAGATCTCAAGACTAAGTTTTATTATTATTATTATTATTATTATTATTTGAGACAGGGTCTCGCTCTGTTGCCGGGGTGGAGCGCAGTGGTGAGATCATGGCTCACTGCAGCCACGACCTCCTGGGCTCACGTAATCCTCCCACCTCAGCCTCCCAAGTAGCTGGAACCACAGGTGTGTGCCACTACACCCAGCTAATTTTTTTTTTTTTAATCGAGACGGAGTCTCGCTCTGTCACCCAGGCTGGAGTGCAGTGGTACGATCTCGGCTCACTGCAACCTCTGCCTCCCAGGTTCAAGCGATTTTCCTGCCTCAGCCTTCTGAGTAGCTGGGATTATAGGAGCGTGCCACCATGCCCAGCTAATTTTTGTATTTTTAGTAGAGACGGGGTTTCACCATGTTGGTCAGGCTGGTCTTGAACTCCTGACCTCAGGTGATCATTCTGCCTCAGCCTCCCAAAGTGCTGGGATTACAGGCGTGAGCCACTGAGCCCGGCCCACCCAGCTAATTTTTTTTTTTTGAAATGGAGTCTCACGCTGTTGCCCAGGCTGGAGTACAAAATGGGGTGATCCCGGCTAACTGCAACCTCCGCTTCCCAGATTCAAGTGATTCTCCTGCCTCAGCCTCCCGAGTAGCTGGGATTACAGGCATGTGCCATCACACCCACCTAATTTTTATATTTTTAGTAGAGACGGGGTTTCACCATGTTGGCCAGGCTGGTCTTGAACTCCTGACCTCAGGTGATCTACCCGCTTCAGCCTCCCAAAGTGCTGGGATTACAGGTATGATCCACTGTGCGCAGCCCCGTGCAGCTAATTAAAAAAAATTTTTTTTCGTAGGCCTGGTGTGAAGGCTCATGCCTGTAATCCCAGCACTTTGGGAGGCTGAGGCGGGTGGATCACCTGAGGTCAGGAGTTCGAGACCAGCATGACCAACATGGCAAAACCCGGCCTCTACTAAAAATACAAAAATTAGCCAGGCGTGGTGGCAGGCGCCTGTAATCCCAACTACCTGGGAGGCTGAGGCAGGAGAATCACTTGAACCCAGGAGGTAGAGGTTGCAGTGAGCCAAGATTGTGCCATTGCACTCCAGCCTGGGCAACAAGAGCAAAACTCTGTCTCAAAAAAAAAAAAAAAAAGGCCAGGCTTGATGGCTCATGCCTATAATCCCACAACTTTGGGAGGCCGAGGCGGGTGGATCACTTCAGGTCAGGAGTTTGAGACCAGTTTGGCCAACATGGTGAAACCCATCTCTACTAAAAATACAAAATTAGCTGGGTGCGGTGGCACATGCTTGTAATCCCAGCTACTTGGGAGGCTGAGGCAGGAGAATCACTTGAACCCAGGAGGCAGAGGTTGCATGAGCCCAGATCGCCACTGCACTCCAGACTGGGTGACAAGAGTGAAACCCCATCTCAAAAAAAGAAAAAAAAAATTTTTTTTTTTTTTCAGAATGAGGTCTCACTGCATTGCCCAGGCTGGTCTCAAACTTCTGGACTCAAGTGGTCCCCCTGCCTTGGCCTCTCAAAGTGCTGGGATTACATGTGTAAGCCACCATGCCTGGCCAAAGACTTACTTTTACAGGAGGAGTATAAAACATCTCATTAGTAATTTTCATAATTGATTATGTGTCGAAATAATATTTTTGATATTTTGTGTCAAGTAACACTACTAAAATTAAGCTCACCTATATCCTTCTACATTTTCACTGTGGCTACTAGAAAATTTTAAATTACATCTGTGGCTCTCATTACATTTCTGTTGGACAGCACTGGGCTGGGTGAGATGACTAGGGGCAGAAAGTACATTCTGAGGGCCAGACAATCAAGGTGATTGATACTGGGGTTAGGTTAACTGAAGGGTAGAAAAGGCCAGGTTAATAGGAGGCAGGGACTGAGTAACCGGGAACAAAGTTATCAGAGCATGAGAGAGAGATTCTGGGGGTCAGCCGTCTGGGATATTATAGGGAGGAAGGAGGCTGTGCTACAAGGGCCAAGAGACAGGAGGATGCACTCAAGTTGGCCTGGATGAAGGGACGACCCTCTGCGACTTGGGTGGGGGTAAGGGTGGCAGGCTGGGGCCAGCCCTGCACTCACCGCTTCTGCTTCCTAGAAGGAGAAACAGTGTCACTTGGTACCTCCACCTCAGGGGCGCAGTCAAGACACGCTGCCAGGCCAGCCTCTGCCTGACCGCCGGCTCACCTCTTTTCTTCCAGCTTCTTCTGCAGGAGGTCCCACCTCCAGGCGGGCATGCTGGCCAGCCGGGCCTCCTCCTCCTCCTGAAACACAACCACAAAGCTTCAGAGCCTGCAGGGGCTGGGAGATAGGGGGCACCCTCAACCTGGGGACCTGAAGGAGTCAGGGTCACAGGAAGTGACCCTTTGGATGCATTTCTGTGGGACAAGTGGATGGAGGTGCCTGGTCACACCCCCTCAGAGCTGGCCTCCTTTCTCCTAGTAACCCAGACCCTTGTGTCCTACAGGAGGCACCAGAGAGATCAGAGCTGAGTGGGACAGAAGCAGAGAAAAAGTAGCCGGGACCCAGAGGTCCTGAGCCTGATTCCCCACAGGGGCAGGTGGCCAATGGCCACAGGTCCAAGATCTCTGGGCAGACGCAGATGCGGGCCCCCACCCAGCCTCTTGGCTCAGGGAGATTCAGGCTGCCCCTGGCTCCCCTGAGAAGGACCTTCAGCCCATGGTTGCCCTCTTCCCAACAGAGTGGATACGTGCTCTACAATCGTGGGGCTGCAATGACATCAGGGGCAGGTGTGGTGTCCAACATAGGCAGTTTACAGCAAACAGTTTTATTTCCTGAATATTACAGAGGAGAAAGGGTCTGTACACCGCACACTTCACACAGAACACTGCACACGTGGCTCCCTTGACCTCAGCCAAGGAGGTAGCTGTGAACTCCAGTGGAAAACCAGAAAGCAGGCCACACTGCCCCAGGGAGGAGCCGCAGCCCCTCACTCAGAGGGGCTTCTTCTGCTGCCTGGCTCCACACAGAGCTCAGCAAGACCACGGGGCCAGAGGGGGACACCTGGTTTGTTCTGTGCCTGCCCTGCCTATCCGACCAACGCCCCACACAGCCTGCTCACGATGGGACCTCAGAGGCTGAGGCAGCCTGGTCCTGGGCCCTCCGGGCTGCTCAAGGCCACAGTCCTGGGTTCTTCCCGCTGCTTCACGCCTCTGGAGGGCGTCAGACAGGCGTCCAGGCCCACGTTAAGACGCTCGAGGGTGAACTGCGAATTCCGAATTCCGCTGCTCAGATGTCAAACAGCTCTGCCTCCTTCTCCTTCCAGAAGGAGAAGCTGCGGTCGATGTAGCGGCAGATGTCCTCGTTGCTGAATTCGCCCATCTCAGACACCAGTTCCAAAGGGTCTTCGGCGGGGGCTTCGGAACCCGGAGAGTCTGAGATCGGGGGAGGCGCGGCGGGCGGGCGGGCGCGGCGGCTGCGGCACAGGGGCCAGGGCCTCGCGCTGCCCCTTGGGCGGGTCCCCCTTCTGAACCGGAGCGGCCTCTTCGGTCCGCTCCTGTTCTTTCCCCTTCTCTTCCTTTTTCTTCGCCTGTTCTTCGGGGGCCGGCTCAGCCTCCAGGCCGTTTCCGAAGAACCTGTGCCTGAGGTCCTCGAAGCCGTCGCTCCAGCCGCGCCGGCCGGCCTCCACCTCCTCCAGCACCACGCGGTGGAAGAGGCGGATGCGCTCCCACGGGTGGCTGTCCAGCCGGTGGAACATCTCGTAGCACAGTAGGTGGCGGAACTTGCGATCCTCGCGGCTCAGGCCCATCTCCGGTAGCTGGAAGTAGCCGAGCATGAAGAGGTCGAGCGTGAGGCTTTCGTAGCGCGGGGGTGCGCCGCCGTCTAGGGGCGACAGGAAGTGCTGGGGCCAGTACACGCCGTGCGCCAGGCCCGGGCTTGGCGGCACGTGCCGCCGCAGGCTCCGCCAGTGGTGCAGCAGCTTGCCCACTGCCTGCCGCTGCCTCAGCAGCTGCCCAGCCGTTCGTTGGGGCTGTGGGCCTCGCTCTTGCTCACCAGCAGCCGGGGGGCGTCTGTGGCCTCCAGCTCCGGCCAGCACGGGCGGCCGTCACGCCAGGCAGCAGTCTGCCTAGGCGCGCCTGGGCGCGGCGGCCTGGTCCGCGGAAGGCCCGGTCCGCGGAAGGCCCAGCGGCGCCAGTGCTCCAGGAAGAGGTAAACGATGCGCTCCTTGCGCAGGTCGAGGTAGTCCTGGACGCCGCGCAGTTCCGTGCAGAGGGGCGGCCGGCGCGCCAGCTGCTCGGGCTCAGGTAGCGCCGCCTGGCAATCCTGTGCCTCAGGCGGGCCCAGGGTGTCCAGGGGCTCCCAGTCGGCCAGCGGGCCGTGGGCGGCGGCGGCGCTGGGCTGGCCAGAGCCGGCCGCCACGTAGTCCTCCTACAGGATGGGCTCGCGGACCGGGGCGCCAGCGGACTGCGGGGGCTTGCGGCGCGGACAGCGCGGGGGCGCCGCGTCCAGTGCGCGCAGCTCGTAGGTGGCGCGGTGATGCTGCACGGAGACGCCGCACTCGAGGATCTCGCGCGCCACAGCCTCGCGGCACCAGTTGAGCCAGTGCGAGCGGCCCAGGCAAAGCGGCCCCGGCAGTCAGGGCGCCTCGGGCAGCGGCGCCAGCGGCTGGCCCGTGTCAGCGGTCGGCAGCTCCGCCAGGTGCGCAGGCCGGCCGCCCAGCGCGGCTAGCAGCGTGGCCATGCTCTTGAGCAGCGTGGAGATCTTGCTGCACCAGGCGGGCAGGCTGGCGGCGCGGCCATGCATTCGGCGCGGGTCGACGGTGAAGCGCGGCTCCACAGGGCGACGGAGATGGGCAGCAGCTGCTCAGCTCCAGTTGCTCCAGGCGCGCCTCCAGCTTCTGCGCCTTGTGCAGCACCTGCAGGTTCTCGATTGCTGCTCGATGCGGAGGATGTCGGCCTCGGTCATGAGCTCGCCAAAGGGCCAGAGGATGGCGTTGTGCTCGCGGGAGTACCTCCAGCCCTCGCGGGGGTAGCAGCACGAGCTGGCGGCCGTCAGCTAAGGCGGGGAAGACAAGAGAGGGGAGGGAGGCGCGTCTCCCTCTGGCCCAGCTCCCGCCGTGGCGCCAGGAACCTTTTGCATGTCCTGGGTGGTGTAATGGCTCCGCGGGGCTGCGTCTGCAGGGAGGGACCGCGTCTGGCCGGCGGGGGGTGACGCTGGGGTGAGGCTTCGGCCTGAGCCGCCGCTCCAGGCTCTGGGCAGTGTCCACTTTGGTCGCTGGCGGGGGCACGGCCGGTTGCTGCTCGCTGCTGCGGCGGCAAGAACAGGCCAGCAGACGGGGTCTCCATGCCTGGCTTGTTCGCTCATTACACCACCCAAGGAACTTGCCAAAGGCCTTGAAGCTGAGAGGCGCGGTGGCCCGCCCCAACCCATCCGAGGGCGGCTATTGTGAGGCCTCTCCTCCCAGACTCATGACCCCTTCTCCAGCTCCCCTGTGGCCCAAGCCTTCCGCTCCCTGTGGTCAATGTTTTATGTGCAGAATGAGAGGCCACTCCTCTCTTAAAGAGGCTGCAGCTGCAGCTTCCACTGAGCTGCCCACCCTTCCCCTCCCTTCGTCCTGCTGGACAGCTGGGCACCGTAATATTCTCATTTGCTCACTTTTCTCCACCTCTGATGTCCAGTTTTCCCCCCTGGGCCTGCCATCGCCTCCACAGAGGTCCCTGATTCATCTTGACCCTATGGGATCCACTCCCCACATACAAATAGGAAGCAGCCTCTTCCCTGCTTAACACTCCCCGCACCCGGCTCCCCAGTGCTCCAGGAGAAAGTCCGTTCTCTTCTGGGCCTCTGGCCAGGTCTTGGTAACCTGGCCCCCACTGAGGTCTCTCCAGATCAGCGACCCCCTTCCTCCAGGACAGTCAGGGCCACATCCACTCTCACTTCCAGACTGCCCTGTCCCACCTGCGGCTCTTCAGCCCCCTCTCCGCCTGGCCACCCCTCACTCGTCTTCCAAGTGTTACCTTAGACATCACCTCCTCCTTCCCTAACACGCCCCCCAGCCCACGTATAAGGTGGCCGGTTAGGGCTGCCCCAGTCCCCTGCGTTCCCCATTGCAGCTGGCTGTGTTGCATCAGCCCAGGTACTTCTCTCCACTGCCACCCACTCTCTCACCCTGCCCCATTTTGTGTGCTTGGTGACTCGCACACTTGTCCGCAGCCACCTTAGAGCAGGCCTTGATATGTTCACCATGAATCCCCAGAGGCTACAAGCGTGTGGGGCACATAAATGGCACTCGGGGGCCAGGCGTGGTGGCTCACGCCTGTAATCCCAGCACTTTGGGAGGCCGAGGCGGGCAGATCACTTGAGGCCAGGAGTTCAAGACCAGCCTGGCCAACATGGTGAAACCCCATCTCTACTAAGAATACAAAAATTAGCCGGGCATGGTTGGCGGGCATCTGTAGTCCCAGCTACTCGGGAGGCTGAGGCGGGAGAATCACTTGAACCCAGGAGGTGGAGGTTGCAGTGAGTCAAGATCGCACCACTGTACTCCAGCCTCAGTGACAGAGTGAGACCCTGTCTCAAAAAAATAAAAAATAATAAAAATAAATGGCATTCGGGGAATAGTTTTTGGATGAATGGAAGGCAACTCATCCTGCCAGCTGGTGCTGATCAGCTCACCTTACAGAGAAGGAAACTGAGGCTGGATGAGGCTCAGTATCGGCAGCTGGAAGGCGGCAGCGCAGCAATGGAGCCCAGGTCCCTAAGACTGAGACCAAAGCTCTCTTGGCTACTCAGTGTGGTCCTTGGACCAGTGTCATCAGCAGCCTCACCCAGGAGCTGGCTAGAAATGCAGAACCTCAGCCCTGCCCAGACCTCCTGAATCCGAACAGGCCTTTTAACCAGATCCCAGGTGCTGGGCAGGTGAAGGAGAGTCTGAGAAAGGCTGCTGTCTCACTCCAAGGACAAGCTGCTGGGGGTGTGTGTGGAGACTGGGACAAGCCCCAAACGGGGTCGTGCCACCCTGATTTCCCTAAAGAAGATGGCCGGGCACGGTGGCTCATGCCTGTAATCCCAGCCCTGGCCAACATGGTGAAACCCCGTCTCTAATAAAAATACAAAAAAATTAGCTGGGCGTGGTGGCATGCGCCTGTAATCCCAGCTACCTGAGAGGCTGAGGCAGGAGAATCATTTGAACCCAGGAGACAAAGGTTGCAGTGAGCCGAGATCGCGCCACTGCACTCCAGCCTGGGCGACAGAGCAAGCCTCTGTCTCACGAAAAAGAAAAAAAGAAAAAGAAAGAAAGAAAGAAAATAGGAGGTCCCGAGGTTGGTGTTGGGGGTGGCGTGGGGGATGGGCTGTGCATCCAGATGCAGACCCCAGGGCTCCCTGGGCACCCCGCCCCACCCACTTTCCACCTCTGCTCCTCCTCCTCCTACATCTTCAGCTGCATCTTGCCCACCATCACCTGGCGCTTCCACTCGGGCTTGGGACGGCCCTGCTCATCGTGCGTGGGGATGAGCGCCTCCACGTCCAGCTGCACCCCCGGCGCAGGAGTAGTGGGCGGCACCGGAACCAAGCTTCCGTTGAGCAGCGGCTGAAACCCCGCAGCTGGCGGTGTGGGGCTCCGGACTGGTAACAGTGCAGGTGACACAGACGGCAGCGGCCAATCGGGCTGCAGGGAGAAGCGGTGGGGCTGAGCGCCTGGTGGCCTAGGGCCAGGGAAGCCGGGTCGCAGGCTCCTGCTGGGCCCGCCTACCTGGAAGGCCGGCTGCCTGCTGCCTGAGAACACTGTGGTCAGCCCCTTGCTCTGTGGCGTCGGCTTCAGGCTCTTGCCTGCCTTAATCTCAGCCAGTAGCTCCGAGTTGTCGCCCATCGGGAACATCACGTTGAAAGACTTGGTGCCTATGCAGAGGCAGGAGATGAGGCACTGGCCAGGGTGGGGCTGCATCCCTGCCACCCCTCACCCGCCCCTCTGCAGCCCCCTTCCCAACTCAAGATTGGATGGGTGCCCATCCTCGGGGCCAGCGGGCAGCTCTCCAGATCCCAGGTCCCGCAGGCAGCTTTCAGGGCCCCCAGAGGCAGGCCCTTGGTTCCCCGACTGTGGCAACCCCACCATCCTCCCCCACCCTACTCACGGGATGGAGGGCCCCTGCCTGGAGACCCCTGGGAGTTCATGGTGGCTCTTGGGCATATATTCCTGCCCAGCCACTGACTGCCCAGCCGCAAAACACTACCTGGAATCAGCCACCGGACCTTTGTCCCAGGTTTCCTGGCTCAGCCCGGCTGGGTGGAGCCTCCCTCTGGCCCTCTCCCTACATCAGCAAAGCCTCAGTGACCCTTGAGCTGAGTCAATTGGGGCCTCCATGGACATGCAGAGTCCAGACCCCAGAGTGCCAGTACCACCTGCTCCCCTCCCTCGCCACCACACCCACAGACAGACGCACAAGCAGACACATTGGTTGCAAGCCGGGAGCACATTTATGGCAAAGCACGGCTCAGCTCTAGGGGAAAGCAGAGCCCTTACTAAGGCCACAGGAGGCACCCAGGAAGAAGGGCAGGCAGGTAATATGCAAACACCCAGGGCAGAGGGTGCATTTTCTGGCTTAGCCGGAGGAGGCGAATGGAGATTTGGAGAGATAGGTCTCTTGAGCCCCGATGAAGGGGTCAGGTCTGGGAGGGAGGAATAAAATGGGCCGACAGCTCTTGGATTCCCAGGCTGGGGATCCCAGAGTGCAGTCACCGGGAGGAGAAGAGTAGGAGAAAGGGAAAATCGGTGTGGCTTACTCATTTATTTAGGCAAAACCATCAGCCAGGCGCAGAATGCTTGGGTGCATATGTGGGTATGAGGGTAGGTATGAGGTGCAAGGCCCCACCCATGCATCGAGGTTCTCTCGCCTGCCAGCCCCTGCCCCTGCCCTTTCCTCAAGGCTGGGCCCCTCCTCCCGTGCTTTTCCTGCCTCTTCCCCCCACCCCGCGCCTCAGCCTCAGCCAGGAGCCGCGCACGCAGCTACTCACTCTTCCTGTGCCTCAGGACTCTCACTTCTAGGGACCAAGAGGAGAGAAGTGACAGCGGAGTTAGGAGGGAAAGGGGGCCAGGATGAGACTGGGATAGCAGGGGACAGGGAGCGGGCCAGGGAGAGCAGGAGGGGGGAAGTGGAGAAGAGAGGAGGAGCATTTCTGCCCATCTGACCCTGGCTCAGGCTGCTCTGGGGCCCCATGAGGGTGGTCCATCGAGTTCCTGGTTTGGCTGGTGCCCCTGAGGGCTGGGCAGGGCAGGGCCACCAGTGGCTCTAGCCCCCAGCAAGGGCCTCCACCTTGGCACTGGGTTGGGGTAGGGCACCCAGCCCTGGCTGTGCTGGGTGGGGGTGTCTGGGGAAGCCCAGAGTATATTTTTCTCTGCCCTTAGCTTCAGCCCTGCTGCAGACTGTGGAGGGAAGGAGAAGGAGGCTCGGCAGGTGCTGGACATGCTTCCATGGGCTCTGGTCTGCAGGGGCTGGGGCTCCATAGGAACCATAGGGGGACAAGCTCTGCTCTGCCCTCCTAGTCAGGGAGATGAAGCTTTGAGGGGTGCCACTAAGCATGATCTCTGCCCTGAGTGGCTGGGTGATGAAGGCACCCCAGCCAGGCTGGGATGGGAGCACCACATCTAGGCACCCTGTCCTGGGCCTTCTAGGTGTCCTGGCAGGGGGACACTGTCCCACCCTACAGAAAAGAAGCCCAGGAATCCTGCGCCAGTCTAGCTCTTAAAAAAGGATGCCTAGGGAAGTCACCGGGGAGGGAGGGGGAAACATGGTGGGTCACAGCTTTGCCCCCATAGCCAGGCTCTGGCTGGCCCAGGGCCCCTGGCAGGAACTGGCTAGGAAGAGTTCCTGGCATATCTAAGAAGGCTTCAGGTCTGTGCTGCTTGGAAAGACAAGAGAAAGACGTGGAGAGAGGAAGAGAGGCTCAGGATAGACAGGGGCAGGGGGAAGGGTGGCCAGCTGCGGGGCCTCTCTGAAGCTGGTTCGACTTCAAGTGTCCCTCCAGTACCAGCTCATCAGAAACACCAGCACCAGCTCATGGGAAACACCAGCGCCAGAGCTGGAAGGCCCTTTCTAGCCCGTGGGAGGCAGGCCCAGAGAGGGGAGGGGACTTGTCCAGGCCACACAGCTAGAGGGTGGGAGGCAGGCCCAGATTGGGGAAGGGACTTGCCCCAGGCTGTGCAGCCCGGTCCTGCTTTGGCAGGACCTCAAGCAACCCAGAGCCCTCTCTTAGGGTCAAGTACTCAATGGGGTAGGGGTGGCCGGAAGACCATGTAGAAGAGGAAGGACCCCGGCAGTGACAGCTGGGGAGGGGGCGGTGTCTAGATTTCCCTCCCCTTTCAGGGCTAGCACCGCCCCCCACCCCTCAACCTGCCCCTACTCACTGCCGGTGGGCGAGGAGGAGCGGCGCTGCCCGCAGCCAGGGCCAGCGCCCTCGAGGGGCAGAGGCGGGACCGGCGGCGGCGAAGTCGCGGCCTCGGGCAGGGGCGGCGGCGG
The DNA here is from genome assembly GCF_000001405.40 of Homo sapiens. NCBI lineage: Eukaryota > Metazoa > Chordata > Mammalia > Primates > Hominidae > Homo > Homo sapiens. The sequence continues at coordinate 837,149 of NW_025791756.1, read as the reverse complement.
CGGCGGCGGCGGCAGCTGCTGCTCCCTGGACGCCTTGGGGTCCGCGGCGCAGCCGTTAGGCACGTGGTTCCCAGGGAGTTCCGCCTGCGGGGATGAAGGTGGGGGCTCACCTCCCAGCTTAGGGAGAGGCTGAGGGGTCTGGGTCACATCTGGCCGGGGGCGCGTGCAGAGCCGCGGTCAGGTGTGGCAGAGCAGTTGGCGCCCACGTAGCATCCGCGACGGCTGCGCCGCCTGCGGGGGAGCGGAGGGGCCTTCGAGCGAGCCGCGGGCGGCAGGGCCGAGGCGCGGGCAGCCGGCGGGCGCGGGCTGGCGGGCACGCACCTCCTCGCGGTGCGCCATGCCCGGGCGTGCGACCAGCGTCTCGCCGGGGCAGCGGCCCAGCTGCCGGTAGTAGTCCCCCGTGCTGGGCTGCTTGCTGAAAGCGCGGGGCTTGCGGCTGGAGTCCTGCCTCCGTAGCCCGTCGTGGCCGTCGCAGGAGCTCGGCTGCGGGAAGACAGTGACCGGTGGGGCTCGGGCAAGTGCCCGGTAGGCGCCCCCCACGCCTCCCCACCCAGCTCTTCACCTCCTGGGAACTCGCGGCCAGCGGCCGTCGGGGGGTGCAGCAGCCGACTTCCTAGACCCCCTGTTCTCACGGTGGGCAGCGGGCGAGGTTCATGGGGGCCTCGGTGGAAGGGCAGGCTCCGCCCGCCTTACAGGGAGGGGTTCTGGGCACCGGCCAAGGGGCACAGGGTCCCCCACTGAGGCCAGAAGGGGCGGGCCCAGGGGCGGGGTGGCCCAGCCCCGACGCCAGGGGGAGCTAGAGAAGGGGCACCTCCCAGCTTAGCCTTCACTAGGCCCTCGGCCGCACTCCGCTCTCGGCTGTCAGAAGGACTGCGGGTCCCCAGGGCTCCGCGGAGCCCTGTCTTTCGGGGGTCCCGGGCCGGAGGGAGCCCCCTCCAGAGCCTGTGCTCTCCGAGGCTCCGGCTTGCCCCGGACCCCGCTTGTCCGTCTAGGGGCTGCTCCAACCTGCCACGGTGCTGGTGGTCCTGCTGTGCACCTGGCGGCGGGGGCGGCAGGACCCGACACCTGCTTTACGTGATACTTCCTCTCAGGTTACAGACGCCCGCGCACGGCCAGCCTATGGGCTCCGACGGCCTGACATCACCCGGGGCCCGCCAATCCCAGGCCGAACCCCCCCCAGCCGTCGCGGATGCCACGGGGGCGCCAACTACTCTGCCACACCTGGCCGCGGCTCTGCACCCGCCCCGGGCCAGATGTGACCCCGCCCCCTGCGCCTCTCCCTAAGCTGGGAGCTGAGCCCCCACCTTCATCCCCGCCCGAGAGGAGAGAGGGCTGACCGTGGGCAGAGGGGGCCTCTCATATTTGGCTGCCGGCTCCGGGTCGCGTCCCCACCGTTTCCCTCCTGCATCTGGAAACCATCGCCATCCACGAAAGCGACACCGACACCCGCGCTCAAGCCTCGGATTTCAGGGGCCGTAAGGCGGGGTCGGGTGACAGCGCGGCTTCCCGCCCCGTCGCAGCTGCCCCCAACTAGGCCCAGCTCAGTGAGGGAGAGTGAGGCGGCCGGGCCAAAGACTGAGTGACCGGGTGGGGGCTGTCCCCTGCCCCACTCTCCAGCCCATGCGTCCCTGCGGTGGCCTCAGACCCTTCACCCCGCCCGACCTGGCTCAGGTTGCAGGAAACGCGACACCGCAGGATTCGTTTTCTGGGCCAGCCCGCCGGCTCCGCGCCCCCTGCAGCCCGGAGGCTCCGACGCCACGACCCTGCTCCCACCTGCGGTCAGGCACCCGCGCGGGAGGCGCCGCGGCGACACAAAGAGCCCTTTGTAGAGCTTCCCGGCCCGGGCCCTGGCGTCTGCGGCCCAGCACGCACACAGCCGGGAGGGACGCACACAGCCGGGAGGGGCACACACAGCCGGGAGGGACGCACACAGCCCGGAGGGGGCTCGCACAGCCAGGAGGTGACCTCACAGACCTGGCACTTGGGCTCAGCGGTGGAGAGGGGGCACTGGCTGGGCCACCTGTCCTGTGGATTTGGGCGGGGCCCACAGTCTGCGCCGGGAGCTCAACGATTCCAGGGCCCCTGCAGCCCTACCCGCCCGGCCCCCTCTGCCTCCCAGAGATGAAAGGGGAAAGCCACTGTGGGAGCTTGGTCTAAGGTGGCGTGAAGAGGGCAGCTACTGGAGCTGGCCTGCAGGTTTGGTGTCCCTCCCATGCCTCCCTTGCCCACTGGCCTTGTGACCTGAGTCACCTTGTATGAATTGGCCCTGGGGTGGCTTTGCCTTGGGCTTAAGAGAGAACTGCAAGGTCCCAGGCTCCAGCAGGACCCCAGGGAGCTGCCACACCACATCTGGCCACCTGTGACCTCAGGCTGTCCCCTCACCTCTTAGACCATCCTTGCTCTGTTCCTGTGGCCAGAACGCCAGTGTTCCCCAGGGCACCCTGCCGAGGATACCCGCAATTGCTCAGACCAGACCTCTGCCCCAATCCCTGCTCCAGAGCCTCAGCCAGGCGCCTGCAGGCCCCAGACATCCCTAGGCACCTCACACTTCACCTACCTACCCTGCCCTCATCCTCTCCACACAGGCTCGCTTCCCTCCAGGGCTCCCAGCTCAGGCCTGGCCCTTTCCCCCAGGAGCTCAAGCCCTAAACTGGAACCAGCCACAGCTTCACTTCCTCCCAGCCCCTACTGCCGGTGGGCGCCCAGCCCTGCTAGTGCCTGCTCACCTTCCTCCCTCCCTCCTTCCAGCCCTTACCTCTACAGCCATGCCACTGGCACCTTCCACCTGGCAGCCACCTCCCTTGGGTGACACTCTCCGACTGAGCCTGGGGCTGTGGGGGTGGGGGGGCATGCTTGGGGAGGGGCAGTCTCCATGCATTCTCTGTCAACTCCATGACAACCCGGCCACTCTGTGCAAGAGGTGGCACAGGCCCAGTTCCTGGTGAGGAACAGCTGTCTGGACCTGCGTCCTTCACCCCCCAGCTCCCATGGAGGGCAGTGACCTGCTCTTACTCTCCTCCCAGTCCAGTGTCCAGCCCTGACCCCTCGTGGGACTCGCCAGGAGCTTTGACTCTTGAATATGCCATGGACCCAGGGACCCCCACCCTGTGCCCACTAGTGAGGCCAGGCCTTTGGCCTGACTGGCCCCCATCAGCCCAGTACCCCTGCTGGGAGGCAGGCAGTGGGTGAGGGCTCACTACCTCCTTCTTGAGGGCCTCTGTCTCCACGTGGCGGAGTTTGTTCTTGGTCTGCATGTAGATGTCAGCTGCCTGTGGTCCCACAGGAGGCTTGGGAGATGGGTAGCTAGGTGGGGGTGGGGGCAGTTGGGTGCCTGGGGGCGGGGGTGGCGGGGGGAAGCTGGGTGGGGGTGGTGGGGGTATGGGCTTCCCAATCGTGCCCCAAGGCAGGCCCAGCTCTGGGTTCAGCATGTCCATGTAGCTCTGTATGTCTGCAGCTCTAGTGCTGGAAAGCCCTGGGGAGGCAGAAGGAAGGGCCAGATTTGGAAGCATGCAGACAGGCTTTCCCCCAAGAATGAGACTCTCCACCACCTGGAAACAACTTGCCGAGGGCCAAGGTGGGCTCCGGGCACCACTTGGTACACCTGTTGTGGCCCCTGGCGTTGCTGGGCTTCCTCTCCCTGGCCCTGCCCTGCCCCAGCCCAGCACTTACTGGGGGAAGACCAGGCACTCCGGTTTGGAGGGGAAGCACTGGAGGCTTTGGTGTGTCTAGAGGGCAGGGTCACCTGGAAGGGGAGGGTCTACTCCTTGGGAGTACAGATGGCCACATCCAATCTTTGCAGGGCACCCTGCCAGGTCTGGAGGCCACCATCTGGTGGCGTGAAGCAGGCATTGCAAGTGGATGGACGCCCATGCTCAGGGCACGGTCAGGGTGTGTGTACACACAAGCCTGCAAGTCTGCCGAGGCGATTGTGAATTTGTGTATGTTTGAGTGTGTACGCATTTGTGCACATGCTTCTTTGTATTGATGAATGTGTGTGCATTGCTCTGTGGACATGGTGTGTGTGTGTGTGCATATCTGTAGTATGGAAATAGAGCATTGTGTGCTTGTGTGTAAGGTGGGTGTGTGCAGATATTAGCATGGCTCTGTATGTGTGTTCATATCTGTATGCTGTGTGTACACATGTACAAGTGTGTGCTTTTGTGTGTGAGTAGCTAAGAATAATGAATGGTGGGCGGCACACGTGGATTTTGTGGGTGGGGAGAGTACATGTGGATGTACATGTATGTCTGTGATGAGCACACACAAGTATGAGTGACATCTGTCTCTCACCAGAAAGGGTGTCGCCTCCCCATGTTTAAAAGCAAGTGATGAGAGTAGTCTCCGATATTGGCTGTGGCAGGCTGGCCCAAGGCCAACCCTCACAGCCCAGCAGTCTGGCTTCAGTCTGCTCTCCCTCCCCCTCTTCCTCCTGGGCACACTCACCACGTGGAGGGTGCTGGCCCTTGATGCTGGAGTGGCTGGAGGAGCAGGAGTCGTAGTTGGAGAGGGAGCTGGTGGGCAAGTGGAGGTCAAAGTTCAGAGGCTGGACCGACACCGTGGTGTTGGGTGAGGACATGCCTGAATCCGGCTGCTTCACCTCCAGCTCCACGGATGGATCCCGGGAGAGCACGCAGTGCTCCATGCTCTGAAGGGGAGGCAGGGAGGCCATGAAGGCAACTGCACCCCAAGATGCGTTGCTCTCCAGGCCAGGGTCCTACTCAGCCATGCCTTTGCTGTGGGATCTTGGCCAAGCCACACCCCTCTCTGGGGTCTCTTCCCCATCGCTAGAGGGTCTTTCAGGTTCCTCCGGGTTAAGATTCAAGCCCAGCCCCGCCAGGCAGAGGACCCAGGTTCCTGGGAAACTCCCTCCCCTGGCTCCTCCCTGATTAGGAGGGTGGAGAGATCGACGAGGGGGCCTTGAGCTGCACCCCAGGGGGAGAACTGCCAGGAGATCGGCCTTCTCCCTCACAGATCGGCACAGGCTCCATGGGGAGGGGCACAGCACAGGCCCATCCCTAGTGACCTGGCTGGCAAGCCAGCTCTCCTTGCCAGACCTGGGACCTGGAGCAGACTCCCAACACCAGCCCGGCCTGTCTCCTAATGGGGCCCTTGGGGTAAGGGTAGGGCCTGGATGGCCAGCTGAGCAGTGATGGGCAGCCAGAGCTCAGGCTGCCAGGCCTGCCATTCCCCCGCCCTGCCCGGTCTGTGCGTCTGACCACAGGCCTGTCCCCTCCCGGTGCAGAGAGGGCTGTGGTAGGGGCCCTGCTTACATTGCCCACGCTGCCCCTGCTGCCGGCAAGCCCGCTTGCTCCGCTGCCTCCTGCCCAGGCCTGCTCCTCCTTGCCCCGTGCCCCCTCCCTGCCTAAGAAGTGTCACAGGCACCCTGGGAGAGAGAGGCAGGCCTGGCACCAGGTAACGGCTCAGCGGCTGCGCTCATTGGCCCCGTAATTAGGGGCTCTGCTGGAGTGTTTGCCTTTTCTGGGCCAGCGTCTTCTGTGGCTTGGGTCTGTCCCTGCCTCAGCTGGGCCTGCTTGAGTGAGGGGACCAGGGCACACACACCCCACCCATTCCAGGGGACCAGGCCCTGCTACCTACCGCAGGAGTCAGGGGAGCCATAGGAGGTGGTGTGGGCAGCACCCAAAGGTGCTCTTTACCTGGGCAACAGCAGTGGGTGCTGAGGGCACCAAGCCCTGACCCCTGTAGGCAACAGATAAGAGGCTGGGCCTCAGCAGGTGTACTGCGCCTGGCCTGAGCCACCCAGCTCTGCAGTCTGGGACTGTGGCTTCAAACTTCCCCTCCTCGACTTACTAGCTATTTCGGGCGAGTCACCTGTGCTTTTTGTGCCTAAGTTTCTTTATCTGCAAATGGGGGTAACAGCACTACTTGCTCTGCTGAGCTCCAGGACATGGCGCCCAGTAAATGCCATACTGTCAAATTTTTTTTTTTTTTTTTTTTTTTTTAGACGGAGTTTTGTTCTTGTTGCCCAGGCTGGAGTACAGTGGCACGGTCTTGGCTCAGTGCAACCTCCACCTCCTGAGTTCAAGCAATTCTCCTGCCTCAGCCTCCCAAGTAGTTGGAATTAAAGGCACCCGCCACCACACCCAGCTAATTTTTGTATATTTAGTAGAGATGGGGTTTCCTCATGTTGACCAGGCTGGTCTCGAACCCTGACTTCAGGTGATCCACCCGCCTCAGCTTCTCAAAGTGCAGGCATGAGCCACCACACCCGGCCTGTCAACTTTTTTATTTTATTTTATTTTATTTTTAGATGGAGTCTTGCTCTGTCACCAGGCTGGAGTGCAGTGGCGCGGTCTTGGCTTACTGCAACCTCCGCCTCCTGGGTTCAAGCGATTCTCCTGCCTCAGCCTCCCGAGTAGCTGGGACTACAGGCGTGTGCTACCACACCTGGCTAATTTTTTTTTTTTTTTTTGTAGTTTTAGTAGATACGGGGTTTCACCATGTTGGCCAGGATGGTCTTGATCTACTGACCTCGTGATCTGCCCGCCTCGGCCTCCCAAAGTGCTGGGATTACAGGCATGAGCCACCGCGCCTGGCCTGAGCCACTGCACCCAGCCAACTATTTTTTTAATGTACTGTGAAGAGTAACTGAGATTACACCTTTAAGGCACTCGGCAGGGTACCTGCCTAAGTCAGAATCCAATGAATAGTGTTTGCTGTCCTATGACCACTAGCAGCTGCATCCAGACAGGCCCTCAGGTGCCCTGGGCTCTGGTGCCACCCCCCATGGTCCCTCGACAGAGTCACAGGCTCTCTTAACTGATGGGGACCCACCACTGATGCAGAAATGTCCTTCCCTGTGTCCATCCCGGCTTATATACCCTAGTGACAGAGTTCTCACTACCTGCTGGGCCATTCATTCTCTTCCAGAGACTCTTTCTCGGGGGGAAGTTCACCCTCAGGCCCGCCTGCAGCCTCTGGCCTCTGGGCCTTGCTGTGTTCTGCAGCCCCTAGAGCCAGGACCATCCCCCTGTGCTGGCAGGGACGACAGATGGACAGACGGTGCTCAGGGCACAGACCATCTGCCTTCTTCCCTCCGGGCCTCATTTCACAGCCCCTCCATGGCCAGGCTGCCCCATGGAGTTGGTCCGCATCCTTTTGGGGTTGGCTGTGAGGCCCACTCTCTTCCCTGCCTATTGCCTCAAAGCAGGCATTGTACCAGATGGTGCAGAGCCCTCACTTGGAGACATCCACAGCTGAGTTCAAGTCCCAGTAGGTCACTTCGTGGCTGTCTCACCATAAAAACATAATTTAAAAAGAGTAGCATGGGTTTCCAGTTATGACCCAGCCATGAAGTCAGCTAATATATGGTGCAGGGGCAGAGAGGTGGCTCCTGGTCAGGCCATCAAGGTAGGTTCTCCACTCTACCACTTACTGGTGATGCGATCCTGGTGCCCCGCAGACTCCCTTTACCCATATGTGGAACGGGACACTTACACTCTCTTCTGCAGAGGGTGGCTGTGAGTTATACCCAAGCTAATGTCTATGGGTAGGTGAATGAGCCTGCCTGTTCCCAATGGGGCCTGTCTTGTGATTTCTCCAGCCTTACCCCTTGGGGTGACCCTGTTCTTCCCTGTCCTCTTTCCGTTAACCTTTGTGCCTCTACTCCCTCAGTCCCCAGCAGGCAGTGGTTCTGGGCTGACAGGTCGTGTGGGGTAGCGGGCTTCACGTCTCTGAACCTCAGCTTCCTCCTTGGTAAAAGGGGTGACGACACCCACCACTGGGGTGGAGGGGCGAGAAGAGAGAATGCGACAGGAGCAGCGCAGGGATCGTACCAGGTTCTCCACCGTGCGCAGGCAGTGGGTGCAGTGGCTGTGGCCGTTGAAGTCCGACAGGTCAGCGGCCGTGTACCCGTCGCGGTCGCGGACTTCCAGCTCCGCGCCGTTCACTACCAGGATCTGGCAGCACTGTGGGGGCACGCAGTGAGGACCCGGCCGCGGCCACGAGCTGGGACCCCCGCGCCCGGGCAGGGCCGTGCGGAGAGCGCGGTGCCAGCAGAGGGCGCGCGCCCCCACCCCGGGCCCGCGCTGACCCCTAGCTCCCCGTTCTCGGCGGCGTCGTACAGCGCGGTCCCGCCCCACAGGTCAGCCGAGATCTCCCCGCCGTGCAGCAGCAGCCAGCTGAGCACCTTGCTGTGGCCGCGGCTCGCCGCGAAGTGCATGGCGGTGGCGCCGTCTTTGTCCTGCTCCGACAGGCTCACGTCGGTGCAGCTCACCTGGGCGGGAGGGGCGGGGAGAGAGGGGCGGGGGATGGGGGCCAGGCCCCTGCAGGCCCCGCCCACGGTCCTCCGCCCCACTCCTGATGGCCCCGCTCCCTCCACTCCCCGCCCTGCCGGCTCCGCCCCGTCTCCCCTCCGCACCGCCCGGGCCCGGAGCTCACCAACCACACGATGACCGGGCTGTGGCCCATCTGCGCCGCGGCGTGCAGTGGGGTCATGCCGTCGTGGGCGCGCGCGTGCGGGTCCGCGCCGCATTCCTGCACCAGGTACTGCGTCACCTCCAGGTGGCCCTCCTGGCACGCCAGGTACAGGGGCGTGGCACCGTTCTTGGTTTGGGCATTCACTCCCCTGCGGAGACACAGCGCCCACCGTGGGCTTTCAGCGCCTCACCCCCTCCGAGGCCTCCTTACCCGCCCCCCTCCCCTCCCGGGGAGCCCTGGACGGCAGGGAGAGTGGGCGGGAGAGGGCCCTGTCACCGGCCCGCTGCCGCCCGGGGGGCTCCGCCTGGACTGAGTCCTGAGCCACCCTCCCTCAGAGGCCCCTGAGGGCGTCCCACCCAGCACTGCCCTGCCCTCAGTCCCACTTTTTTTTTTTTTTTTTTTTTTTTTTTTGAGAAGAAGTCTAGCTCTGTCGCCCAGGCTGGAGTGCAGTGGCTGGATCTTGGCTCACTGCAATCTCTGCCTCCCGGGTTCAAGCGATTCTTCTGCTTCAGCCTCCTGAGTAGCTGGGATTACAGGCATGCGCCACCACGCCCCGCTAATCTTTTGTATTTTTAGTAGAGACGGGGTTTCACCATGTTGACCAGGCTGGTCTCGAACTCCTGACCTCGTGATCCGTCCGCCTCGGCCTCCCAAAGTGCTGGGATTACAGAGCCACCGCGCCCAGCCTCAGTCCCACTTTTTAACCGAGGTCTACAAAGATGTGGTGAGCTGGCCTTTCCTCCCCTCTCGCCCACTGTCACCATGAGTCCCTACAACTGCTGTGTCTGACCTCTATCCCTTTCATCGTGTGCCCCCTCCATCTGGAATGTCCTTCCATCCTCCTCCCTCTTGAAGACTCAGTACCCATCCCTCCTCCATGAGGGCCACCCTGATTTATTTCCCCCTTGCTGGCCTCCGCCCCACACTGCCCAGGGCCACTATGAGCATGACCTGTCATGCTTGGTTGACCATAACTGATTTTGACCTTTGCCTCCCCCAGAAGACTGAGTTCCCAGCGGGCAGGGTGGTAAGGGTTGCCAGACAAAATGCAGTTCACACAGTTCAACCGGAATTTCGGATGAACGGATAATGCTTTAGTATTCTATATCCCAAATATTGCATGGGACATACTTATACTAAAATACAACTTTTTTATCTGAGATTCAAAGCTAGTCAAACATCCCGGGTTTTGTTGTTGCTGTTTTTGTTAATCTGGCAGCCCTCGGGATGTCCACTATGTACTGAATGCTTCTGCTGTGCTAGCTCTGGGCTATGGCACTGGCAAGCAGGTTCTTCTTTTTTTATTTTTATTTTTGAGATGGAGTCTTTCTCTGTCATCCAGGCTGGAATGCAATGGCGCAATCTCAGCTCACTGCACCCTCTGCCTCCTGGGTTCAAGCCATTCTCCTGCCTGAGCCTCCCAAACAGCTGGGACTACAGGCATGTGCCACCACGCCTGGCTAATTTTTGTATTTTTAGCAGAAACCCAGTTTTGCCATCTTGGCCAGGCTGGTCTCAAACTCCTGAGCTCAAGTGATCCGCCTGTCTCGGCCTCCCAAAGTGCTGGGATTACAGGTGTGAGCCACTGCGCCCGGCCATCAACTATTACTGTGACCATCAACTGAGATTACACCGGTAAGGCACCTAGCAGGGGACCTGCCAGAATCAGAATTCAGTCAATGGTGCAGCTACAGCTGGGGAGGCTCACAGGTGGGGCTGGGACTCTGTGCCATCACCCATAGTCCCACAACAGAGGCACAGACTCAGCTCTCTCCTCGGTCACACAGTTGGTAAGTGGCACTTGAACACTCATCTGTCTGTGCATGCAGGGCCTGGCTGGCAATATGGGCATGCAGGGAGTGAAGAGATGGAATGTGTCTCAGGGGCTTCTCCTAGGGCCTAGTTCTCGGCTGTCACTGTCCCTTATCCTTGCTCTGCCAGCCCAGAGGGGGCCTACCTAGGGAACAGCAGGGCTGTCCTGGCTGCTGGGCTGCTGGGTGTGAACAGCCCAGGGTGCAGTTGCCACCGAAGGACACTAGGTGGAGCCACAACCTACCCCCAGACCCAGGAGAAGTTCCAGGTTGGGGGCCACGACCTATTGGGTTCCAGTTCACCTTTTGTGCCTAGGAGGCCAATTCCTCACAGGACTTGACATCCTGCCCATCTACCTCCCCCAGTCTTTCACCCTGTAGATCAACCACATGCTCCACCCTGCATTCATCCCTCGTTCACCCATCCAACTGCCCATCCACTTGTTGCCTGCCCATCAACGTGCACCAGGCTACCCCCCTTTGCCCACCCACCCTCTTGTTCCCAACACGACTCAGCCCCTCTTCTGACCCCTGTCACGTGTGCCCTCTCCCTCCCTCTCACACACATCCTGAGCCCCTCCCAGCTGGCATCTCCCTGTCCCTAAAGCCCTGGTTCTCTGTCCACTTCCCTGACTCCTGAGACCCCAAGGCTGACTCTGACGGAGACCCCTGACTCTGCAGCCCCCATGGACCCCCACTCACTGATTTCTCCTCCCTCCCCACTCCCTAGACACAGGGCTGCCATTTGCTGGGGCTGATGCTGAGCCGGGCACTTCATGATGGTGCGGGGAGCAGGCACCATGCCTGGTGATCCAGAGGGGGTCCCGTCAACACAGATGAGGGAGACAGAAGACCCAGCTACGTATCTATCTTCAGAAACATGCTGGCTCGTGGCTGCCAGCCTCCACACCCCAGCGCCAGCGTCACCCCCACACACACTCACATACTGCTGCATCAGAACAGGCTGTTGAATATTTCATGACCGACGCTCAGCGGCCTAAATTATTCACCCCGTAACCAAGGCACAGTGAGTGCCGGGGTCTTGGGGATCAGGGGCTGGTGGGGGCCCACTGGGTTCTTTCTGCAGAGGCCCACGGCGGTGTACACAGCGGGTGGGGGGCCAGACCTGCAGTGAGCTCTGCTCTCTCAGCACTCCCTACTTGGCAGAGATCCATGACCCAGGGGTGCCCAGCCAGCCAGAGAAGGTCTGAGAAGCTGGCATCAAGCAGGATCTGAGCAGCAGGGGGAAGTGGTACCCACGGCCTCCTGCAGGGCCGCTGGCTGGCACTCCCAGCCCAAGTTCCTGGCACGGAATGAGCCCTCAGTAAGTGCTGGAGCTCATCACCATTCTCATTAGTATTCCACCATCTGCACTCATGCGCCCCATTATGGAGTCAGAGCCTCCAGCTTGGAATACCCCAGAACATGAGGCAGATATGCTGTTGGGCTGGGTGGGAAGGGGTCCTGGCTCAACATCCCCTTCCACCTTGGCCTGAGGACAAGAAGAACAATGGGCACTCTCACAGTCACTGGGGAGTATTACAAAGATATGGATGAGCATAAGGACCAAAATGAAATTCCCATCACACACCTGGAATCCAAGCACCTCGGGAGGCCAAAGCAGGAGGACTGCCTGAGCCTAGGAGTTCGAGACCAGCCTGGGCAACATAGAGAGACCTCCGTCTCTACAAACAATACAAAAATGAGCCAGGTGTGTTGGTGCACACCTGTAGTCCCAGCCACTCAGGAGGCTGAGGAGGGAGGATCACTTGAGTCCAAGAAGTTGAGGCTGCAGGGAACTATGATCATACCGCTGCACTCCAGCCTGGGTGTCAGAGCAAGAGCCTATCTCTAAAATAAATAAATAAATGAGAAAATAAACAAAATTCCCATCACTAGAGAGAGGAATTAATAAAAGTAATAATAGTAAATAATAATAATAGTGATAGCAGCCACCATTTACTGAATGATTACTCTGTCTCAAGCACTGTGATGAGTACAACACACACGTTCTCTCAGCTGGTCTTTGTAACAACCCCACAGGACAGGTGTTAGCATTGTTCTTCTGGTACAGATGAGGAAACTGAGGCACAGAGAGCTAAGATCACTCTGTGAGAAAGAGGCAGAGCCCCGATTTGAGGCTGTGTCTGATGCAGAGCCTGCTTCTGACTTCAAATGTGCCACGTCTACACCCCTTCTGCTCTTGGTCGGTCTGTCCCTCTGCCTCCCTCCCTCCCACTGCACAGACCACTGCCCTTCCCCACAGACCTCACTGCTGGGAACTCAGGAACACTCTTTGACAGCTGCTGGGGCACAGCCCCGCAGGAGGACCTGGCTCGAGTCCCGTGCCTTTGAGCTGTGCCACAGTCTTGCTTCTTGTCTCTTTGTGTTCCCAAACCCATCCATGAAATGGGGGCAACAGTTGTCATCCTGACCTCGTGCGGAGTGCCTGAGAAGTGCCTGCAGAGCCCTGAGCACAGGCCTGGTGCCTGGCGCACAGCCATTGCTGAACTTTAGGATCCTTCCCTGTGCCTGGGAGGACCAGCCACCAGGGGGGTCTATGGCTGGCCTGGCGTGTCCGGGTCCTGCCAAGTACGGGCCAGGCTGGGCATCATTTCTGCTGTGGGGAACACTACCTAGAGGGGAGAGGATGGGTCTTGGGGGAGACCTCTGACTCCCAGACCCTTGCCAGCTCTAGCCCTGACCACAGTGACAGCTGCAGAAAAGTGCTCCCAGACCAAGCCCTTGCCCTTTGCCCCGGCTTTGACCCAAACCCTCTTTGTAGGTCAGAGGCGCCCTGGCGATGATCGTATAAATCATGATTTGTTTTCTTTCTCCTGGGAACAAAGATGCTATGGATGAACTGTAACTATTCATCAAGTCACCTCTGATTACACAAAAGAAACATGGGTCCCCCGTGTGGGCTGTGGGAATCTCTGGCGGAGACTGGTGCCAGCTGACTGCCAGCGCCGCCGCAGGGAGTGAGCTGCCCATGGAGCCAGAGTCGGGCTGCAGAATGATTCCCGCAGCCCGCCCCACTGCCAGTCACGCCTCCCCAGAGGGAGGCCAGGAAGAGGCTGTCCCTCCGAGGATCAGTCTGGTTGTGGCCCGTGACTGCTTTCAATTGAAATTCACGGAGCCTTTGGTGGATCTACGGCTCTCGGTGTCCTCCAGTCAAACTTCCCGGCCTATGTTAAAAGATTCCCAAGTAGGCCTGGCCCAGGGAAGAAATAAATGCAGCCCCGATTTGAGAAAGGTTCTACACCCCAGCCCATCAGCTAGCATGGAATAGTTCCAGAAGCCTACAGTTGCCTGCAACTCTCCCAGCCTCCCAGGTCTTCCTCCTGGCCCGTAATTAGGCCAAATTTGACCCCACCTGAGGCCTCTACACCTCCCCACATCACTGCCAGTTCCATCACGGCAGGGCTGCGAGGCCGACCCTCTTTTCATTAGGTTCTCAGCTCTCCTCCCCTCAAAGATGCCTGGCTTCCCTGACCCCTCAACTTAAAGAACCATCCCCATCGCTTCCTACCAAACTCCTCATTTCACTATATAGCACTTGCCACTCCTGAATTATCTTGTTCTCCTATTCCTCAGACCCATACACACGTGGATAGAAGAATGTGTGGCTGTCGTGATGACAGGCCGGGCAGTTGAGTGCACCCACTTGCTGTTTGTTGAATGAATAAATATGAGAAGGGACATCCAGGCCAGGAGTAGGGGATGTCTCTTCACTCATGGCCGCAGCCTGGTAGAGCAGGTTAGATCCACTTGCCAGATAGGCTCGGAAATGCCCAGAGGGGAGTTTTGTCTAGGGTCACATGCAATGAGCTGTAGGCAGAGTGGACAAGTCCCTGGGATTCCATGCCCCACTCATTCAGCAGATGTTTACTGGAGTCAGGCTCTGGGCATACAGAGCCGGGAAGACAAAGCCCCTGGCCTTATTAGTCACGGACAGACGGGATGAAAACACACATCTGTCTGTGTGATGCAGGGCCCAGCCAGAAATCCGGGCATGCAGGGAGTGAAGAAATGGAATTTGTCTCAGGGGCTTCTCCTAGGGGTTAGCTTCCGGCTGTCACGCAGGATGCACACAGAACGCAAAGCCAGGCAACCATAGGGCGGCTGGGAGGCCAGGTGCAGTGGCTCATGCCTGTAATCCCAGCACTTTGGGAGGCCGAGGTGGGCGGATCACCTGAGTTCAGGAGTTCGAGACCAGCCTGGCCAACATGGTGAAACCCCATCTCTACTAATAATACAAAAATTAGCCAGGTGTGGTGCCATATGCACCTATAATCCTGGCTACTCAGGAGGCTAAGGCAGGAGAATCGCCTGAACCTGGGAGGTGGAGGTTACAGAGAGCTGTGCCACTGCACTCAAGCCTGGGCAATAGAGCAAGAGTCGAGTCTCAAGGAAAAGGGCAGCAGGGAACAAGGCCAGCGGGAAAGTGAGTGGGCATCATGGGCGCGGGTGACAGTTTCAGCGAGGCTCAGGGTTGGCCTTGCTGAGGTGAGGTCTGGGCAAAGACTTGCAGGAAGGCAGGGAGCAGGCGGGGATCTCTGATCCCTGCAGAGGGATCAGCCTCTGTGAAGGCAGGGGTGCTGGCCTGTTGGAGGGGACCACAGCCCGGAGGAGGGACAGCCTCTGGGCCATTGTAAGGAAGTGAGCAGCATTCCCTGTCAGTGGCCAGAAGCCTGTGACGGGAGGTGCTCTTTTTTTTGTGTGAAACGGAGTCTTGCTCTGTTGCCCAGGCTGGAATGCAGTGGCACAATCTCAGCTCACTGTAACCGCTGCCTCCCAGGTTCAAGTGATTCTTATGCCTCAGCCTCCCAAGCAGCTGGGACTACAGGCGGGAGCCACCACACCCGGCTAACTATTTTTCCCCCTGAGATGGAGTCTTGCTCTGTCGCCCAGGCTTGAGTGCAGTGGCGCAATCTTGGTTCACTGCAACCTCCGCCTTCCGGGTTCAAGCAATTCTCCTGCCTCAGCCTCCTGAGTAGCTGGGATTACAGACACCCACCACCATGCCCAGCTAATTTTTGTATTTTTTAGTAGAGACGGGGTTTCACCATATTGGCCAAGCTGGTCTCAAGTTCCTGACCTTGTGATCCGCCCGCCTCAGCTTCCCAAAGTGCTGGGATTACAGGCATGAACCACTGCACCAGACCAGGACTTGCATTGTCTTTTCTTTTCTTTTCTTTTTCTTTTTTGAGACGGAGTCTTGCTCTGTCGCCCAGGCTGGAGTACAGTGGCTCGATCTTGGCTCACTGCAAGCTCCGCCTCCCGGGTTCCAGCAATTCTCCTGCCTCAGCCTCCCGAGTTGCTGGGACTACAGGCACGTGCCACCACACCCGGCTAATTTTTGTATTTTTTAGTAGAGACGGGGTTTCTCCATGTTGGCCAGGCTGGTCTCGAACTCCTGACCTCGTGTTCCGCCCGCCTCAGCCTCCCAAAGTGCTGGGATTACAGGTGTGAGCCACCACACCCAGCAGGACTTGTGTTTTCAAAGGCTGCGGGTGGACATGGACGGGTGAAGGCCAGGGCCTTTCAGGCTTACTGAGGACTTCCCCTTTTCCGTTCTGTAGTGCACAGCCTCACAGAGCCTTGGGCCCAGCTGAGCCCAAGGGGTTCAGGTAGCCCCCACGTGAGGCAGAAAGGGGGTTTCTCAGAAGCCCTGGGATGCCCCAGCAGCGTGCTGCTTACAGAGCCCCAGGGTCCAAGGCTCAGCTCTCCCCCTTAGAAGGGTAGGGCAGGAGCACTAGCCCCGGTTAGATGACAGCTGGGACCAGGAGCTGCTGGTGGAGACACGAGATGGTCTCCTGCTGTGAGGGGCTTCCCCGGACTCCACCAGGCCCTTCCTTTCCCAGAGCCTCCACGTGGGTCAGGGAGTCAAGGACGGCAGCCACCTCCTCAGTGTGGACACAGGCCCCGCCCCCACGCCCTGCAGCCAGGTGAACTGACAGACACCAGGGGTAGATCTGGGGCTGCTGATAAAAAGGAATGAGCCCCCACGGCCTGTGGCAGAATCAGGGACCACCCCAGGCAGAGCCTCCAGCCTTCTAAGGGGGAGAGTTGAGCCCTGGGCCCTGGGGCTCTCTAAGCTGAGAGTTGCTAGGGGCTTCCCAACAAACTCCCTTTCTGTCCCAGGTGGGGGCTGCCTGAACCCCTGGGCCGTGGGAGCAGCCAGACTCCGTGAAGCTTTGCACAAAGGAAGGGAAAAGGGGAAGTCTGCAGTGGACTTGAAAGGCCCTGAGTGATTAGGACCTGGACCAGGAGTGGGAGAGAGACCCAGAGAGGAGGTACAGCCTGCTCAAGGCCACACAGCAAGCCAGTGATGACCACAGCTGGTGAATCAGCCTCTCTAAAACACCATTTCTGTACCTGTCAGCTCCACCAGGCAGGGACGCTTGTCTGGTTCACCAGCATATCACTGGCATTTAGAATATTGCCTGGCACATAGAAGATGCTCAATAAACATTAGTTGAATGAGTCCATCTGTAAAATGGGCTGATTACATAGCTACTGCTCGGGGTGGTTGTGTGACTCAGATGACACTGGGTGGTGCCAGACCCCTAGAAGATACTCAGCACCAGGTTCTTTTTCCTTTTTCTTTCCTTTCTTTTCTTTCCTTCCTTTCTTTCATTCGTTCCTTTTTTTTTTTTTTTTTTGACAGAGTCTTGCTCTGTTGCCCAGGCTGGAATGCAATAGCATGATCTGGGCTCACTGCAACCTCCGCCTCCCTGGTTCAAGCGATTCTCCTGCCTCAGCCTCCCTAGTAGCTGGGATTACAAGCATGTGCCACCTGTACAGGCATAGCCCAGCCACACACCCAGCTAATTTTTGTATTTTTGGTAGAGACGGGGTTTCACCATGTTGGTCAGGCTGGTCTTGAACTCTTGACCTCAGGTGATCCACCTGCCTCAGCCTCCCAAAGTGCTGGGATTACAGGCGTGAGCCACCATACCCAGCCCCAGGTACTTTCCAATCCCATTCCAGTCTAGTCTGGTCAGGGGTAGGGGAGGCTTTGGGGGAAGGAGGCACCTGCTGAAGTTGATAACATCTCTGGGCTAACTGGTTTTCCAGCTTGCTGTGACTGGCAGCACCCACGAGCCCAGGGGAAGAGACTGGAGCCTCCTCACTCCCCAGCCTGGAAGCTCAAGCCTCAGGGTCCCAGCTGATCCCCAGCTCCCCGACCCACACAGCCCTGTCCAGCTGCTCAGGCCCTGGGACAGCCAGAAGCAGGTGTGAGGGGGGCAGAGTGAGCTCCTGGGCTCCAGGACCCTCCTGGGAGGGTGGCCACTGGCCTTGGGGCCACCTGCTCTTCGCGCCTCCTCACTCTGCCCTGAATGGGGGTCTGGACCCCTTGTTCCCCTCCATCAGCCACTGGAGCTCCTGCTGGGAGGGCCAACCCTCCCAACTCAATCTCCCTGAGACCCAGAGCCTGGGACTTGCCCAGCCCAGCTCCTGCCAGCCCCGTACCTCCCAACTGAGAGGTCCTTTTTCTTTTTCTTTTTTTTCCCCACCTGGAGATGGAGTTTCACTCTTGTTGCCCAGGTTGTAGTGCAATGGCGCGATCTTGGCTCACTGCAACCTCCGTCTGCCGGGTTCAAGCGATTCTCCTGCCTCAGCCTCCTGAGTGGCTGGGATTACAGGCACGCGCCACCACACCCGGCTAATTTTGTATGAGAGATCCCTTTTCTACAAGGGCTCAGAGGGAGGGTCCCACGTGGCAGCAGCCCCGAGGTCACTGTGACAAGTCCTCTGCTTCTGGGAAGACTTGGCCCCATGAACGGGATAGACGGGGAGGTGTGGGGGACGTGCAGGACATTCCTGCAATCTCAAGCACTTTCTATTATAACACCCCAAGGTGTAGCCCTGGAATTAGCTGAGCCTCCCCGAGGCTGTCCAGCCTTCCAGCTCCTCTGCAGCGTGTCACTTCCATGTCTCATGGCCACCCACAGCCCCTCCCTGGGCAGGATCGAGTTTCCCACCAGCAGGTCCGGGAGCCCTTCCTCCCTCAGCACTCACCCACGCGCCAGCGAGAGAGCTGAGCCTTGTGAATAATTCACAGCAATTCACAGCAGGCCCCAGAGGCTCGCAAGAGCATGAAGCTGGGCCACCTGGGTGCCCTGATTGGGCCCTGTGGCCTGGGGCAGCTCAAGCCTCTGCCCTACCCAGCTCCCAGCCTTCATATCCACAGCTTCGGTGAGCAGGAATCCCTACCCCCAAGATAGGAGGTTAAGTGGGTACCCCAGCCCCCAACCCCAATTCCCAGCTGCCCTTCCTGCATAAGCCCAGCCTGGCAACCACAGAAAGACACCTTCTTATCAGTCGAGTCACATGCTGCTGTGGGGAACGGAGCCCAAGCCCTCTGTCCACCTCCCTGAGATTCATGGTGACTCCTGGGGGGCTGGCAGCTCATCAGTCCAGGCCATCTGGCCACTGGGTCGGCACCAGCGCCCAATCACACACAGCACCTGGCATGGCCTGGGAGGGGGTCAGGGTTCCCCAGCCCCGGAGCCCTGGAGGGCGTTCCACAGCACAGCCAGTCTTCCTAACACCTGGGATCCAGCCCACGGAGGGATCGTGGCTTCTCAGTGAGGAAGGCTTAGGGGCCGGCGGTCCCCACCAGCACTTGCATAAGGCGGGCTCAGCGTCTTCCAGTTCACACTTGGGCCATATTGGTCCCGCCATCAGGGGCACCTGCCCCTCTCAAGACCTGTCCTTCTCCTCTGCTTGAAGTGAGGGGGTGGGACAGGTGCATCAGAATCACCGCCATGAGGGTGGGGACATGTCCCAGGTGTGGCTCCCAGGCCCCAACCTGGAGAGTCTAACTCAGGAATCTGGGACAGCCTCCAAGAGGTGTTGACAGGAGCCAGTTGGAACCCTCTACTCAAGGGTCCCTGGGTCCCTCCTAGTCTAAATCCCACTGACTTTGACATGATCCAAACCCTAGTTTGTTTGGAAGCAGTGAATTCATACCAAAGCAGCCACCAAGAAGGCCTGGCAGGGCTGGTTGTGAAGCACCCCTTCCTCCGGGTGCTGCCTGTTGGGTCTCCCACTAACCAAACCAGGGAGCCCCTTCTTAGCAAGGATGGAACCAGGCCCAGCTCCCTTGTCCTGGGCCGAGGGGACCACTGGAGCCCGGCCTGGTGGGTCCTAGGGCCACCCTACATCCACGCCAGTGTGCCTGGGCCCAAGAGGCTGCAGCTGTGGCTACCTTGCCACATGGCCATATGGCCAGAACTGGCCTCCAGCTTGCTCCCTGGTGGCCAGGGGCCCTGCAGGCACACCCAGAAACTGACCAGTGGTGGGGACAGGCCAGACCCTCTCACCTCGTAGCTGCTCTCGTCCTGAGGCTGGGTCCACATTCACATTTCCATCTCAGGCTCCCACTTAGACTAACGAGGGTCACCCATCAGAGTAACCCACTCCCCGCTCAGACCCCTGTGGCATCTGGCACCCTACCCTCTCAGACAGGGCCTGGGCAGCTTTTCCCAGGATCCCTGCCTCCCCAGGCGCACCTAAGACCTGAGTCTCTTCCTCCCTCCCCAAGACTCACACATGCCACCTGCTCTGTTCGACCCCCCACCCCACCCGGGGGAGCTCCCAGACCACTCCCCAGGAGGTTTGGGATCCCCATGCTTCCCTTGATAGTGGGAACGGGCTGAGGGGCCACAGGAGATAACAAGTTGCTTTCTGGATGGCCTCCAGCCAGGGGCTCTGGGGTCAGGAGGTGGGGTGGGGGTTGGGGAGGGGCCTTTCTCCCTTAACTGCTTGGTAACTAATGGGGTTCCCTTTCTGCCTGTTTGACTAGGGCCTAGGAGGCGCTCCTGCCCTTGCTGCCCCCAACTCCATTCTGAACAGTCTTGCAAGTGAGCACAGCCTGAGCCAGAGAGAGCCCCTGCGGCAGAAGCAGCCCAAGGGGAACAGGTGACCTTGGCCTGTGTGCCCAGCCTCCCAGGTCCAGCTGCGTGCGGCCGGGCAGCTGAGGATGTTGGGAGCACCTGCTTGCAGGGCTCTGGGGGCAGCCCCAGAAGGGGTTTTCCAGGAGGGGAAGATTTCATGTTGAGTGGGAGCCATTTCTCTGGCCTGGCCCTCTGGCCCCAGGATGGCTACTGGAGGGATCTTTGCCCTGGAGTGCCAGAGAAGTGTGGAAAATCCCAGGCATCCCCCAAAGCCCTGGCCCGGCCCACCCAGAGGACCCCTTAAGAGGAGTGATCTCACTCAGGGTAGTGCCTGACGAGAAGCCTCAGGGAGGGGAAGTCTCCTTTGGCTGCAGCGTAGTGGATAGGCAGGGCGCCCATGTCTGTGGCCGCGGTGGGATCCCCACCGCCATGATGCAAGAGCCAGTTCACCACCTCGGGGTGGCCAAAGCGGGTAGTCAGATGCAAGACTGTGGGACCAGAATTGTCTTTGTCCTGTGGGAGGAGAGCGGGTTCAAGTCCTAAAGCCTGTTGCTGCCCGGCCCCTGGCTTGGGCCGCTCCCAGACTCCCACAGGCCTGGAAGGTAGCTCTGTGCTCTCTGTCTTCCCTGGAAGAATTGGCCAGGCCTCACTCAGCAATGGTTTTTTTGGGTCAAGCGGATCCTGGGTTTGAGTCCTGCTTCTGTCCTTGGGCAACTAATTGGCCCTCTCTGAACCGTACGTAGCCAATAGGCAGCACCGTGCAGGGTTTTCAGAGGCTGCAGGTCCTGACTGCGAGCTGCCTACACGACAGGCACCTGGTTGTCATGGCAGGAGACTGGCTCCAGGCCCAGGGCCACAGCCCTGACTCCCAGGGGCTCAGGGAATGCCTGAAGGAGTGACACAGGGTTACTGGGCTGAGCAGGGCCAGGAAGGGGGGCTGTGGGGCTGTACCAAGCTAGCATCAGGATTGGGGGGCAGCCCCTGCATCCAACACTTGCCCCCTCTCTCTCCACCCTTCCTAGGTGTCACGTGGGAACAGAGACCTCCACCTTGGTGCGCCTCCAGCAACCCAACCTCAGTGCCTTAGTCAGGCAATAAGGGCCCTGGGGACTGGTTTGGGTAGGAAGGACACACCAAATGAGCAGGAGGAATTTCCCCATAGAGGCGAAGAGAATCCAGAGATGGTGAGGGAGAAAAGCACATAAGAAATTAAAAACAAATGCAAACAAACGAGGTTGAAACAGGGCTGGAGGGTGTGAATGTGGTGATTCTTCTCTTCCTGAGGAGACAGGGTCCTGCGAGTTTTGTCACAAGTCAGGAAGCTCCATCAGCTCTGCAACACCTGAGTCCTGGATGGCGGGAGATGATGGCTTAAGATATCTGGGTGCAAAGCCTGAGGCCCTGCCTGTAACTCCGACTCCCTCAAGGGCAGCTGAGAGGGAGGACTCAGGGCACTGGGGAAAGTCAGCAGACCCAGTCACAGAATTAGAATAAGGTGGAGCTACGCAGGGAAGACAACACCAACTATTTCTTTTTTCTTATTTTATTTTATTTTATTTATTTATTTTTTTTGAGATGGAGTCTCGCTCTGTCGCCCAGGCTGGAGTGAAGTGGTGCGATCTCGGCTCACTGCAAGCTCCACCTCCTGGGTTCACGCCTTTCTCCTGCCTCAGCCTCCCGAGTGGCTGGGACTACAGGCACCTGCCACCGCGCCTGGATAATTTTTTTATTTTTGTATTTTTAGTAGAGACGGGGTTTCACCATGTTAGCCAGGATGGTCTCGATCTCCTGACCTCATGATCTGCCCACCTCAGCCTCCCAAAGTGCTGAGATCACAGGCGTGAGCCACCGTGCCCTGCCAACACCAACTATTTCATTGGCAGTAGAAGAATCACACTCTGCAGCTACTGAGAGGTGGAGGTGAAGCCACCCTGCTGAGCAGCCAACCTCACTTTTTGGTTATTATCCTTGTGCCGATGCTGCCGGACAAACTCTCTCTACAAATCTCAGCATGTGGAAGAAACAGAGGCAGGAACAATTGCCCAGCACCTTTCTATTTCTCGAGGACACTCTTGAAGTTATTCATCAATGTTTTAATTAAAGCAGATCTTATCGCTTTTCCTCAAATGGGAACTTGTTCACTTTTAGACTTTGTTATTGTTCATTTTGGGCTTATCTTTGGTCTTTTCCTGTGCTCTTAAAAGGGTGCAAATCAAAATCTGAGTATGATAATCCACTTATCATATGACTAATTACTTCAGTACAAGGAGTTCCTGCCTGTCTGTCCAATATGAATCTTACTACGTCCCAATGTCACATTGGCTTCTTTTCCTTCTCGGTGGCAGCATTTGGAGCTTTTACTTAACTTAGGGTCAATTTCGACCTCTGAATTTTCCACCCCTCCCCCACAGCTGTTGCTGGGTCATGCTGTTTTCTTTTATCTCTATAAATATTGTGACTTGTAATTGTCACTTATAAATTCATTGTGGCTATACTGAATCATTCCCCCATTATCCAAGTCATCCAAATATTCGATGTGCATTTCCACAAATCATGTAGTGGCCCCCTGATTGGGGATGATTTGTAGAATTAATTATATGCTTTACATCTCCATTCAGGTCTTCAGGTCACCAATACATTAAGCAGAGCAGGGCCCTGAACAGCTTATATGGATCAACGATTGACAGAGCTGTCGGGGTTGCTGCAAAGCCACTGACTTTTGCTGTTCCCCGTAACAAAGTATGTTCAAATCTAGGTCACAGGTTTGTGGTAGGGTCGATTCACAGTATACATGTGCAATGGCGTTCAGTAGCATAGCAGTTGAGGTTGTGAAGACATGTGCACCCAGGTCAAAGAAGAAAGATCCTTAGACAAAGCCGCTCAATTCCCAGGCACCCAATCTTCCTTGGGCTTTGTGAACCTGAGATTTGACAGGCTCTTGGGAATGTCTGTCTCTAAGACTCTGTTGGCAGGCTTAATCAGGCTGGTGGCCATCTCCATATGTGCCCCCCTAGCATTTGTGACAAAATAAAGGAAGGGGGACCCAATAAAGCTACTTCTGAAAGCTTATGATCCCACCCCTCATTTAAACTATGTGATGTTGTCATTCTATATAAACTCTTTCCAAGTAACTTAACTAAAACACACTTTGCCATTAGTCTTGAGTGTGGGCACAGCATTATTCTTTTCTAGGCCTTAAGGGTTCCTTCTGCTTAAAAATAATGTCTAACTTTCATGAAGTTTACCCATGATTAAAGTGCCTTCTGAATATATATTATCTTGTTCTATTGGTTTCAATATACCTATTTTCTTTAAAAAGAAAAAAATGATGAACCATGAGTGTTAACACCAGAAAAACCTTAAGGTACATCTGATCTAATTTCCCACTTTAAAGTGAGAAAATCAAACAGTGCCTAGGGGTCTGATTTTTCCCCAGGCTAATTCGGGTTTTCATATTTCCATCTCAAAGTGGACTTTCTTTGGCTAACTTTAAGTTTTAAACGTAAAGGCCTGAAAAGTAACTCAGGATCTAGCTTTTTCATTAGTTTTGATCGTGTATGAAAGCAAATATTTCTTTCCCCCAAATGAAACCCCCGGGCTTCCAGTATTTGTAGTGATAGTGTGAATCCATTAGGTCTATTTTTAATTATATCTCTCTTATTGGTTATTTTTTTCACATTTCCTAACTCATTTGTGATATTGCTTCCATATAATTCAACTTTTTGTGCGCTGGGTTCCCATTTGCCCCACAAAGGCCTATGTGCAAATCTGATATCCTGTTTGAATGACATTGTTTTGTTTTTACCTTATTGCTTCCTATCTTTCACAACAATGTTGTCAGTTCTCAACATTAAGGCATTAAAAATTAGCTTTTCTCAAATGCTCAGCATCATTAATCATTAGGGAAATGCAAATTAAAACCATAATGAATATCATCTCACACCTGTTAGAGTGGCATTTATCAAAAAGGTGAATGATGTGTTAGACATAATGCAGAGAAAAGGGAACACACACATTGTGAATAGGTATGTAAATTAGTACAGCTGGTGTGGAAAACAGTATGGAGTTTCCTCAAAAAACTAAAAATAGAATCTACCCTATGATCCAGGAACCCTATTTCTGGGTACATATCCAAGAGAAGCTTCAGAGAATGCTTTGTTGGGTTTTCTGGAACCTGGCAGGGCTCAGGTGTGTGGGGATGCGCTCTGTGAGCCTGTGTTTCCTCCGCCGTGAGGGCTCCTCCCGCTCCTGTAGGAAAAGGCAGTGCCCCTTTTGTCTTGTCCATGTGGGACTCCAAAGGGTCCAGACGCGACAGAAAGGCGGCGAATCCTCTCAGAGTGGGCAGGGGAGGAGATAGAATATGGGGAGGAGATAGAATATGGGAATGGGGCAGTAGAGGGGTGGGATTTCATGAAATTTCCTGATTCAAGGCTATCATGAAGTAGGCCTCTTTGGGAGCTCGGCCCTCCAGTCGCTGGTGAGGGTAACATCCCACCAGTCTCTGGTGAGGTCCAGTCGCCTCCGCCGACTGCATTGAAAGCCAAAAGCAGAACTAGGCCAGCACCGCGGCCTGGCGTCCAGTGACCCAGCGGTCTGCATATTCCCCAGGGTGGAAGCACTCGGACTTCAGGTTTGAAGGCAATGCGGTCACCACTGCAATAAGAAAAGCAACTAGGGAAAATGGCACCTTCTTCTCCAAACTTTTGAGACACTCTTGCTCTGTCGTCCAGGCTGGAGTGCAGTGGCACGATCTCGGCTCACTGCGACCTCTGCCTCCCGGGTTCAAGCGATTCTCCTGCCTCGGCCTCCCAAGAAGCTAATTTTTGGCATTGAGAGAGAGAGAGGGGAAGGGGGGGGGAGAGAGATTGATTTTAATGTCTTCAAGCAAAAAGAGACTCTTTCTGCCTGTTGGCCATCTGCTGCCAGGTGAACGTGAAAATCCATCGAGACGCTTTCTGTGAAAACCGCCTTTATCTCTTTGTCCCTCTTAGGTTAAAATCCGCACTCCAAAACCTTATTGAACAGAAAAATTACAAAAAGCACATATAAGACATTTCAGTTTTGTAAAGGGTAAAATGAAACTGCCCTTCAAGAAGAATCAGAAGACCGACGAGGGAGAGAGGAGCGATCGTGAAATCTAAGTGGGCTGCCCCCGGGTCTTCCAGGGTTTTGTACTCGGTGGCTTGGCCTGAGTTGATGTGCCCATATTTTCAAACAGCCAAGTGCCCTGAGACACAGCCTTTGCTACGGTACCTGCTGAAATCTGGAAGTGTGATTAACTATTACTTAAATTGAGTGGGGCAGACTAAGAGACAGCAGCAGTGAAGGATGACCTTTGGGAGAAAGACGTCGAGGCGCTGAGGCCAAAGGGTCCGTGAGGAAAGAGCCCGCAGCTCGCGCCCCTCGGCCTGCGGAAGGGAGGGCAAGGAGGGTCCTACGGTTCCTGGGAGGACGCGAAGAGCCAAGAGCTCTGACAGCTGGCGCCGGGGAAAAGGCCCCGAGGCGGGGTCCGCATCCCTGGAAGGGCGGCGTCCACACTCCTGCGAGGCACGGGGCGCCCGGGGCTCGGAAGCTCAAAGCCCGCCGGCTTCTGCAGCTTCTGGAGCTTCTGGGAGCCAAGAGTGTCAGCCGGAAGGATCCCGCACACGGCGCTTAGTTCTGGAACTGGATACCCGGGGGAGGATGCGGGATCCCGAAGCCTGGGTGTGGGTCCCCGTGGTCTTCGTGTTGGGGGTAGGTGCGGAACGCTAAGCCTGGGCCTACTGGGAGCCATAGTCTTCTTGATGGCTGGTGCTTATTGGGCTTTTTTCAGTCGAATTTCAAAATGCAGTTGAATTTCTTACTTTGGAAACGATAATAGAAATGGCTGACCTCAGATTTTCATGATTATGTTTTGCCTTTTCCAGTGTATGTGCAGTTTCTGTAGTATAGTGGTTATCATGTTTGCCTCACATGTGAAAGACCCTTGGCTCGAGACTGGAGGGAAACATGGTTTTTTGGTTTTTCTTTTTGTCCCTAAATTTAGTGAGTTTAATCGAGGTTGGGAAACAAACAGAAAAGTAGTTGAACCTGTGGCTACACTTTAGACCTCCTCAATCTAGACAGATTGTTGACCAGGCTACAGTTTCCACTGGTCTGCCAGCAAGAGGCCTGCTTAATGTTAGCTTTGGTTCCAGAAATTCCTTAAGATTCTCTTCATTCTCTTCTGTCGCCTGAATTTTCATAGGCTGACACTGAAAGTGGATGACATCTTAATGCATTTCCTAAGTGTCCCGCTGGGCTTCGCTTTACTCTGATAAGTTTCAGATCTGGCTGATTTGCGAGACAAAAACAAAATATTTTTTTAAAAGGTTCTAAATCTGCATCTGGAACTCGTAGAGTCAATAATCTGAAACCACACGAATTATCTACATACAAAAGATTTTGAATGCATACCCCTTCCCCAAATAATCCTCAGAAAACCGGTTAAGTTTTAGCATCTATGACTCTGAGATGCATATGAGGCCTTTGTAAATTTAGAAGTTGAGAGTAGAAAGTACAGGTTTGTATTTTAGAAGGAGATTTGGGAATAAATATAGCTCTGGTGGATATAGATCATATGTTAAGGTTTGTTGGCCAGAGCTGGTGTGTGTCTTGGGTGTTGGGCAAAGAACAGAGAACAGCCAAAGCTCTGCGAGGTCAATGTGAAGGGTGATTTCCTTGGTGGGCTCAAGTTTATGACGCAGCCTAGACCTAGCTTGGCTTCTCAGCTAGAGAAGAAGCATGATTCCATGTCACAGCTCCTGTCTTTGAAAAAGTCATAATGACTCCCAGACCCAACATGTGGGGAAAACTCTGGATTTGTCTCTTCAGTTGAATGTCTCCGTTGAAAATTGAGGAAAGAAATCTCTCTACTATTTGAACTTCATCAAAAGACGAATATGTTAATATTTTGACCGTCAATATTTCCTTAAACTAGTCTACTCCTTTCATAGCTAATACATCAAAGCATATTAACTTAGGAAATGGGATTCTCCCAAACAAGGAAACATTGACGGCAAGGGTTCTTAATCTTTTCACATCACATTTCCTTCAAATGCTTTATACATCTTCAAGCAGACAAATAATAGTATTATAATGATTACGAGACCGATCATTACTCTTTTGCCAAAAAAACCAGCGACAA
This sequence comes from Homo sapiens, assembly GCF_000001405.40. Lineage (NCBI taxonomy): Eukaryota > Metazoa > Chordata > Mammalia > Primates > Hominidae > Homo > Homo sapiens. The sequence goes on along the minus strand of NW_025791756.1, from coordinate 809,829 downwards.
AAGACTAACTTAGTGGACCAACCTTTGTTTCTTCATTATCTGTACATTGATTCTGTCCTTTTATTTCGTCTTTCTTCTAATTCTGCTTCTGCTTCTTGTTTCCTCCCTGGATTTGAACTTTATTTACCTAAACTACCAGTTAGGTTACCTTCTCAGAACCTCTAAGGCAGCAGTTTGAGATTGACAATGGAAGATTTAAGATTAGAAAAACATGAATGAATTTCTGATGTTTTATTATAGGGGTTTATAATGCAGGTAGAAAGACCTTTTTCAGACTTAAGAGTTTGATCCACCAAATGAGCTATTTTGATATTTATAACTTTGTCTAGTAAAAGTTTCCTATAAAAACATTTGGTTTGGATGTGATTGTTAGCCTTTAGTCGACACTTGAAAAAGGCGGTTGGAAGTTTCTAAGTCTTTTTGGATACTCTTTTCTCTTATCCTCCAGGATGTGGTTGTGTAGAGGCGTTGGTGGTGCAGTGGTAGAATTCTCGCCTCCCACGTGGGAGACTCGGGTTCAATTCCCGGCCAATGCAGCAGGGACTTTTTCATTTCATTATGGCCCTTTACCCATCTTTTACGCTGCAAAATTATACTGCATAACCTAATAGTGCATTTAGGGGCTTGGCCATCACAAGGTAAAGTGACAACATTACTCACGAGAGTAGCGGCAAGAGACATTCAGGACACTAACCCAGGACCCATGCAATTGTTGGACTCAAACAGCTTAGCAAAGTGGCAAGCACGAAGTCTTTCCGGTGAGTCACTGCAGTTTTGATATTGGTACCTGTTACTTTCATCTATTCACGGGGCGGATCCCTGCAAACCCGAAGAATCATCAGGTTCCTGATTCGCGTGCTGGACCTTGGGCTTACTGCTGAGCCACTGTAGAGAGGATCAAGAAATGACGCTCTTGGAAGGAGAGAAGCTGCGGGCAGGACAGTCACGTCAGAGGTCCAAGAGGCTTCAGCGGCCCAAAGAAAGGGAAGGTGTGTGGGGAAGAATCTGCGTGGAGATGAGGGGAGCGGCGGGGACTGGTCCTTGCGCAGAGGTGGCCAGTGGACCCTCAGGGCTGTACCCCAGACACCGTGAACCGAATTTGCTCACATCGTCAGCGGCCGCGGCCTCCGCGTGCTTTGTGGGCCCATCGGTGTTCTGCGAGGGATTCCGTGTGTCTGGCAATGTCTGTCAACAGGTGTTGGCCTGAAATTTGGCCGGGCACGTTGGCTCACGCCTGTAATCCCAGCACTGTGTGAGGCCGAGGCGGATGGATCGCTTGAGGTCAAGAGTTCAAGACCAGCCTGGCTAACATGGAAAAATCCCGTCTCTACTAAAAATACAAAAATTAGCCGAATGTGGTGGCATGCACCTGCTATTCCGGCTACTTGGGAGGCTGAGGCAGGAGAATCGCTTGAACCCAGGAGGCAGAGGTTGCAGTGAGCCAAGATTGCGCTACTGCACTCCACCTGGGCGACAGAGCGAGACTCCGTCAAAAAAAAAAAAAAAAAAGCAGCGAAAGAAGGCAGAGATGTCAATGGGACAAAGAGACCTCCCAGGAGGCTTGTTGTAGAGGCAGTGGGTGGATCCTGGGAGATGAGATTTTTTTAAAATTATGTAGCAGAATGGGGAGAGAAAAGGAGAAGCGCATGAAAGAGAGAAAAGCACGAAAATCGGTGGCGTCCAAGAATAAAGCAGATAAAATAGTGTGAGTGTTTTTACATTAAAAAAATAGAAGAAGTGCAATGCTTGTCAGCAGGCTTTGTGGTCGTGTAGTGGTTAATACTTGTAGTTGTGGTTGCCACAACCTGGGTTCTAATCTGAGTCACAGTAGTGTTTTCTAGCCTGCGATTGTGGCTAATAGACCTGTCGTTTGCTTTGCCTTTAATCCTAGCAGCCTCCAGAGAGCAGAGTAAACCTCTGGCCCTGAAGGGCGCCAGCTTCTGGAGTTTAGCCCACAGTGCAGAAACTAGGGGGCGGCCTGGCCGATAGGAAAACTTGGACATGCTCTTTGTCTCACAATTGAGCAGGAAAAATTCCCGTAGGTGAAGATGCCGCCTCTCAAGGGCCCTTTGTCTGTAGCTTCCACTGGTGAAATAATGCGGTTATAGTCTTTTTCGGTAGAGAAAACGGCTGTATCAGTGGAATTTTTTAAAAACACAAAACGAGAACGAGTTTTTAATGAGTTGACAATAAAATCTAAACTAGTTGTCATGGTCTGCACAGGCTTGCCTCCATTCCCCATCTGCTAATTTTTATGAGAACAGTAAATTATTACTATTATAATTATTTTTGAGACGTAGTCTTGTTCTGTCACCCAGGCTGGAGTGTCATGGCTCAATCTCGGCTCACTGCAACCTGTGTCTCCCAGGTTCAAGCAATGAGAACAGTAAAGAAGCTACAGTTCACATAAAGTGCACAAATCTTTAGTGCAATTTGTTTAGTTTTGATCAATGTTATCACCACCCAGCTCAAGTTATAGAAAATTGCCATCATCTGAGAAAGGCCTGTTAGAGCCCCTGTCCAGGTGATTCCCACCCTGTGTCCTCTTAGTTATCACTATTCTGATGTCTATTCCCACAGGTTACAATTGCCTGTTCTTAAAGTTCACATGAATGAATGTACATATGTTTTGTGTCTGGCCTTTTTTCTCCAGTTACATTCATTATACTCATGAGATATATCCATGTAGTTTCATAGATCACTTCTCAATTTTGGGGTTATTGATTTCTTGTGCTGAATATTCTTATAACAGTCTTTGTGTGCACTTGAGATTCATGGAAGTCCTTCAATTGCTGGGTCATGACCTGAGTATAAGTTTAACATCAGTATAAATTGCCAGTCTTCTAGAATGCTTTTTCGCCAGCGATGACAGTTGAAGTGGCACCAAATTCTTGTCAGCATTTGGTGTACTAACTTTGTTAAATGTAGCTATGCTCTCAGACCAGGCTGGCCAACATGGCGAAACCCTGTCTCTACTCAAAATACAAAAATTAGCTTGGCATGGTGGCATGCACCTGTAGTCCCAGCTACTCCGGAGGGGGATGTTGCAGTGAGTCAAGATCGCAGCATTGCACTCCAGCTTGGGTGACAGAATGAGACCCTGTCTCAGAAAAAAAAAAAAAAAAAGTAGCCATACACTGGTGAGTGGGTAGTGCTATCTCAGTGTGGAATTAATTTTTATTTGCCTAATGAGCAATCCTATGAAGCATATTTTCTTATGGCTTCCAGCATATAAGAAACTCTCCTTTGCAAAGGCCTATTCGAATATTTTGCCCTATTTTATTTGGCTTAGCTCTATATTACTGACTTACAAAAGTTCTCTTATATATTCAAGAATTGAGTCTTGTTTTGACGTTTTTTAAATTATACTTTAAGTTTTAAGGTACATGTGCACAACGTGCAGGTTTGTTACATATGTATACATGTGCCATGTTGGTGTGCTGCACCCATTAACTCGTCATTTACATTAGGTATATCTCCTGATGCTATCCCTCCCCCTCCCCCCACCCCACAACAGTCCCCGGTGTGTGATGTTCCCCTTCCTGTGTCCAAGTGTTCTCATTGTTGAATTCCCACCTATGAGTGAGAACATGCGGTGTTTGGTTTTTTGTCCTTGCGATAGTTTGCTGAGAATGATGGTTTCCAGCTTCATCCCTGTCCCTACAAAGGACATGAACTCATCATTTTTTATGGCTGCATAGTATTCCATGGTGTATATGTGCCACATTTTCTTAATCCAGTCTATCATTGTGGGACACTTGGGTTGGTTCCAAGTCTATGCTATTGTGAATAGTGCCGCAATAAACATACGTGTGCATGTGTCTTTATAGCAGCGTGATTTATAATCCTTTGGGTATATACCCAGTAATGGGATGGCTGGGTCAAATGGTATTTCTAGTTCTAGATCCCTGAGGAATCACCATACTGACTTCCACAATGGTTGAACTAGTTTACAGTCCCACCAACAGTGTAAAAGTGTTCCTATTTCTCCACATCCTCCCCAACACCTGTTGCTTCCTGACTTTTTAATGATCACCATTCTAACAGGTGTGAGATGGTATCTCACTGTGGTTTTGATTTGCATTTCCCTGATGGCCACTGATGATGAGGATTTTTTCATGTATCTTTTGGCTGCATAAATGTCTTCTTTTGAGAAGTGTCTGTTCATATCCTTCACCCACTTGTTGATGGGGTTGTTTGTTCTTTTCTTGTAAATTTGTTTGAGTTCTTTGTAGATTCTGATGAAACTACAGATGAGTAGATTGCAAAAATTTTCTCCCGTTCTGTAGGTTGCCTGTTCACTCTAATGACAGTTTCTTTTGCTGTGCAGAAGCCCTTAAGTTTAATTAGATCCCATTTGTCAATTTTGGCTTTTGTTGCCATTGCTTTCAGTGTTTTAGACATGAAGTACTTGCCCATGCCTATGTCCTGAATGGTATTGCCTAGGTTTTCTTCTAGGCTTTTTATGGTTTTAGGTCTGACATTTAAGTCTTTAATCCATCTTGAATTAATTTTTGTATAAGGTGTAAGGAAAGGATCCAGTTTCAGCTTTCAACATATGGCTAGCCAGTTTTCCCAGCACCATTTATTAAATAGGGAATCCTTTCCCCATTTCTTGTTTTTGTCAGGTTTGTCAAAGATCAGATAGTTGTAGATGTGTGGCATTATTTCTGAGGGCTCTGTTCTCCTCCATTGGTCTATATCTCTGTTTTGGTACCAGTACCATGCTGTTTTGGTTACTGTAGCCTTGTAGTATAGTTTGAAGTCAGGTAGCGTGATGCCTCCAGCTTTGTTCTTTTGGCTTAGGATTGACATGGCAATGCGGGCTCTTTTTTGGTTCCATATGAACTTTAAAGTAGTTTTTTCCAATTCTGTGAAGAAAGTCATTGGTAGCTTGATGGGGATGGCATGGAATCTACAAATTACCTTGGGCAGTATGACCATTTTCCCGATAGTGATTCTTCCTACCCATGAGCGTGGAATGTTCTTCCATTTGTTTGTATCCTCTTTTATTTTGTTGAGCAGTGTTTTGTAGTTCTCCTTGAAGAGGTCCTTCACATCCCTTGTAAGTTGGATTCCTAGGTATTTTATTCTCTTTGAAGCAATTGTGAATGGGAGTTCACTCATGATTTGGCTCTCTGTTTGTCTGTTATTGGTGTATAAGAATGCTTGTGATCTTTGCACAAGAATTTTGTATGCTGAGGAGTCATTTTTAAAATAAATATATTGCAAATGACTTTTCCCAGTCAGTGAAAAGTCTGACTGAAAGCTGTCAACTGAAAAATCACACAATTTATAAATTTAGAAGGGAGATTTTATTTTTTATAAATGGTTACAGCCTGCAAGGTGGCCATTCCGACAGACAGGGAGGCATACGCTCCTGCTGAAACCTGAAAAGTACGTTTCCAGGGAGGGGAGGGGGGAACAGGGATTTATGTTGATGTGGTGGGCCACATATACATATTCAACAGGGAATAGGAGGAGCTCTGAATATTCATGAAGGGATCCTGCTGCATGCATGCTGAGTAAACATGCCTGTTACATGCAACCCATGTTCACTTTGGGGTGGAGATGACATTTAAATACATTATAATTAGGCCCTATGCTTCAAAAGGGGAAGCAGGGACACAAAGGCAGTCAAGTGCACAGCCTCTGTAAACCGTCCAGAACCCGTCCACAGCCAGTGCTCTCTTATCAAGGGGAAGTTACTGAAATCAGTCTCTTGTCCAATCAAAGCTGTAGTTATGGCTTGTGTAGGGAGGGCTCAGTCAGTTTATGGTAATGGGTGAGCTGCAAGTGCTTCAGCATTGCTTATCTCAAGGCCAGTGCTTGTTTAGCTAGAGAAAAAAGGGAAGAAGAAAAAAACCTGTGGCAATTGGAACATAGTTTATTCTTTAAGTTGAGGGGCGCATGACTCCACCTTGCCTGGCGTGGCCTTAGGTCTCGTTTATCATACCGTATCTTACTACTGCAAGGAGTCTGTTCTGTCAGTCTTAGGATCTCTATTTTAACAATAATGCTGGTCAGTTGTGTCTAAACCACAAAGGGAGAGAGTATAAGGAGAGGTGTCTGAGATTCCAACTACTGGGCAGGAACTCAGTATTTAAGACTTCTCTGGGGTCTCCTTGGCCAAGAAGCAGTCTGTCCAGTTGGTTGAGTGGCTTTGGATTTTAATTTTAGTTCTCAAAGCATTTAATTTGATGAAATTTTGCCATATTTTTTCTGTATTTTTAAAGCCTGTTATGTTCTATAAGAAATCTTTCTACTCAGGATAGTGAATGTATTCTCTTAATTTTATCTCTCTATGAGTTCCAGTGTTTTAGTTTTAATTTTTAAATTGATGACATCTAAAATTCTACTCCTAACCAAAACATTCCTGGGGGTGACCAAGGACAACTCCAAAAATCTTCCATAAATGGAAGTAAGACTTACTCCTTAAAGAACTTACTGGGATCCGGGCCTGCAGGGCACAGTGGCTTTAGTGCACCTCTGCTCTTAAGACTATTCAGAAATTGTCTTTGTGAACCCATCAGGCTGTTTCAAAATCAGAAATTTAGGGCTTGCTTGCAACATGCAGTTATGCAGCAGCTGTTTTGTGGATCTGGTGAGTGCCTGCACGCATAGTTCCCCGGGAATTTTCTGAATTTGAATTCTCATGGTATTTCAAGTGGCTCAGTTGTCTCTTTCTTTTCTTTTCTTTTTTTTTTTTTTTGAGTCAGAGTCTTGCTCTGTCACCCAGGATGGAGTGCAGTGGCTGGAGTGCAGTGGCGCGATCTCAGATCACTGCAAGCTCCGCCTCCCGGGTTCACGCCATTCTCCTGCCTCTGCCTCCCCAGTAGCTGGGACTACAGGCACCCGCCACCACGCCCGGCTACTTTTTTGTATTTTTAGTAGAGACGAGGTTTTACCGTGGTCTTCATCTGACCTCGTGATCCGCCCGCCTCAGTCTCCCAAAGTGTTGGGATTACAGGCGTGAGCCACCGCGCCCGGCCAGTTGTCTCTTTCTTTTGCCTACTGCCACACACGTACCACCAAATCCTGCACTCCAAGCTGCTTCTACACCCTGGACTCCCAACCTCCAGTTAGACAATCCACATCTTCCCACACCTGCCTCAGGCTCCATCAGGCTACTGTGCCTCCTGCAGCAACCAGGCCAGGGGGAATCTGGATTCCTATTACACTTCTGAGGAAGGTGGTCAGGGAGTGTGGAGGATGTGGGTGGGAGGGGGTGAGGTTGAGGGCAGGAGTACACTGTGGTCTTCTGTCTTCTACCTCATTGGCCCAGGTGCTGCTCTTCCTCCGGTTGTCTGCTTTCAGCCCTGCCTGGGAAATCAGGCTGGCGCCCTGATCTTCCTGACTCTCATTTTGTGAGGAACCTGAACGGATGAGCCATCGCTCTTGTCCCACACGTTCTGTCCAAAAGGTGCCCTCCTCTCTGCTTGCTCGGGGGCCTGCCCTCTGAGCTCTGGCACTCAGGCTGGGATGCCGCCCAGTACAGAGGCTCTGCAGCCCTGCAGGGGTCTGACTGTTCCACACCAGCAGGATAAAGGCCACAGGGCATGCTGTGGTGGAAAAGCATTCAGAGGTGTGGGCTGAAGGCCTCTCTTTCCACAGTCCCTTTGAAGACACCATGGAAGTAGGCACCCCCTTGACAGACAAGGTGGCCCAAGGCCTGGCTTCACATGCAGGCTCTTGGGTCCCAGCGGGTCCTCTCTGTGCCTGGTATAGCCAACTGCTTCACGCATCTTACCCGGTTTCCTCTCCTCCACAACCCAAGCTCCTCCTCGACCCCCTTGCTCAGCTGTCCTCAGGACAGCAAGATCCCCAGCCCTTGGAAAAGCCCATCTCTAGTGCTTGGGGAGGGAGTTGGGTTCAGGTGGCCTAACCACAGAAGAACAGAGAACCTGAGGCAGGAGGAAATCCCTTCCCTTGCTGGGTCTCTTGGCACAGCCCATCCAGGGGTCTGGGTCAGGGTCCAGGTATACTCTACCCTCCTTGAGGACCTGGGTTTTCAGGCCCCCGAGGTTGGTCAATGTGGAGTCTTTCCCACTGTTCATCTGGGAACTGAAGGAATATCCGCCCTCTTACTCATTAGAGACACCCAGAACATACTCCATCCAGCAGAAACTGGGTGCAGTGTACCAGACCACTATAATTATAATTGCAGGGTGTGGAGGTCAGATACGTTTTGTGGGTATTTTCTCTCTGTCTGTGGCTTGCTTGCCTTTTCGCTTTCTTAGTGGTATCTTTTGATGAGAAGGTGTGGCTAATGTTGATGAAGTCTCATTTATCATGTCTTTCTTATATATGTATTTTTTCTGTGTCCTGCTTGTTGGTAGGCTAATCTTTGCCTGCCAACAAGTCACAAAGTATCCTTGAAATGCTTTATATCTTTAACTTTTAAGTAATGCGGCTGAAATTACTTTTGTGTGTAGTGTGAGGGAGAATAACATTGTTGGTCTCCCCACATCCATATAGAAGTTCATTAATTGAAATGACTTATTTTCTTTTATTGAACTGCTTTTATTGAAAACCCATTTATTGACCGTATAGCTGTGGATCAATTTCAGGTCTTCTAACTCAGGCTGTTTATCCGTTTGTCACTCCTGATGCCTTGTGTCTAATAGCTTATAGTAAACCTTAAAGTCAGATAGTACAAGTCCTTGTTCTTTTCCACACATTGCAATAAATTTTGAAATAGATAATAACTCATGAAACCATCACACACATCAGGATATGCTGTCACTTCATCCTTTTCTGATATAGTTTGGCCGTGCCCTCACCCAAATCTCAACTTGAATTGTATCTCCCAGAATTCCCATGTGTTGTGGGAGGGACTGAGCAGGAGGTAATTGAATCATGGGGGCGGGTCTTTCCTGTGCTATTCTCCTGATAGCGAGTAAGTCTCACTAACTGATGGGTTTCTCAGGGGTTTCTGCTTTGGCTTCTTCCTCATTTTCTCTTGCTGCTGCCTTGTAAGAAGTGCCTTTTGCCTCCCGCCATGATTCTGAGGCCTCCCCAGTCATATGGAAATGGAAGTCCAATTAAACCTCTTTTTGGTCCTGGACTCTGTTATGTATTTGTCAGCAGCATGAAAACGGACTAATACACTCTCATTTCTGAGTGGGACACATGCTGTCACTCACATATGCTGGTTGCTGACTTGTGACGGAAGATTCTCTATTGTACCCTCTGGGGACAATACATCTCCAGTTGCCTGCGGGGAGGATGAACATGCAAAAAATCCACAACACTCAGCACAGAGTCTGGATTTAGTCCCATTAGTCTGAATGGGACTAATGCCCTTATAAAAGGGACCCTGGGGAGCTCTCTCGCCCTCTTTCTGCCCCCTGAGGATACAATGAGAAGGTGGCAGTCTACAACCAGACCAAAGGTCCTCACCATAACCCTACCACGTCGGCACCTTGATCTCGGACTTCCAACCTCCAGAACTGTGAGAAATCAATTTCTGTTATGAATCAGCCACCCAGTTTATGGTACATTGTTATAGAAGCCCGAACTAAGACAGAGATGAAGTCCCGTGCAGGGTCTCTAATTTGCTAAGCTGGTCATCAGGCGGGATATTGCCAGTCAGAAACAGGAAGAGCTGACATTTTGTGTATATGAAAGAAGATAGTGGACAGGCCCATTGTGTCAGCTTTGTCCGCCTTGGCAAACTGGAGACGGAAACTCGATTCACCATCGCCAGCCACGGGAGGACTGGGAGGACCTCCAGAGGAGGTTAGGTCGACTTCATGGTAACTTTAGATCCGGAAACCTCCCAGGATATTTCTTGTCTTCCCTTTGATCTCTCTTCCACCTACCCAACAGGACAGGACTCGCCGCCTTTCTTTCCCGGCAGAAAGGGGTCCGTTGCGGACAAGACCAAAGTGAGCAGCTGGTTTCCCCTACGTGTCCTTCCGGGCCTGGGCGTCTCGGGAACTCAGGCTGACCCGACACCTAACTCCCGGCGAGTGGGACCAGCAGGAGCCTGGAAGAGCGCGCGCACCGAGGTGGAAGTTGGGCACCGGGGGTCGAGAACCGCGGTCAAACCCTCTTCTTCCAGGGGCACCGCGCACCTGCCCCCGGGGATGCCGAAGGAAGTGACCCATAAAGCTTCTCTGCAACCGAAAGAGGCCTGAAGCTCCAGGAGGGCCGAGAGGAGCCTCGTTGAGCGAACCCAGCCCTCTGCCTGGCTGGCCCTGGTCAACAGGCTCGGAAGAGGCCGATTTGGAGGACAGAACGGAAGAAAAGACCTAAAGGTTTCGAATCTCATGACGCAGAGATGTTAAAAATCTCCAATCCTAAGGTCCGACTGTGCGGGGGAGCGAGGGGGTCTCAAGCTGGATTGACCCCGAGCCTTCATCTGGAGAGTCCTCTGCACAAGCTCAGACAGCAGGACAACGCGCATCAGTGGTTCTCAAGAGGGGGCAACTTCGCCCTTACACGCCTCTCCCATCCCCGCTGGGACACTAGGTCACGAATGGGGGAAGCGGGGAGGGAGAATGCTAACCCCCTGGCATGTATCTAGTCAGCGGAGGCGACGGCTGCTGCTAAACACCTTACAATCCACGGGAGGGCCCCTCCCCTACCCCGAAGTAGCCATTCCGCAGAGGTGGAGAGACTCGCGTGTAGCTCAATGCCCACGCACTTAGCCGATGGGAAATCACGAATTGATGACCAGTTGGCTCTTGGATCTGAGGAAAAATCTCCAGCGTCAGAGGGAACTCTCGAAGTTTTGCCCGGAGCAAACGGAAGGGTGGCGTTGCCATCGCCTAAGATGGGAAAATGGCAGGTGTCACAGGTTGCAGGGGAAGGTCGGAGACCAGCTGAGGGCCCCGGAGCCTTCCTGGAAAGAGTTTCCCATCCAGCCCGTCTCGGTTTCCGCATCCGTCTGATTCCTTATGACGTTGAGGGTGCTGGCGTCTGGGTCCTTTATGATGCAGAGGGTGCCCCCGTCTCACCCCGGGCGCCTCCGCGCTCTCGCCTCCTCCTGGCAACCTGGTGCGCGACTCCGGACCTGGCGACCCACGACCGGCTGGTCACTTGCTGCCACCTCGCAAAGGCGCATCTCTAGTCCAGTGGTGAGCTGCGGCCGGGTCGCTGCAACTCGCTCCAGGCCTCCGGACTCGTGGCCTCGGTGTCTCTCGCGGAGCCCTCGGTGTGTCGCTTGCAGGCTCTTTTTTTGAAGAAAGCAGGGAGGGAATGGCCTTGTGAGAGACTCCAGGAGCAAAGAGCGACCCTCACAAGGCCCAAGTCCTCCCAGAGCTCAGGGAAGCTGTCGCTTCTGACAGAAGAAGGGAGACAAAGCTCCCTCCTGCGAGTCCCTGGTGGTCTAGTGGCTAGGATTCGGCGCTTTCACCGCCGCGGCCCGGGTTCGATTCCCGGTCAGGGAATTGTTTTACACTGGCCGCCCTCCCGCAGGAATCTTCCTTCACTACGCTGTCAGCCGGCCTGCTCCAAGGGCCAGAAGCAGAACAGTCTCCGCAGCGGGGTTAAAGCCGGACGAAGGAGGGCAAGTGCTGGTGGACCACCTCTCACGACACACCGTTCCTGTTTATCTCCGTGTCCGTCATCCGCGGGAGCAGCTTTAGAGAGCGACTGAGCGTCTCGCTCAGGTGTACACAGCCCGGCAGAGATGCCAGCCCCCGTGGAGCTGCACCCAATAAGCCCACCTTCTTTCCTGTCGCCACCCCGGAGACGCCCATCGGGCTGAGCTGCGAATAACTAAGAGAGAGGCCAAGCCAAGTCGTGGCGTTTGTGGCAGCCCCGGACACGGGCACCAGCCAGTCAGCGGAGCCTCCTCACCTCCGTTGCCAGCGAAGGCGCTCGTTAGGCCTTGGGAAGAGGCGACCGGAGGCCATGCCCGCGAATTTGTTAGGGGGGTAAGCGGCGGGTGAGGTCCTCGAGGGCGGTCCCGTTTGCTGTTTGAGCGGTAGAGGGAGGCGATGTTCGCTGACCCAACAAGGACAGCAGGTGGAGTAGGCACAGATGGAAAACTGCTGCCGGTGCCCTAAGCAGAAGGCAGGTGGAAAAATCAGCACTAGGACGTCGAAGCGATGGTACCACAGTCAAATCCCACGACGTCTACACTCTACCAAGCACTTGCGCACGCTCCCCCTTTTCCATTCAGTACTCCCAAGAGGGGTTCGGAAGAACCCCGAGTCCACTGTAAGCTCGGGAGAGCGGGAGCCAGGGAGGTGAAGTGCGCAGACTCGGCAGCGGCGGCGGGCAGAACCGCGGGGGGGTGAGAGGGCGCGGTGGCTGCGGGGCGGGAGCCGCTGCTGAGAGGCGCCCTGGGTTGTCTTGTGGGGTGACTGTCGGTGGAATCTTTGGTGGAGAGTGGTTTGGAAGACTGGCGAGGGGCGGCACTGGGGAGGGTGGTGACCCTGAGTGACCGGCCAGGGCGAGGAGGCTGTGCTGTCCCTGCAGGCCATGTGCTCATTTCCACTTTACCTGGCAGGGGAGAGACCGTGGTCACGAAGGGGGTTCTCCCAGAGTGAAGCTTCTTCATCGCACTCTAGAGTTGCTGATTCCTGTGATTTCCTCCATGTGGGAAACGGTGTTTGTGCTAGAAGAGGCTGCGCTCTTTACCTGACATAAGGGGGTTCAAGACTGACATCGCCTCACGCCCACCCGAAAACGTTTACATGGCTTGTCTCTTTTTTTTTCTGTCCTAAAGTCGCCTCATCTTCACATCCCCTCATTTTTTCTTCCACACTCGAGAGTGTCTCTCTCTCTCATTAAAAGCTCCACCAAATATTTGAAATATCTCAACCAGAAAGACTGCAATAAATACATTATTTCATTCGTGAAAGCTACAGACCAGCTAGGTTGAGAGTTGCTTGATATTTTCTGCTAAACGGTGAGGCATAGAGCACTTGGAAGGTTTCTCTTTGGGCCACTGTTTGTGTACTCTTGGGTTTCCTTCTTTTCCCCAGACAGTATGGCGCTGTGGGGCCAGCGGTAAACCCTGCTTTCCGGCTTTCTGGCTGCAGATAAAGGCCGCAGCTGCTGCAGGAATCAAAAGCAAACCAAAAGACACGTGGGTTCGCCCCAGTGGGTCCAAGATAGAGTCTGACTGTACCAGGATTTGGATTAGAACAGAGGTTGCTGCAGGCACAATGCAGACTACTAACCACTAGAGAATCCCAAGGCGCCCCACACCTACTGCCCATCGTTTTGCTTCCCCACCCCTCTATTATTTATTTAAATATATATTTTGAGAGACAGAATTTCGCATTGTCGCCCAGGCTGGAGGGCAGTGGCACGATCTCGGCTCACTGCTACCTCCGCCTCTTAGGTTCAAGCGATTCTCCTGTCTCAGCCTCCTGAGTAGCTGAGACTACAAGCGTGCGCCACCACGCCCAACTAATTTTTGTATTTGTAGTAGAGTTGGTCCCGCTGGTCTCGAACTCCTGACTTCAAGTGAGTGATCCACCCACCTCGGCCTCCCAAAGTGCTGGGATTACAGGCGTGAGCCACTGCCCCTGGTCCCCCGATTTTATTTTTATTAATGTAAAAACATTATGCGATTTTTACTTCTTTATTCTTGGGCAGCTACAGGTTCTTGTGATTTTCTCTCACATCTTCTCCCCATTTCCCCCTCTCCATTCTGATACATGTCCCATCTTCTCTGCATCCAGCCGGTGCCCTCTGCACGGGCATCCTGGGCTGTCCCATTGTCTAGTCCTGGTCTCCCCTGCTTCTCCCTCCTCCTTTTCACGTTTTCCCTTTTGACTCCCCTGCCTCTTTCCCGCTCCCGCCCCACCGACCCCATCTACTGAAGCCGAGTTGAGTGAAGGGAGAGCAAGCGGAGCAGATGACTGCCTGAAGGCGGCGCAAAAAAACAGAAAGAGCTACCGTGAGAGCCGTCGGGGAGTTCAGCTTCCCTTGGGCCCCACTTGGCTCAGGCTGGGGTCGCAGATCCAGGCATTTCCAGAGGCACTGGCTTCTGAAGCAGGCGAGGGTGAACGCAGGGTGAAGGCCATTCGGCCGCCCTCCTGGCTTCAGAGTCACGCAATGCACGCGTTTCTAACGTGCAGCAAGACGATTAGTCGACTCAGCCTCTCCGGTTTTCCGAAGCTTTGTAGTCTGCACAGTTGTCCCGCAGAAAGCGAATGGCAACCCCTAGGGTTTTGTGATTGCTTAATGTATATAGAGATGAAAACAGACAATCGACGTTGTCTCTGTGGCGCAGTCGGTTAGCGCGTTCGGCTGTTAACCGGAAGGTTGGTGGTTCGAGACCACCCAAGGACGTGATTTTAAATGTTGGTGGTTGTGGCCGGGTGCAGTGCCTCACGCCTATTAATCCCAACACTTTGATAGGCCGACGTAGGGGAAGCCTCCACTGAGCTCAGAAGTTCAAGACCAGTGAGAATCGCATCTCATTTAAAAAAAAAAAAAATTGCAGCTGTATCTATCTCCTCAGACCTATCACTGTATTTAAAAGTGAAAGACTGTTCCCTTGTGTCTTGTGCATCCCATGAGGACAGACAGCAGAAGGTCCCCCTTCGAGCCTCCTAGAAAATAAGATCTCTGCAGCACAAACTAGCTTGTATGTATGGGAAACAAAGTATTTGAAGACACAAACTTCAAAAATTCTGCCTTGCTTTCCACAAAAATTAACCCATCACAGTCTGCCTTCAAGTGGCATCATACCTCTTCACATGACTCCTCTCCCTGCCTTTATGCTAGTGTCATGCATTTTACTTTACACCTGTTATAAACCTTACAATCCATCTCTATTACTTTTGTTTCAAGAGTCAGATGTGTTTTTCTTTGTTTGTTTTTGGGTTTTTTTGTTGTTGGTGGTGGTGTTTTTAAGACGAGTCTTACTCTATCGGACAGGCTGGAGTGCAGTGGCACAGTCTTGGCTTACCGCAACCTCTGCTTTCCGGATTCCAGTCATTCTTCTGACTCAGACTCCTGAGTAGCAGAGATTACAGGCTTGGGCCACCACATCTGACTAATTTTTGAATTTTTCATAGAGAGGAAGGTTCACCATATTGGCCAGGCTGGTCTCGAACTCCTGACCTCAAGTGATCCGCCTTCCTCGGCCTCCCAAAGTGCCGGATTCCAGGCGTGAGCCATCGTGCCCGGCTAAACAGTCAGATGTTAAAATTACATATTTGCCTTTGTAGATGTCATTTCTAGTGTCTTTTTTTTTTCATCCAGATTTTCATCCCGTGTCACTTTCCTTCTGCCTGGAGGACTCCTTTAACTTGTCTATTAGGTGTCTTAAACTTGCACTATCATTCACTGATGCTCTGTTCATTAAAGAAAAAAAAAATTGTTGGCCGGGTGCGGTGGCTCACGTCTGTAATCCCAGCAATTTGGGAGGCCGAGGCGGGTGGATCAGGAGGTCAGGAGATCCAGACCATCCTGGCTAACACAGTGAAACCCCGTCTCTACTAAGAATACAAAAAATTAGCTGGCTGTGGTGGTGGGTGCCTCTAGTCCCAGCTACTCAGGAGGCTGAGGTGGGAGCATGGTGTGAACCCAGGAGTCGGAGCTTGGAACCTGTCAAAAGGCATTCTTAGCCTTAAAAGAAAAGCCAGGGACATCCCTTGCCTCAGGACTCTCAGACTTAGAAAAACCTTTCACCCTCTATGTGGATGAATAACAAGGGACAGCTTTGGATTTTCTAACTCAAAGACTGAGGAATTACTTTGGACCAGTGGCTTATTTCTCTAAACAGCTAGACCAGGTGGCAGCTGGGTGACCAGGAAGCTTGAGATCTGTGGCTACCATCACTCTATTGTTAGAAGAAACCACTAAGTTTACCTTGGGACAACAATTAGATGCCATACCACCCCACCCCCACCCCCTGCCACCCCATGAAGTACAGTACAGAGGGTCCTAGAGGCAAAAGTACAGCAATGGCTAACAGAGGGCCAGTTACTTAAATATCAGACCCTTCTGCTTGACACCCGAGATGTTACCCTGAAAATATGCTGATTTTTAAACCCTGCTACTCTGTTGCTGCACCTCACGTCTCAAGAAAGAGCTCCCCAATTCATTGACTCCTGTGTGGAAACCACGGAAGAGCTCTACTCTAGAAGGCCCAACCTTGAAGACAAGCTCTTGTCTAACCCAAATGTTGAGTGCTTTAGAGATGGAAATAGCTATATTCATGAGGGAGTAAGAAAGGAAGCTTAGCCAACAAGAAATCATTGAGGCCAAGGGTTTACCTTCTCAGACTTCTGCTCAAAAAGCAGAATTAGCTGCGCTAATTAGGGCCTTCCAACCATGAAAAGACTTAAGCTGGGCACGGTGGCTCACCCCTGTAATCCCAGCACTTTGGGAGGCCAAGGTGGGTGGATCACCTGAGGTTGGGAGTTCGAGACCGGCCTAGCCAACATGGCGAAACCCCGTCTCTACTAAAAATACAAAAATTAGCTGGGTGTGGTGGGGGGCTCCTGTAATCCCAGCTACTTGGGAGGCTGGGACATGAGAATCCCCGAGTTTGCAGTGAGCTGAGATCATGCCACTGCACTCCAGCCTGGGCGACACAGCAAGACTCTGTTTCAAAAAAAGAAGAAGAAAACCAAAACCCTCAAGAGTCAATGTGTTGACTGACTCTAAATGTGGGTTCCTGGTGCTCTATGCTCATGCAGCCATAGGGAAGGAAAGGGAACTATCAAAAGCCAAGGGATGCCCCATACAACTTTACTCAGATCTTGGAACTTTTAGATGCTGTCCAACTCCCAAAGAAATAACAATTACTCACTGCAGGGGACACCAGAAGGGAGACACTTTTATTATTAGAGGAAATTCCCTGGTGGAAAGAGCAGCTAAGGCCACAACTAAGGAAACCCTGGTATTTCAAGCTGCTGCGCTACTACCAGGTACTGCATCCGTGTCAGTGACACCATACTATACCCCTAAGGAAATTAAAGGGACTGAGTAAAAGGCTTCCAGGGAGACCCTCTGGATGGTTGGTAGAAAAGAACAAACTCTATTCCTGAGGCTGACAGATGGGAAATAATTAAACATTTTCATGATTCCTCACATTTGGGACGGGATTTTCCATTCAAATTAGTTTCCTAAATATTCTTCGGGAAGGGACTGTTCTAAACTATAAAAAGGGTTACCACTCAGGAAGCCACCCCATACCCCGATCCCTGCTTAAACCTGTACAACACCAAGGAACATACCATGGTGAAGACTGGCAGACAGACTTAACCCAGATGCCACCTTACAGGGAACTACAAGATTTGCTAGTATTTATAGGCACTTTCAACAGGTGGATAGAAGCTTTCCCCACAAGGACAGGAAAAGTACTGGAAGTGTCTAAATTCTTAAAGAAATCATTCCAAGATTTGGATTACCAAAAGGTTTGCAAGGTGACAACTGACCTCACTTCACAGCTAAGGTGACCCAGTGAGGTCATGCCTCAGCCTTAGGCATTACCTATCTTCATTCCTCATGGAGATCTCAGTCTTCCAATAACATAGAAAGCCAATCGCGACATTAGCAAAAGTCTTTCAGTTTGGGGGCTTGCCTGCCCTGCGTCACTATCATTGTTTCCTTGGGTTTCCCAGGAATGTACATGTGTGAGACTGCCGCCCTGCTTATAGATCTGTTTCCCTGCAAGGAAACAGGAATATGTTGCCTGTGGCTTCCAGAGTTGGAGATACATGTAGTTGCACCACTGAGGGCTAACATTTAATTTTGGAATCAAGTGATGCATTCAGACTGGTTGCTATCATTCTGTGGTATATATTTAGTGAACACATTCATGATTGAGTTTCCTGCTTTTAGCTGGAGCAAGAAAGTTTTATAATTGTGATTTGTATGAAAAAATCATAGGCAAGGGAATGGATGCAAAATAAACTTTATTGTCAGAGGTTTCTAAAGGCTCATCCTTCAAGGAAAATGGACATATGCTGAAGAGCTGATAAACTGTCTACAGCAGTGTTATTCTAACCTAATCTTGATTCCAAGTTCTTGCCATTTTCCTCCAGCTGCTGTTGACTCCAGTTATATATAGGATGGGGGAAAGGGGATTATCTATGAATGTAGGCATCACTTTCTCTTGGGCAGTTATCACATTGGCAGACTGAAGGGATGTGATTTCTACAATCAAACTATCCATTTGGAGTACAAATCTGGAGTGGCTGTAAAATTCGGTTCTCAGAGATGAACTTGCAGATTCGGACTTTCAATTGTTCTGTTGTTTTAGTTTTTCTTATCAACTGGGGAACTGTTTGTGACTAAGCTTTGTTAAAAGTAGAGAAGAGCTTTTCATAGTTCCAACATTAGTTGTTACCTGAAACAAACAAAAACACACACAGAGACAATTAAACAGTAATCTTTGGTGAGGTCTTGCTGATACCTGAGGCTGGAGTGAGAGCTGAGTGGTGATACAGCTCATGTGAGTGGTCCAGATTGCGCACTCCTTATGAGACTGTAACTGATGCCTGATGACCTGAGGTGGAACAGTTTCATCTGGAAAACATCCACCACCCCCTTCCATGGAAAAATTGTCTTCCATGAAACCAGTCCCTGGTGACAAAAAGGTTGAGGACAGCCAAAAAGGCTGCTTTAAATGATAACCTTCCCCAAAACTAAATTACCCCTGTAAAATGAATGAAAGGCTACCAAGTTAGAAGGATGAAAGGGGCCTGATTTCTACTAAGATGTATGCCTCGTTAAATAATTACCAGCCATTATTCCAGAAGTCACAAGATTGGCAGCTTCCCCAATTACTGCTGTGAAGAACATCACTATTGTAGAACCTAAGATTGGCCTCTTGAGATGTCTTTTCAGGCTTTTGCATTTCTGACTGCTGGAAGGCACCATCTGGCCCGAAAATCAACCAGTCCCTTAGCCCCCACCCAGAAGCTGACTCCATGCAGGAGGACCATTTTCCACGCCCCTGTGATTTCATCCCCAACAATCAGCACCACGCAAGCCCTAGCCCCCTCCCCACCAAACTATCTTTGAAAAACCCCTTACCTCCAAGCCTTCAGTGAGATTGCTTTGAGTAATAACTCTGTCTCCCACATGTCATGGCTGGCCTGTGTCAATGAAACTCTTGCCTGCAGTGCCATGGTCTCCATGAATTGAATTTTTGTGTACATTGGTCAGGAAGAACCCATCAGGCGGTTACATCTGCAGGATGGTGCCAGTTCTTTCCACAAAGGCTGGTCAGATACCCAGAAAGCATTTCTCCACTACTACCTGGACAATGTGTCTCCCTGTCAATCTCCAGGGAATGGGGCCTGGATCAAGTATTTAGTATTCAGCAGTTACTACGCTGTCACCTAATCCCTCATTTTCAATATTTTGCCATGCTTCCAGTGGCCTAACTGGCCACCATGCCACAGAATCTTTACTTTATGGTCTCCAAGGAGAACTCTCCACTCGATGTTTTGTGATTTGAGCAATGGAATAGAATCTGATACTGGTGGGCTGGGGGAGGTCCCTGGACACTGGTGGGATCTCGACCCCAGCCGTGGTGTCCAGGCTCTTGACACCATCGCGAGAACAAAGTCAAAGATGAGTCAGCAGATAGTGAAAGAAGAGATTTATTGCAAAGCAAAAAGTACACTCTCAAGAAAGGGGAGCTTGGGCATACCCAAGAGAGAATAATGGGTTCTGGGGTTTCATCTTGATGGGTTTCTTTAACCAAGGAGTGGAATGTTCACGAAAATTCCTGGGTAAAGGTGGAGATTTCTTGGAACTGTGGTGCCATTTTTACATCAAACACTGGTCTCAGAACTGTCATGGCACTGGAGGGTGTGTGATTTAGTATGTTAATGAGCATATAATGAGGGCCTAGGTAAAACCTCCATCCAATCCAGCACCACGTTGGGTCCACTCAGCCTTAGCCAGCTTGGTCCACACCCTGGTTTTTCAGCGTCTTAACAGCCCACAGCCTCAAGTCATGTAAATCTGCTGCCTAGAATTTGTTATCCTGTGACCACCCTGTAGTATTCCTGTCTGAAATCTACTTGTAAATATTCAAATGGTCTTTCACTTGGGCATTCCAACTTTGCTTACTTCACAGTGTTTCCTGCGTAATATATAAGAAAAGATGATCCAGACATTTGTTAAACATCTCAAATAAGATGTAGCCCAGGTATTTGTGTCAAATTTGGATTATTTTGGTTTCGTCTTTGCAGAATATAAAAAACTAACTTGAGGTAAGCACTAAGGTGTGGAGATGGCTGTGCAAGAGATGACAAACTCCAGCACCACGCTTGAGAGTGTCCAATCATCTCTTCTGGGACAGCATATTTTTCTACAATACGGATTTTTGAAAAAAAACAACATCAAAAAAAAAAACCTACAAGATTCATGAAACTGGACAACTGTCTTTATAACATTACCAGTGATAAAACCAGTAAGGAAGGCTGGTTTGCAGTCATCTGAGCAGCCTCTTTACTTTCATAAATATGGCTTCTCTCTGATATTAAACGGCTTCCAATTGCAAGCGGAATGCTGCATCACAAGGATAAGGATGTGAAGAGAAACGGTTTCTTTTGTAATCCGAAACATTCTAGTCTGCGAATTAAAAGCCATTATTTGAAGAAGGATGCCCCGGCTCCATCTGGCCACCGAAAGGTTGCTCCTTAACACAGGCTAAGGACCAGCTTCTTTGGGAGAGAACAGACGCAGGGGCGGGAGGGAAAAAGGGAGAGGCAGACGTCACTTCCCTTTGGCGGCTCTGGCAGCAGATTGGTCGGTTGAGTGGCAGAAAGGCAGACGGGGACTGGGCAAGGCACTGTCGGTGACATCACGGACAGGGCGACTTCTATGTAGATGAGGCAGCGCAGAGGCTGCTGCTTCGCCACTTGCTGCTTCACCACGAAGGAGTTCCCGTGCCCTGGGAGCGGGTTCAGGACCGCTGATCGGAAGTGAGAATCCCAGCTGTGTGTCAGGGCTGGAAAGGGCTCGGGAGTGCGCGGGGCAAGTGACCGTGTGTGTAAAGAGTGAGGCGTATGAGGCTGTGTCGGGGCAGAGGCCCAAGATCTCATACTTACCTGGCAGGGGAGATACCATGATCACGAAGGTGGTTTTCCCAGGGCGAGGCTTATCCATTGCACTCCGGATGTGCTGACCCCTGCGATTTCCCCAAATGTGGGAAACTCGACTGCATAATTTGTGGTAGTGGGGGACTGCGTTCGCGCTTTCCCCTGACTTTCTGGAGTTTCAAAAACAGACTGTACGCCAAGGGTCATATCTTTTCTTGTATTGGTTTGTGTCTTGGTTGGCGTCTTAGGTGTTAATCCTACAGTAGACGGTTGGGGAATAGGAAGTAACATGTGGCCTGCACGCCATAGGAGAAAAAGCGAACATCAGCCGTATCGTCTTTGTAACACAAATTAGCTATCGTGAAGTCCGCTCAGCTCTTCCCTTTCTACCCTGGCTGCTTTTTGCAGGGATTGGTCCGTGGTCTCCAGTCTCTTGGGTTCTCACCCTGTGTGAAAATCTTCGTGTTTTTCCCTACCCCCAAGTCACCTCTTACACAGCCTCTGCTTCCAAGCGCAGCCCCCACAGGAGTTTGTAGGATTTCTGTGCTAGCGGGGAGTGTGTTCTCACCTCATAGAGCCAGGTAGAAACTACGCAGATGGGCGCTGTTCTCTGGGAAGAAAGCAGGGCCTTTGGGGCTCTCAGTGTCCCCGTTGGGTTGTAGACATAACACGCTTACTTTGCGTAGGGGAACGGCTCTGCCGGCCCCCAGGTGCCCTAGCGCATATGCACGGAGGCCCGCAGGTCAGAACCGCAGTCTCACCTGTCTTGGCGGAAATGCCCTGCGATCCTCCCGGAGATAGAAGGCGGGAAGTTTTATGAGGAGCCGGTCCAGTTTCCCTACTATCTCCTGCAGTTCATATATCTAGTCTTTCTTCAGACTTTAAGCGACTGCTTCATGTTTGATGTCTCACTCCCACATCCTACATCCATTGCCAGGCAACTATCTAGATAGCACCCTGACCCATCCTTCCCACCCCCAACAAGCCCTTTCCTATTTCTGGTGCCAGTGTCCTCCCCAGTCCCTCTTTCTTCAGGCCCTCGCTTATCACCCTCATGGACAGAAAATACTTAGCTCTCTCTCAACCTGAGGTTTACACCTGACACACGTCAGTGCCCTGGCAAATTCCTTAATACCCCTTCTCAAATAGCACTGTAAATCATCTCTTTTTAACTCCCAGAACTATCTAATTGGTTTTGTCCCTGCACTACATGAATACTACTATCCCACTACAGAGGAAAACCCCAGGCCTAGTGATGGCGGTTCTGGGCATTGTGCCAGCCTCTCCCAGGGTATGTTTTCTGACCTCACCTACTTTTGATCAGCTGAGGTCAGGAGTTCAAGACCAGCCTGACCAACATGGCAAAACTCCGTCTCTACTACAAACACATACACAAGCACAATAATAATAATAACAATAATAATAATAATGATAATAATAATAATTGCCAGGCGCAGTGGTGTGTGTCTGTAATCCCAACTACTCGGGAGGCTGAGGCAGGAGAATCACTTGAACCCGGGAGGTGGAGGTTACTGTGAGCCGAGATCGCGCCATTGCACCGCAGCTTGGGCAACAGAGTAAGACTCTGTCTCAAAAAGAGAAAAAAAATTAGTGCATCTGAGACATATTATTGGAGACAGTAGAATCCTGCGTCCAACAGGCACTTGGTGCAGATCTGAACCCATTGAGCTATTGGCTCATGTTCCCTATGTTCTATTAAGTATCATGAGCAGAAATTGAGCTCTTTGGCTTTTACCCACTGAGTATGGCTATAGGACAGGTCTCTCTCTCTCTCTCTCTCTCTCTCTCTCTCTCTCTCATTCTTTGCATCATTATTTTTTGCCATCAGTGTGGGTTTTTGGTTTGGAGGTTATGAAGTGAATTTCTGGGGACAATCTCTGTTGGGTCGTGTTGACAAGGATCCAGTCCCTGTTTGGTGATACATGACAGCTAATCTGCTCTGTGAGTCTTCTTTATTGTCTATTTATTGTCCTGAGAATAATGGCATTTCCTGATATTTGAGACTGCAGCAATGATAAGTTGTTCAGATCTTGTCTTTCCAATGTTTGGTAAAAATTTTATAGGCCCAATTGTTGTCAATATCTGCAAGAGTGGCATCTCTGTTACAAGAGTGATCTTACTACTCGATGTCCCCCCTCCCACCCAACTTCGTTTCCTAGGGGCTCTTGGCTTTAACGAATTTACTGTGTCTAAAAGACATCTTAGTACAGGAAGAAAACTGAATCTGTAGCATGTAAGGAGCAGTTTTATTTGATTGGTATATTCAGGTTTCTAACCAGCTGAAAAATTCAAATACATGCCCTTTAAGGATTAAGTTTAAACCACACTACCAAAAGAGAAAAGATTTATATGATCACATATAAGCAATGGAATCAGCAATATGAGTACTTTTCACAACTATACAAATCAAATTTAATAATCTCCAGAACATTAAGGAAGTTCAGCCCTTAATGGAAATGAATGAAAAGAAATTATTCACCCACTGTTACATGCCCTGGAAAGAGAATGTCCTGCCAGACTCAAAAGAGTATCACACTGTTACTCAGATTTTCAGCAATGAAGGCCCTCCAAGGATCTAATGATGTTCATCTTTTCAGTTTATTTCCTTCACTGATAAACATTGTTAATAGATACCATTGCCTCTGTTTTCACTTTAAGTGATGTTACTTAGCACAATTCGTTTCTTTAGAATGCACCCTAGTTTGGTGGAAGGAATTTTCCTGCTTTATAAATATAGGATATTTTCTCATGAAACAAATTGGCATACTCTTTCAGTGAAGTGAATAGACAAATTAGATCTCTAAAATTGTAAAGGAGTCACTGCCCCAATTATCTTAGGAACAATAATAATCACTTATATAAAATTAAAATAAGAAAATTAAGCCAGGTATGGTGGCTCATAGCTACAGTCCCAGCACTTTAAGAGTTGGAGACCAGCCTGGGCAACATAGTGAAACCCCTGTCTCTACAAATTTTTAAGTATTAGCTAATTTTTGAAAGTTGGCCGGGCATGATAATGCATGACTGTAATCTCAGGCTGCAGTGAACTATGATTGTGCCACTGCCCTCCAGCCTGAGTGACAGAATGAGACTCCCAACTCAAAAAAAAAAGAAAAAAAAAAGAAAAAGAAAGAAAATTAAGAATTTGTTGAAAATTGTTTTACTACAATGCTAGGCTGCATGTCTTGCACCTGTACTCCCAGCAACTCAACAGGCTGAGGCGGAAGGATTGCTTTAGGCCAGCGGTTGGAGACCAGCCTGGGGAACAGGGCAAGACCTCATCTCTAAAAAAATACAAGGCAAGCTGAGCCAGGAGGATTGCCTGAGCCCAGAAGTTCCAAGTTGGTCAGCTATGATTGCCCCGCTGCACTCTAGCCTGGATAACAGAGCAAGACCCTGTGCCTTATTTTTTAATTTATGTTATTTTTTTACTACTTATGCTTATTTATCTATTTATTTATTTTTGAGACAGAGTCTTGCTCTGTAGCCCAGGCTAGAGTGCAGTGGTGCCATCTCAGCTCACTGCAAGCTCTACCTCCCAGGTTGAAGCTATTTCCCTGCCTCAGCCTCCAGAGTAGCTGGGATTACAGGCGCACGCCACCACGCCCAGCTAATTTTTATATGTTTAGTAGAGACAGGGTTTCATCATGTTTGCCAGGCTAGTCTCAAACTCCTGACCTCAAGTGATGCACCTGTCTCGGCCTCCCAAAGTGCTGGGATTACAGGTATGAGCCACCTCACCCAGGCTGCTTATGCTTGAAATGTGAGGTTTCATTAGGGAAAAATTTTCTTGTTGAATTTCTAACACGAAAGAATAATAGATTTAGCTGTAGATTAAATTAATGGTCCTGGTAGTTTGGTACAATAAAATAAATGAAATGAAATTGATAGCAGAGAGGAATCTTTGATGCTTTTGAACAATTTAAATAATGTAATATTTATTATATAAAGACATGAAAAAGTTCATTACATTATTATTATATGCATTTATTTATTTATTTATTTTGAGATGTAGTCTCACTCTGTCGCCTAAGCTAGAGTGCAGTGGTGCAATCTTGGCTCACTGCAACCTCTGCTTCCCGGGTTCAAGCAATTCTCCTGTCTCAGCCTCCTGAGTAGCTGGGATTACAGGCGCACACCACCACACCTGGCTAATTTTTGTATTTTTAGTAGACACAGGGTTTCACCATGTTGGTCAGGCTGTCTTGAACTCCTGACCTCATGATCCTCCTGCTATGGCTTCCCAAAGTGCTGGGGTTACAGGCATGAGCCACTGCACCTGGCCCATTACATTATTTTTTAAAAATCAGTATGACTCTTTTGACAAATTAGAATGGTTTAATAATCTTGGTTAGGCTGGGCATGGTGGCTCATGCCTGTAGTCCCAGCACTTTGGGAGCCCGAGGTCAGGAGTTTGAGACCAGCCTGGCCAACATGGTGAAACCCTGTCTCTACTAAAAATACAAAAATTAGCCGGGCATGGTGGGGGGCTCCTGTAATCCCAGCTTCTCAGAAGGCTGAGGCAGGAGAATTGCTTGAACTCAGGAGGCAGAGGTCGCAGTGAGCCAAGATCACGCCATTGCACTCCAGCCTGGGGGGGCAACAGAGTGAGACTCTGCCTCAAAAAACTAATAAATAAATAAAAATAAAGTATAAAAAATTAAAATTATGTGTTCAAATACATTAAATATATGGCAATGAAAAGGAGGCCTAGCATGACTGACTGCATTTTGCTCCTAACCCTTCCTACCCTGTGGTGACATCTTCCAGGCTAACTGCTTTTTCTTATTTCTGCACATAGGCCAAGCTATCTATGGGAGGGATTTAGCCTACAGTTTAACTTTAAAGCACAGATGATAATAATCCCTTCCCCAAACTAACTCCTGAGAAGATAGAGAGGTTGTATACACAAGTAACAGTGTTATGCTGAAGATTTATAAGAGCAGTGTGACCTGACAAAGGATGAACAATTTTCACCATCCCCTTGGGCTCCCACTGCAGCCCATGTCTGTCATTGTCAGACCTCTTCACCTCAATCGCCTCCTTCTTCCTCCCTTCCCTAACGTACAAGGAGCCTGAAAATTGTATTAATTTAAGATGGTTCTTCAGGATGTTACTTCACCATCTGTTAAGTTTGGTGGCTCTCTGGAATAAAGTCACCTTCCCTGCCCCTACACCTCAACCCTCGACTTATTGGCTGTCATGCAGCAAGCGGTGAGTGCAGTAAGCGGAGATCACACCACTGCACTCCAGTCTGGGTGACCCTGTCTCAAAAAAAAAAAAAAAAGAGAGAGAGAAATTTGGTTTTCGAACCAGACAAATTAAATAGGAGACTTAATTCCAATGAGACCTAGAAATGTCTAAATTTCTAAAATTTCTAAAAGAACTGAGAAAATTGCCTCCATTGAGGAAGTAAGCTGAAGGAGGTAAACTGTCATGTTTTCTGAATTGAGAAATATCGAGGAGGCTTTCTCTCTTTCACCTCCAACTGCTCCTTCTCCTCCTGCCCCTGCACCTGCATAGTCTTTCTTACCTGAGCCTTCCTGTCCTGCCTTGCCTCTTCTTCCATCACCATCACCTAAGGAAAGTCCCCAGGGATCTGGTCCCTTCCCTGAAACTTCTGTTCTGACAGCCCCTTTCAAGGTAAAACCCAAACCCACAGGAAGAGGGGAGCCTACCGTTGTGTATACCACTTCACCAAAACGTGAATTAAGAATATTATAAAGGACTTCCCTGATCTACACTTAAATACATTTCACTCTTCTGTTTCTAAAGCAGGCTCCAAGATCCTGTAGGCTTTGGCAGAAAATTTGACTTAACTGTTGAAACCTTTGAGCCCAAATATTCTGATCTTTATCAATTAATTCACATGCTGGTGAAGAAGGGAAGGCCACTAACTGGTTGCAAAAGGTAAATTGGAAGGATTTTCAAAAAGGGACTGAAGCAGAACATGAAAGGTTCACATTTTCACCAAATATCTCCAAGTTGCCATTCCCCAGGTCCTTCCTAAAAATATAGATTGGAGGATAATTCAGCATTGTACTAAAAAGCCAGACAAATCTGTCTTTGCTTAACTAAAATGGTTTGAGATCCAGGTGTGGTAGTTCATGCCTGTAATCCCAGCACTTTGGGAGGCTGAGGCGGGTGAAACACTTGAGGTCAGGAGTTTGAGACCAGCCTGCCAACATGGTGAAACCCTGTCTCCACTAAAAATACAAAAATTAGCCAGGTGGCTACTCAGGAGGCTGAAGCAAAAGAATTGCTTGAACCCAGGAAGTGGAGGTTGCAGTGAGCTGAGATCCTGCCACTGCAATACGGCCTGGGAGACAGAGCGAGACTCTGTCTCACAACGAAAAAAATAAAAAGAAAAAAGAAAAATAGAAAAAAAAACAGCAGGGTAGTAGAAATATAATGCACACAAGAATGATAATCATGAAGACAATCTGATTCTACAAGAGTAAGGGAACCTATTCCATGAGAGAGCCAACTGAAAACATCAAATCCCAGTTCACACCCCAGGGTGTGGGGTCACGTGCCTGTAGTCCCAGCTACTCAGGAGGATTAGTAAGGAGGTTTGCTTGAATTCATGAGGTCAAGGCAGGAGTAAACCCTGATCATGCCACTGCACTCCAGCCTGGGTGACAGTGAGACCTTGTCTCAAAAACAAACAAACAAACAAACAAAAACCCACAAAACCAAACAACAACAAATTGCCACCTCACTCTGAAATGACAGTGGCAAACATCACTTTGCTATTGGCAAATTAAAAGAAAAACACTCCCTCTTGCTATCAACCTGGCCTCTTGCTCTAACATGTCTGACCCATGGTTTAAAATGCCCAAAAGCTGATGTCCTCAAATTATAATACACTTACCTATTCTGCACCAGCATTTATTTTTGTCTGGAGGAGATCACCATCCATGGTCCTGTAAATGTCTAACAGCATGGAATGATGAAGGGCAGTGTCTTTTAGGATATTTGGTTATATCTATATATATGGCTCTGAAGAAACCCAACAGTGGGCAAGTTCCCTCAAACTTTTCACTAGGCATGACCACTGCTCTATTTTAGATAGAGATTCTGTGGGGCAAAACCTGAGAATTATCTGCCTGGCTATCAAGAAGATAGCTCCTTGCATTTTTTGGGGGAGAACACTTTTGCTTCAAGGGAGTGTTTCCTCCCAGGATTAGAAATCTTTCTGTAACCTCAGGAAACATTGCTGACGAAAACCAGGCATGGTGTGCTGTACAACTTGTAGTAATAAGGCAGAAGTTAAAAGGAAAAGACACGTTTTCCTGTACTTGGCTGACTCCAAGACCTGCCATAGATAGAGCCCTAGCAGATCCTCGGTAACACTATCTGAAAAGTCAGAGCCCCGAGGAATGAGTTCCGGAGACTCTCTCAACACAGTCAGCCCCTAGCAAAGATAAGAGGAAAAAACAACAAATGCCTTTACTACCTTCTCTTTCCCCCTTTCCATTTCTAATTATTCAAGTTTTGTTAAGTTCCTGATTTCCCTTCAGTGCAGCTGCAAGGTCACCAGCTATACTTGCATTGCAAGACCTGTGACAGTTTGATTAGCTGCCTTTGTTCTGCTTCTATAAGCCCTCTTGCCTGCCCCCGAGTTTCATGCCATCAAATTCCCGCGGCGCCATTCAAACTAGCCAACCCCCTTTCAGAAGTGTCTATAAACTCAAGCCCTGTCTTTGTTCGGGGCTCAGCCTTTGGATTTTCATCTGCTGGGCCTCAGTGCAGTCAATAAATCCTCCTGTTCCACCCATTGGTCTCTCTGTTCTCCTGATTCCCACAACAGTAGTAGGGGACTGCGTTCCCACTTTCCCCTGGTCTTTCATGGTATGAATAATGGACAGCATTTTTTTTTCACCTATAGTCGCAGGCTCGGTCTCAGTGATTGTATGCTGTGGTCAGCTGTTTTTGTTTTTGTGAGACCTTGTTTTCTTGTTTACTGTCCTGGGACAGATGTCTGTAGTCACTTGTTTCCTCGGGAGGCAAATTTCAGTCTCTGTCGGGGAGGTCTCCCATGTTAGCTGTGGTGGTACTTGGCAGGCAGAGCTCAGGGATCTAGGCTTCCGTGCTTTGTAGATTGCTCAATGGTCCCCAAGGCCTAGTGGCTTTTAACACCACTTGAAAACCTTAGTGTTTTTCCACTGTCCCCAGAGTCACCTCTTACACAGCCTCTTTTTTTGTTTGTTTGACTTATTCTCTGAGAGACAGTCTCACTGTATCTGGTGGCATCTTGGTTGAATCGATCCTCCCACCTCAGCCTCTGGAGTAGCAGAGGCACGAGTCACCACAGCCGGCTAATATCTGTTCTTGTTTTTGTTGTTGTGGTGGTTGTTTTGTTTTTTTAAGAGTTGAAGTTTCTCCATGTTGCCCAGGCGACGTGCTCCCGGCGAAGGAGGCCGCCTGCCTGGGGGCGGGCTGGGGCCACGTCCCAGGGCTGGGGGCGCTGTGGGCACTGTGGGTGCCGCACCCACCGCTGCCCGGCACCGGAGGCCAAGAGAGCGTTCCCGACGGGCTCCGCGGATGCCCCGCCGCGTCCTGCTGCCCATCCTGCCCGGGTTGTCGCGGGCCGGGGGCACGACAAGAGGCCGGGGTCTGCCCGGACGCAGCGGCCTGCAGGGCGCAGCTGTCCCTCCACCAGCCGGGGTCCCCTCGCTCAGCCCATGAGACAAATAAATGAATACATAAATAAATAAAAGATGGAGTCTTGCTCTGTCGCCCAGGGTGGAGTGCAGTGGTGCGATCTTGGCTCACTTCAACCTCTGCCTCCCAGGTTCAAGTGATTCTCCTGCCTCAGCCTCCTGAGTAACTGGGATTACAGGTGCATGCCACCACACCCGGCTAATTTTTCGATTTTTAGTAGAGACGGGATTTCATCATGCTGGCCAGGCTGGTCTCGAACCCCTGACTTCAAGTGATCCACCCTCCTTGACCTCCCAAAGTGCTGGGATTATAGGCATGAGCCACTGCACCCAGCCAGAAGCGGGCATTAATATGCAGGCGCCATATAGGGCAACATCTGTGTGCACCTCTTACAAATCTTAATGCTGTGTATATGAGGGGGTTCCTTCGTGTCCCCCTGGGGATGTTTGAGGTTGCCTGTATGTGTTATGTGTGTGCATATCTTTAAGCTCAGATATGCATAGGCGGATTGACACCTCTGTTTGAATGTATTCCCATGAGCTCATGCCATTAATTCACCATCACAAGAAATATTTACTGAGCGTGAGCCATGCCATTCCACAGCCACCATTATAGTACTAAGGTACAATGATGAAGAAAAAATCGAGGCTTTCTGAGCTCACACTGGGGTGGGGGCATGGTGGGAAGACACAGGCATCCATGTAATAAACAGAAACCACGACAAGGCTAAGTGTTCTGGAGGAGAGGCGCATGGTGTACTGACGCCCCTGACGTAGACCTCAGGTGCACCTTTGAGTTTTGCTTGCATGGTTTGGGTTTGTGGGCTCACCTGCATGTGTCCATACATGCCCCATCTGCGTGCCCGTGCATGGCTGCATCACCCCATACACACGTGCACTGCCCCTGGGCTTGCCCACATGTGCTGCTCCCCAGGGCGCCAGGCTATCAGCCTACAAGGCATTGTGGGTCTGGGCCCAGCCTGCCACCCCCTACAGAGGCCTGAGCCTGCCTTCCCAGGAGGCCCAGGACTCTCACCCAGGGCCCTTCCCTGCAGCTGGAGCAGGCTCTGTGGCTGGAATCTGGTGAGCTGGAGACGCAAGAGCCCAGGGGGCTGGTACCCCAGAGCGTGGAGTTGCGGAGGCAGCTGCAGGAGGAGCAGGCCTCCTAGTGGCGCAAGCTGCAGGCCTACCTGGAGGGCCAGCAGC
Organism: Homo sapiens; assembly: GCF_000001405.40. Taxonomy (NCBI): domain Eukaryota; kingdom Metazoa; phylum Chordata; class Mammalia; order Primates; family Hominidae; genus Homo; species Homo sapiens. The sequence goes on along the minus strand of NW_025791756.1, from coordinate 778,952 downwards.
GGCAGGCCCAGCTTGTGCAGCGGCTGCAGGGCAAGGTCAGGGCCACCCATTCCTGCTCTTTCCCTCCCACGTGTTCACTTCGCTCTGCCCCCACCCCTGGGGCTCACCATAAGCTCCCAATCCCCAGATTCTCCAGTACAAGAAGAGGTTCTCGGAGCTGGAGCAGCTGTTGGAGAGATCCGGAGAGCTGGAGCAGCAGCAGCTGAGGGTGGGTGCCACGGTGGGGCAGAGGCAGGCCCTGCCCTCCACCTGCCCAGCCTGATGCTTTAACCTCTCTGCCACCCAGGACACAGAGCACAGCCAAGACCTGGAGAGTGCCCTCATCTGGCTGGAGGAGGAACAGCAGGGAGGGCCAGGGCTGGCAGCATGGCCCCCTGGGCGAGCGCCTACTGATCCCCTGTGCACCATTCAGGAGTGCCAGCCTGGCCCAGGTGAATGCCATGCTCTGAGAACAGCTGGACCAGGCAGGTTTGGCCAACCAGGCTCTGAGTGAGGAGATACGAAAGGTGACCAGTGACTGGACTCGCAGCTGCAAGGAGCTGGAGCAGTGGGAGGCGGCATGGAGGCGCGAGGAGGAGGTGGGCATGGGGGTGCAGGGAGGCCGGCGATATAAGAGGAAGATAATGCACAATTATGCTAGTGAGACTCTCTTTTCCAATAATGTTTGCACTTCTCAATACTACATTTAAAAAGGAAATAGGAGCACTTGAACGGTTAAGTAAGAAGATGAACAAAATTGAACAGAGGAAAAATAACTGTCTGAAGACATGTTGAAAATACATTTAAAGACAGTCTGTCTGAGACAGGAGCTGAGCTGGCCAATCCATCTTTTAAATAATTGAACATCATTCAGGTGTCAAGTATTTGACCTGGAGCCTGGAAGGGGAGGAGAGAGTCCAAAAAAAAGTCAAAATATAAAGAAAAAAAATTAAAGAACTTGTCCCACAAATCAGGCAACCAAGGTCTAAACTTATACCCTCTGCCTGGGTAAATTGTTGTTGCTTCTTTCTGTGACTCTTAAAAGATGTACCATATACCTCATTTAATGACTTTGATTTATTCATGAAAACTCTATCCCCATGGGAAAAGCTGTTAAATGAAAAAAGATTTCTTTTAAGTAGAAAAATTATGAAAGGATTCCTTCCAACCCTCCATACCCAAAATATCTCAAATGAATTATGTATCTATCAATTATCAATATATATCAAAATATACCAATTAAAAATATCAGTTAAACAATACGTCAATTGAACTATGAAAGCAAGCTTATTTAAGTAGCAAAGAATAACGTGAAGGTTAGTAAGTATAGCTTATACTTAAAATACAATGAATTGAAAGCTCATGGCACTTCATAGAGTAGGAAGAAGAAACTTAATAGAAAGTGGTAGTTGGGCGAGAAGGACTGCAAGGGAGTTATTTGGAAAATGCATTTTTTATTTCTGCATCATTTTGTTCACAAATTATTCCTAATCTTTTGTGAATTTGTGGATTTCTTGAACTCAAACCAGACTTAAAAATACAGTTATAGCACAGAAAAAAATCTTTAATGGCAAAATAAAAGCTAAGCAAGAGAGCCTTTCAAAACACATGAAAATAACACACACATACAAAAAAAAAAGAATAAAGAGATGTACAAGTGACACCTCCTCAACCTTCTCACTTGGTGTACATATGCACAGTAAATTATTTTGGGCTCAGCCAAGCATGGGAGCAATTCAAATAGATCCATATGATATTCTCTGATTAGAAACTCTTGTGGAGTAAGTTGGTGAGTGTATCTTTGCCTAAAACAGTCATGTCAAAATATAGCTTCCTATAGCATATTTATTTAGTATCATTTTGGTGAAAAAGTGGTTATACAGAATAGAAAAGAGTTGTCCAAAACTAAGTGGTTGACCTTTCCAGAGCCATTACCTGCAGAATTGTTATGTAAGTCTGTTCCATACTCGTAAAGGAATACTCAGCTGACCCAACTGATTTTCTCGTGTTTTTTCCTTCAAGGGCTAGTAGAAGTCTATATGTTGTGGTGGAAAACAACCTCAGCCCTATAGTCCAACATTTGCCTATCAAAACTTGTCCTATGATTTATAAAACTAGAACCTCACTGGTAAGTCACATTCCTAGAGTCTCCCCCATCCCTAACCCCAGTCACGGAAAATAAATCAAATCATTGTCACTCTTTCTTAACAAAGAGCATACATTTAAAACTTGAGTAAAATTACAGGTACCGTCTGGGTCCTTCAAGGGGGAACTTGAAGTCTCAATACCGCAGTTGTCCAATCAGAGGATCCAAGATGAATATACTCAAGGACTTTATGCTTGGCATCCTCTGGAGACAGTACATAACCACCAGCTTGGTTTAACTGGAGATTCATTTGGGTTAGGAGAAATTATGTAGGCAATGTACTTAGTCAATGGAGGCCTCATGCCTGAAGACTTACAAGAATCTGAATTCGTATGTTACTTTTCCTTTAATGGAGTGGAATTCCAAATGAAAATAATCAAACAGCATGTGCATAAACATTAGATATAATACCCACATTTACAAAGCCTTTATAGATATGCAAGTGTTATTGCGTCTGTCCCTAGCTTCTGTACAGAATTTAATGGGTAGCTGTTACTATTTTATTGCTGTATAAAAATGAGGAAACTGATAAGTTGTCTAAAGGTGCACAATCAAAACACATCAAAGCCATTGTGAAATACAGGTCCCCGGATTTCAAAAACAGATCTTCTGCTTATAAATTCAGTCTTTTTCATACTGCCATAAACTCCAGAATGGGAAAACAAAGTTACTATCAGAAAAGCTTCTTTTAGCTGGGCGTGGTGGCTCATGCCTGTAATCGCAGCATATTGGGAGGCCAAGACAGGCGGATCACTTGAGGTCAGGAGTTCGAGACCAGCCTGGCCGACATGGTGATCTCTACTAAAAATACAAAAATTAGCTGGGCATGGTGGCGGACACCTGTAATTCCAGCTACTTGGGAGGCTGAGGCAGTAGAATCGCTTGAGCTGGGGAGGCCGAGATGGCTTAGTGATCCGAGATGGCGCCACTGCACTCCAGCCTGGGTGACAGAGTGAGCCGACATCGCGCCACTGCACTCCAGCCTGGGTGACAGAGTGAGACTCCATCTCAAAAGAAAAAAGAAAGCTTATTTTTTCCCCTAATCACCATAATATTCACTATTAAGTGAGGGAAATAGAAATAATTTATTTAGCAAATCCTTTCTAGTTCAAATAATTTGTATACAGGCTGTGCAAACATAATAATGAGATTCTTTTTAGTCATCTTGCTTTATATCACTAATTACACTCTTATTTAATGATATTTTAAAGAAAAACGTGTTTATTTTCAAGTAGAAAACTCATATCTGTCCACCAAGGAAAGCTGTAACAAATGTAAAATACATAAAAAAGATAACTGCTAAATTTCTAAAGCATTCCAAAAAAAGACAAATAGAAGGGTGTCAGATTAGGAAAGTATGTCTTGTAAGGTGTAACGGACAGACTGATGAGCTTAGAGATGTGGATCTCAAAGTGGTTCTCAGAGCAACAGCATCAGGGTCACCTGGGAACGTGTTAGAAATGCAGATTCTCAGGTACCATCCCACATTTAATGAATCAGAAGCTCAGAGTAGAGACCAGCAATTTGTTTTAACAAGTCCTTCAGGGATTCTGATACAGCTGATGTTTGAGAAACACTAGCTTTAGGTAAACGTAAGAGGGTCACGTTAGTATTTTTAAATCATTGGAAGTTGGTTTGTTTTGTTTTTTCTTAAGTGGGACTCATTTATACTTCAATACACAGAATGGATATTTAGAGGAAGTCGTTTTTGACCTAACACGGATGAGCATTTCCAATTGAATAGCGCTTTCTGATAATGGGGCTGCCCACTACAAGTGAATAACTGGGTTTCTCTAGGCTGGAGCTGCAGACAGGTCACTATGTGTATGGAGGATTGTATTAATATGATCGTGGCTCTTTATAGCTCTGCATTACTAATATTCTGTTTTAAAGTCTCTCCTCAATATCCAATGTCTCTGTGTGAATGATGGTAAGGAGTGGGTAACAGTAACAATCATCCTGTTGTTGACAACAGATGATAAGAGAAAGCCCAACTTTACACTCTGTATAATCTTACACCAATGCCCCATTCCTCGTCTAATTTTTTTTACATGTTAACACATGACCTTGGCATTACTAAATAAGAAGCCCTCTCACTTAGAACCCGATGCAGTATGATAAAAATTATTTTGAGAACAATCAGGAGCTCTAGTTTTCAATTCTGCTTCTCTTCTCAAGTAGTTCTGTGCCTTAGTTTCTTCTTTGTAAATTTAAATGGTTGGAACAGAGGATCTGTTAAGTGTGATTCAAGCTGAAATTGTATGTAGCCCACACTGAGTTTCTCTGCTATACCCCTAACCCATTCAACAATCACATCACCAGTTTTCAGGACTCACAGTAGGATAGCCGTCTATCATTTGTTAATAGGTGTGCTCTTTCATCCAAACAAGAAACTCATGATTTCTGCAGTTTTTTATTCTAGCCAGGTTCTAGGTGCTGGCCTGGAACTATAAAACAAACATTTCACAAAAAGTTATGACAATATACAAAGGAAAGACAATTTCTTTGAATATCCATAATCTCAATATACAGTCTGGCTGTGGATGGCCAAGAGATAGTTTCCTTAACTGGAAAAAGCTTTTAAATGAGGCTTGGTGGAAGATATATCTTTGCATCATTACAAAGAAGAAAAAAGAGAAATCTCACAACTGAAGAAAGTGAAATCCACTTTACTTAATGCGGACCTCTGTCTCTGGTGTGCAGGTCCTCTGTGTCCAAAGATAATTAGCACTTTATAATGCTAATTATTATAATTAGGTCTGAGAAAAAAATCATTAGGGGGTAGGCCCGTTCACTGATTTTCAACTGCCCCCTCTATTTAAAAATAAGGTCATTTTTCTATGAAATACCTTTAGGAGCTCAAAGCAGAAAGAGGGTTATAGAAAATCCTGTGTAGGTATAAGCCTGAGTTTTTAATATTCTTATAATTCTGTGATGTGTCTGGAAACTGAACCGGGAGGAAAACAGTGAACCTATTTAGTCCAGGAGACTAGAAATCAGGACTCAGAAGAGTAAACATTTCTGTAATAGTTAGTCCTCAAATAGTCATTCATTGACCTTCCACTGGGTGTCTGGCAATGTGCAAGCTGCTTCTAGATGCTACCTCATGTAACAACCATCACAGTTGCACAGAGCAAGTACTAGTACTCCACTTTCATAGATAAAGAAGTAAAATCTTAGAAATTAGCTGCCCAATGTCATGTATGTAGGAAAGGAAAGCTGGATTCTGATTCATATTTGCTGGCTCCAAAGCACTTGTTGTAAATACTTCACTATCCTGTGCTTACATGTAAATGTACCATTTCTCTTAGGGGTCTTGAAATACTGAACCAAAGAATGGTGTAGGGGAAGGGCAGTTTAGAAATACCTGGAAATTTGGTTGTTTGAAGGAAGCCCACTCTCAGATGGTAGGAGATCAAGCTAACAGAATAGCTGAGAATATTTTCTGAGGCCCCAGAAGTATAAAAACGGTCTAGGGGGGAAAATTTGGGACACAGAGTGAAAATAGCCTGCCTCTGAAGACCAGCTTCATTTCTTCCCCTCTGGGTGTTAATGAAAGAGCCTTTAACTTTGCCAGGCCTCAGTTACTAATTTCTAAAACAACTGCTGCTACTATTACTACGGATCTTACTGCTACTATGACCACCACCACCACCACATCAGTTACTGAGAACTGAACTAGATGCCAAGAAATATGGTAAACACTTCATATACATTATCTTTTTAAACACAAAATGTACTATTAATCCAGTTTTACATATAAGAAAACTGAGGCTCAAAGAGGCTAAGTAATTTGTATGTGAACATGCTTTACACTATGTAAAACACCTTATTAGTAGATATCACTATTATTAAGAACCTATCAGCTGGAGAGGAAGAATTGGCCTTTTATCTTTCTAAGATGCACAGTTGTCTTTCTGTTTAATGGTTTTTTAAAAATCTCCCTGTGACAAGCTCCAGAGGACAAATAATTTGTTTCTTGTGGTGTATGGCTCTCTAAATGAATTAATTGATAGGCATCCCATTGTCAGTCTCAGGGATGTGGAAATAAAACAGACATGAGATGTTTTTTACCAAACTAATTTGTGCTTTAAACACATAAATAATAAATATATATATATTAAAGTAAATGTGTATTTACCGTCTCTCCTGCTCCACTTTGAATTCAAGAACCCGTGTCTTTGTTGGGTCACTGCACTGTCAATTGAGAAGTTTGGTTTTGTTTCTTTGAGTGTTAGTAAGTGGCATTAAATGGTAAATATTGCCGGGGGAAAGAAAGGAGAAAAACAGCTCTTCCAATCCATCCCTGTTTCCATTCAATTAAAGGAGGGTAGAAAGAATACTTAAGATAATTGTAATAAGTCTAATAGAATAGCAGGAGCCACTCTTTTCCTTTCAGTAGGCCATTAGCTCAGAACTATTTTCAGAGTAATACTAAGATGATATTTGCCTTTTCACTGTGTTGGCACTTGTATTGATAAGGCAAAAACAGTGGAGTCTTAGCAAAAATTAAGACCATGAAAACAAACTGCACTAGGAATAATTCTCTTCTTCATTACTGTTTACTTGTAGGGGGAAAAACCATTTTCATTTAAGAAAGTCCTTGGTGAAGTAGTAAAAATATTAATTTTATTAAATCTCAACCTTGAGTACAAGTCTTGTCCTTGACTGTACTTACAAGTTTTGTCCTCCCCAAAGCATATGGCGTCAAGGCTGGGCCTAACCCAGTCTCATGACCTTGTGAATCCAGTCCACAAACACAGAGACACGCGTGAAGACGGCTGGCCAGCGCGACCTTGTGCATACTCGGTTGGGGATTCTAATTCCTTTCAGGACCCAGCAGTTGTGGGTAAAGCAGGCAAGTAGGCCCCCGTAGTCACTCTGGCAGGTAGGAGAACTGATGAGGGCCCCGGGCCACAGCCATGACTAGCCTGCTTCATGATAAAATAGTTCATTTCTAGCCCCCCATACCCTTCCAGGGCTGGCCCAGGGCCCTGCCACCAACCTCACAGGCCCCCACAGGGGCCAACAGTCCCTCAGTGCACATCTCGCTCTCCCGCACATGTCCTCGGTGCTTGATGTTACACTCCTGGTTGGAGATGACGTTCAGCAAGGCCACATTTAGGACTGTGTCATTACCCGTATCTGCAGTGAGGGGAATGGGGAGAAGGAGACGGTCCTGGAGGAAGATCCAGGGCTGGGCCTCCTGGCCACCAGCAGTCCTGTGCACTATGCTCTTACCTTTGGTCTCACCCCAGCCTGCAATCTCACACTTGGTCCCTGGAGGCACCACATACCATTCAGGCGGCAGGCAGATCAGGGCCACACGCTGGTTCAGGGTCACAGATCTTTAACAAGAATGGGGGCACTCAGGGTCTGAGGCCACAAGGCTCAGCCCCACCTCACATCCTCCCAGGTTGTCCACATACCTCTCCAGCTTGAGCAGGACAAGCTGGGAGCCTGAGGGCCCACACAGCATCTTGGCTACTGGGACCCGCTGTAGGCCTGGCTCTCCATGTTGTGGGTTCTGGAACAGGGTGCCCAACCATACCTCATAGCCCGTGAGAGGCATATGGCTGGGAGAGAAGCTCTGCTAGGTCATTTGTGACTCTCAGTCCGTTGCCCCAAGGCTCACTTGTTAGCTTGCCTGGGGAAAGGGGAAAGTGGGATGAGACTGGGTCCCCAAACACAAGGGAGGCTCACCAGGAGGAGAAGCACTGCCGGGCAGTCAGTATCCACTGCTCCTTTACTAGAGACCCCGCGCAGAAATGCTGGCCCTGCCTAGAGGAGTGGGGAATTAGGACAGGAAACAGACTCCTGGGACAGATGCTAGACCTGCCATCTTCTGGCTAGGACCTCTGGGGGCAGGGATAGATTCCCAGCCCCCAGTGGCATAACCACAGAGGACACAACCTCAGCTCCTCTCTGTGGGAGACAGGCAGTTGTGCCTCACCGATTCCCCAAGCTGACTGTCCAGGGTGAGTTGCCCGGATGGCCCCCAGCCACGCGCAGCTTGGAACGACGCTGATCCAGCCGATCCACCCTCTTGCCACACTTCTCAAACTGCACCTGGTCTGTAGGATGGGGTGGGCTGGATGAAACCCAGACTGTGTGGATGTCGTGGGCTAAAGGGCCTGACCCATAACTGGCCCAACTCCTAACCTGGGGGGGTCCAGGATTGATGGCGGCTGGTCATCAGCTGAAAGACAAAGTTCACTGGGGTTAAGGGAGCCAGCCTTTGGTGGTGAGGGCTGAGGCAGGGTCATGGGGCAAGCGTCACTAGTGCTCACCGCAGCGTCGCAGGGCACAGTAGTCGAATGGGGTCCTTGGGTCCATCGTGTAGCACCAGGGCCCATGGCTATCCCCATCTGGGTCTGGCAGAAGTTCTCCTCCAGTTGTGCATGCGGTTCGGAGGTAAATGTGAACCGAGGCGGGAGCGGGAGCAAAATCGTGGCAGGGTAGTCTCAACCATTTCCAGGCTCTGGTCCCAGACACCAAAGCATGCCGCCCCAGGGTTAGGGCCCTGGCGGGGCCGGGAGCACCAGGGACTCACTGCAGCTTGTGCGGCGTCTCAGCGGACCAGCGCTGGCACTGGACACCCTTGCGGGTCTTGCTGACCGTGCCGCGGTACTGCTCCCCCGCGCCGTGGTAGCAGTCTGCGGCCGGTGCGGGCAGCCATCAGGCCGAGACCTCGCCCCGGCCCTCCGGTTCCAGGCTTCCAGCCCCGGCTCTGTAGCCCCCAAGCTTGGGCCTCACCCTGGGGCCGCACGTCGTCTGTACAACGCCGGATCTGGTAGCAAAAGCCCACGCGCGTGCCGGGCCGCAGTGTGAAGCACCAGGGCGCCTCTGAGCCGTCGAGGTTCCAGCAGAAGTTCTCCCGAAGGTCTCTAAGCAGGCGCTCCACTCAGCCCTAGCCCGCCAGCCTCCAGCCCTAAGCCCGTGACTACCCTCCTCCCGTCTCACCCGCAGCAGCACGTCCCAACGCCCGCCCCCCCGCCCACCTCACTTGCACGCGTATTTTTCTGGCGTAAATCGGTGCTGATGCGGGATTTGCGCGTCCCAACGCTGGCAAGGTACGCCCGCGGTGGTGGTATTGGCTGTGCCCCGGTAGCCCTCACCCTTCCCGCGGAAGCAGCTGACACTTGTGGCCTCTTGGCGGGGCTGTGCCTCGGACCCTTAGATGGACCGAGATAGGTCGGGCCCCGAGCGAGAGCTGAGATCCCTCTGGGGCTGGGACCAAACCCGCCTTTCCCAGGTGTACGGTACTCCACGGGATATGCTCTCAGGTCACGCCCAGCCCCTCTGACCTCCCCGGCCAAGCCACGCCCCTCCCCAAGGTTCCCAGGTACCCTCCCAGGCCTGGTCCCCGCCGCCTACCGCAGCGGGGGAGGTCACAGAACTCTCGCTCGATCTGCGGATCCGTAGTGTAGCACCATGGCCGCTCGGAGCCGTCAGGATTCCGGCAATAGTTGTCGTCCAGACCTTGGTCGAGGAACCTGGGGGCGGTAATGGGGCGTGAAGAAGACCCTGGGACCCTGGCTTATCTGGCCCCGCCCAGTTGCCCTACACGGAGCCCTGCCCCTGGAGTCCTGGACCTTCCCTAGCCCGGCCCCCAGGGCGCCGATACCGCCTACGCGTACTTGCCCGGCTCGAAGGGGTGCTGGTGCGGGTGCTGAAGATCCCAGCGCTGGCACTCGCGCCCTGACTCGGTGCGGTCTACCGCGCCGCGGTATTCCTCGCCATTGCACCAGACACACGCGGCTGGAGACAAAGAGCCAGTGGGTTCGTGGATGGGCGTGGGCTTGCCCCTCCACTCTCCCAGCTTGACCCGGCGCCGCTTACCCACCCGGCAGGATTTGATGCTGCAGCTCTGGAAGCGCACGGCAGGGTCTGTTGTGTGGCACCAAGGACCTCCGGGGTCGCCATCAGGGTTACGGCAGAAGTTCTCTTCCAGGCCATTCCGGAGCGTGGGCATGTACCTGAGGGCCCAGAGCATCACTATAGTGTGTGCTGGGGGAAGGTCCCAGGCCGGGACGGAGGGAAGGTGTTTGTCTCACTTGTGATCGTTCGGGAACTTGTGGCTCCAAGCCTGGCAGGACAGGCCACCCACGGTCGTGGCCATGGTGCCCCGGTACCCAACCCCATTGTTCATGATGCAGGTCCGTATGTAGTCTGGGAGCAAGAGACAGAAGATCAACTTGGGCTGAGGTCCCCTGTCTCCCACCCTGCCCCTCTCCACCCCCACTCGCCTTTCTCCTGGAAGAGGTCACAGCGCCCAGAATGCCACAGCCTTGAGTGGGGCGAGTGTTGAGTCCATGGCAGCAGTTGGCAACCATGGCTGCTCACATTGTAGTGGAACGCCCTGGAGAGAAGAAGGCACAGGGTAACGCCACGGCCCAGGCTCCCCTGCCCCCAGTCTTATCTATGCCCAGTGGCCACTCACCAGCAGTCCATTAAGGGCCCACAGCGACCAGCACACTCTTCAGCATCTGCCACATCCTCCTGCCAAGGCCCGGGCACCACCGCATGTAGCAGGTGCTGTAGCTCTGTGCCCCGGAGCACCTGGAAGTCATTCGATGGCGAGCGCTGCCCTGCAGAGTGGGCATGAGTGGGTGCAGGTCAGGTGGGCATACATGTCAGTAATGTGTATTGGCATGTCCACACTTTGTTCATTCAGGGGATCAAAGCTACAAGGCTTCTGGGATGGACCCTGTATGCACTTTCAAGGGCCAGTCTAGCCCCCCTGCACAGATACTTGTCAAAAAAATTTCCCCTGGGAAGCAGGCCCAGACTTGGTAGTTATCACCGGTGCCTCTGTGTAGTGGCCCAGGCACCGGGCTCAGATCTAACACATACGCTCTGTGAGAGCAGTGGGTGATGGAGCTTGCCCCATCTCATCTCTCAAATGAGAATGCTAAGGCTCAGAGCCATCACATTACCCAGCCAGGGGCCCTGGCTAGGCATTCAGACTCCAAATCTGGGCTCTCACCTGCACAAAGGCATACGCTAGGTTAGAGGGGTAGATCAGGCTCAGGAGGGGTCATTTCCTGCTGTGTGCGTGCATCTGTGTGGTCCTAACACTGCTTCAGTGCTAGAGCAGACGTGCTAATAGAGGCCTAAGTGGGCCGTGTCTGTGTGTTCCTAGGGCTTCCCAGCTGTGCTCAAGAGGCCAAGGTCACTGCCCCATGCCCACTGAGCCTCTGGCTCCCCGACTTTTTTCTCATCCCAGAATAGGAGAATAGGGCCAACCCCCTCCTGAAGGCAGATGGGGATCAGGGTTGGGGGCACTCACCAGGGACCCCTAAGTATTGAGTCAGAAGCAGCAGGAGTGGGAGCCACTCCTCCAGGATGACTTCATCTTAACTAATTATATGACTATGTTGACTGCAACATATGTATGAAGTTTCATATACTCAATTCCTTTACTGCTTCCTTGAGCCTATGAACCCCCTCCTGCATCTCCTAGTCTTCACTGAACATTATGTCAATTCTCAGCCTCAGCTCTAAATGCTCATGGTTTCCAAAAACATATTTACAACCCACCATAGGTCCTGAGCACCAAAGCCTGATGTCCAGTTGCCCAGTGGACAGACATCTCCACTGGGACATCTCATAAGCACTAAAAATCTCAATGTACTGAAACCTGAATTTATATTTCTCTCCCCAAATGTGCTCCATTTCCATCTTCCCTTTCTCAACATCCATCCAGTGGAAATGTTGCTCAAACCCAAGTCCAGAGCCACCCTTGGCACGCTCATCTTCCTGAGCCCCCCACTTCCATCGGCCACCCAGGTGCTTGTCAGTTTGCCCACTTTCTCCCTCTCCACAGCCCTTTTCCTAGTTCAGACCTTCTGTCTCCCTTGTTGGGATCATGTCAACCTCTTCCTCACTCGCCTCTGGCTCTGGGCTTGTGCCTTCAACCGACTCTTCAAACCGTAGCAAGAGGGATGCCTCAAATCACAGATCAGATCCCTCTCTCCTTAAAGCCCTGCAGCAGCTTCCTGTGGCTCTCAGGATAGAATTCAAACACTTCCAGGATCTGGACATCTCCTGCCCCTCCACAGCCCTGCCTCGCCCTGCATTCCAGCCCCACCAAACCACAGTCAGTCCCTTCCATGGTTTTGGATCTCTTGTCTGGGAACTTTGCACCTGCTGTTCTCTCTGCTTAAACTCTCGCTTTCACCCATGCGACCTGGTTCACTCCTCATTCTCCTGCATGTCTCAGCTTGGAAGTCACCTCTTCCAGAAAGCCTTCCCTGACCCTCAGGTCCAGGTTAGATCCCCCACCTGGATTCCCACAGCACCGTGTTTTTCCCCTACCACAACCCTAGTCATGCCCTTTAGCGAACAGCCAACAGTTACTAAGCACCTGCTGTGTTAGGCTGTTTCTTAGGACTTTATAAGAAAGATCACATTTAATCCTACGAAGTAGGTACTGCTATTATCCTATTTTTTAGATGAACAAACTGAGGCAAGAGCAGTCACACACACATAGAGTCAGTAAGTGGTAAAGTTGGGATAGAAACCAAGACAATCTGACTCATGGATGTTACACCGTGTGTTAGAACTAGCCTTGAAAAAAAGACACAAGCTTGTGCCCTGTGCCAAGAAAGTTTCTGATAATGGTGGCGGTGGTGGTGGTGGTGGGATTTAATCAGTTGGCAGAAGTCTGTATTTCTAACAATCTCTGATTCAAATGGGCAGGACCCATGTCCATTTCTCTTTATTGCAATTGTATTATGTTTCTTACCTTCACTCTGCAACAAGCTTGGTGAAGACAGAGAACATGTATCTGAGGCCCTTCATCTCCCCTCAGTTCCTAGACCAGCACTAGCCCATAGTCAACCCTCCATCAAAGTAGAGGGAGAAAGTAAGTGGCTTTTACCCTGTGCTTTCTGAACTCCTGGGATGCTAGGAAGAGCCAGAAAACCTTGTCCACCGAACCCACAAATTCACTCTCTTCATCCCTTCCTCACTCCACTTCCTTCCCAGTAGTTGTTGGAGTTTTTGAATTTTCCCTCTGTGAGCCCTTGCCCTCCCCTGCCATGTTCTCAGCAAAGGCCCTGGCCTCCAGGTCCATGAGAACAGGATTCCCTGTAGTAAGAGCTCTTCCCTAGCCTCCTCCACTTCCAAAGGGGCTGGAATCTTCACCCCTTGATCCCTTCCCTTTTTAGAGCACAGAGGAAGCGGAGCCCTCCTCCTGCCCTGGGCTCCCATGCCCCACATGTTCCTGGAGAGCACCCTTGGGCCACTGTTGTAACTACATGGTGACTTGCTTGCTCTCATCCTTCATGACCCCCCCTCCTCCCATGCCCCACTTTGTTAATTTCACTCTCCTCTCAAAACTCCCCACAGTGCCAGTGATGGGGTATAAATGCAGCTGGGCAACGAGGCTCCCACAGACAGACCCAAACCTATCTTCCAAGTGTTAATTTCTTTTCTCTCCTCTTCTTCAAATAGGTCTCTTCCTTACACCTTTCTGCCATTCCTTTCTCTCTCTGCCTTGCCTCTCCCTTTTCTCCCGGCCACAGCCTTATCCAACCTCCCAGCCCAGCTTGGACTCAGCTTTCCTAGGAGGCTCCCAGACAATCCAGTGGGCTCTCATTTTTTTGAGTGTATTCAGCAGTTGGCTGATGCTGCATCTCCAGCACTTGCCCTGGGTTGTTTTATCTCCCTAATGGCCTGTAAACCCCTTGAGGGCAGGATCTGGCCTTTGTACTCTAAAAAGGTCTTCCTACTAGAGAATGCTCCACACATGTGTGATGCTTCGGGGAGTCCCAACCTTCATCAGAGATTCCCACTGGTGCCAGCTCATAGCTCATCATGACGTGTCCCAGATGGTGACTGGGAGTAGCCTATGCCAAGCAGGAGTTTTTCCCCGAAGTCTTCCTGTTTATTGCACCGGGCTGGCTGCAAGACATTGAGGATGCTGCCCCAGGGGCCAGCAGGGTGACTGGGGCAGGCGCCATGATGGCTGTGCCTGGGTGCTGGCCAGTGTGGCCCCAAGAAGAGGCCGGGAGCCAGAGCTGCATGCCCTCTGTCAGCACCAGCCTCCTAAAAACACTCTCGACTTTCTCCAAGCATGGATTGCCTGAGCTCCCCTCCTGCTCCCCAAAGAGGCCGGGGAACAAGTCAGACAGGGGATAAGTCAGACAGGCTCAGCTGTGGGAGGCTGGAGGAAAAAGACCAATAAAACTGACTTTATTTGTAATGTTCCCATGTTTGTGATTTTGTTATTTCTACTCTGTTTCCTCAGAGCAATGAAACAAGGAAACGGAACAAAAAATAACAAAACCCAGCTCTAAGTATACGTGAACTGTAAGGCCTCCCTCTGGCCTCCTCTCTTCCTCCTTCCTCACCAGGTTTGCCTGGCTGACCCTTCCAGCCAGTGAATTCCTTTCCCAGGTTGAGTGTTTTCCATTTTAATTTTTATGGCATTTCCCTGGATTAATGGTTAACGCATTCATTTTCTCCCCTCCACCCTCCATCATCAAAGAGTGCTTTGAATAACCATTAACTCTCTGGTTAAGCGAAAGAAACACGTTAATCATCTACAAGTCCTGGGGCAGGAAAATTATTCTTGGTAACCTTCTCCCAATGGCAAGAAAACCACTGTCCCTGAGCAGCTCAACTTCAGCCACACCTGGGTCTACAAGCTTGCAAAACCCCTCCGGTAACCTTGTTACAAGGACTTGGTAAACTGAGGTCATAAACTGCTGAATGGCTAAGCGCTGTGCTTTTCAACCCAGCCACCACCGGTTCTCTAGGACCCTATAAAGAGACAAGGCTGGGCTGCTGCTTCTCCCTTTATTTTTAAAAATTGTTTTGCCAGTAAAGTCTCATCTATTGTACATTCCTTGTTACGGGGAACCTCAAGTGGCTGTACAGGCTGTTCTTGGAGCCACAGTTAAAAGCGCTTTGACTCAAACACACATGTGGCGTCATCCTGAGCTCCGTTTGCGTGGGGCCGGAACACCGGACTAGGAAACCTCTCCCTGCTTTAGCAACTGAGTGTGGCTAGATTGAGGGACCACAGGGGGTGGCTCTGGATGCAGCAATCCAAGTCCCCTTTTCAGGGAGGGTGACCTCTTTCCGAAGTTCAGTGGATGGCCCCCTTCCAGGGTTAGGGAGACAGGAGGAGGAGGAAGAAGAAAAGGAGGAGGAAAGCTCTCAACAGCCCCCCACCCCCAACCCATCCAGGAGAGAAGGACTGCAGTCCCCGAGACCAGCTGGAGGAGTGGCGTGTGCATGGTGTGCCCTCAGGGTAGAGCGCGCCATCTTGGAGAGATGCCTCTTTCATTCACAAAGCGGATCTGTTGCAGAGCCCAGAGCCCCGGGGAGAGCAGGGCGGCGTCCAAGTGCTTGCTGGGTTTGGCTTGCACTCCCTCTCCCTTAAAGAAGACAGAGGCGGAAGGGAGAGGCTGTTCTTCGGAGGCGAGCCTCAGGCACTGCTAGACTTAGTAGGAAAGATATTGCTGGGGTCTTGGCAAGCCGTAGGTGCAGCGCTCCCCATCGTCATTCCGGTGCGGCTGGTTACTGTCACCCTGCCTCCTCCCCGCCGGCCTGAGAGCCTCTCTGTTCCAGATCCAAACATTTCCACATTAGGCAGCCTGCATGTGCATTTCCCTGGCAGTGGAGGGAAAGGCACCCCTGTGACCTGGGATGACCGACGACGGGGACTTGCCCTCCTCCCCCACAGGTGCACTTGCTCTTTTCTGGGCCAGCCTTGTGATCTGGTGTCCGGGCACTTGGCAGCATTTAGCAAATGTTCCTCAGTGCTCTGTTTGGTAGTTAATGCTGTTGACACGGACACCTTTGGGAGCACGTGGGAGAAGCTGCTGCCTCCGTTTCCCCCGGGTTACAGCGCCTGGCGCAGTCTGTTGTCCCCTCAGAAGTGGTGGGCGACATTATCTCCTTTTTCATCCCTAGCCCTCTCCCTTGAAGCTGTCCTGATCTCTCTTTTGGACCCAGGAACGTGAGCAGAGGTTACTACTCACTATATATACACACTGCATCTAGACTCATGCATGCCTTCTTGGTGTCAAGGACACCTCACATTTCAAAGACTTCATGAAAAAGAACGTGAGGTATCTCACACGGTGACATGATAAAGCTTTGGACAACGTGGGTTAAGCTAAAAACAGGTCATTACAATTAATTGTATCTCTGTCTTTTGACCCTTCAGTGGCTCCTGAAATCCATCACACATGTGGCTTGCAAGTATTTTGGTCGGACAATGCTGCCGTAGATTGTCCCACTCTGAAATGGTTCCCTCTGGGCTTACAGGACTGCTATAGAAGGGTCCTAAGGTCCTGTGCCTCCCTGCTTTTCAAGTGGCTGCAAACTTCTGTGCCTACCGCTTCCTCCACTGGATGTTTCCTTCCTGCCCTCCTCCCTGAGGACCTCCTAGTCCCTCTTCAGGATGCAGAGCTGGAGCCTCCACTCCAGGAAAGCCACTCATGTTGTTGCCAACACAACCCCCTGCACACATGCAGTATTAGGCATTGGTCTGCCTGGCTGTCCCTGGGCTGTGCTGTCCTTGAGGGCAGTTTTTGTGTCTAATTCCCAGAGAGTGCAAGAACACAAGCATGCTCATCCAGACGTTAGTAAGCTGCCCTAAGGGGTGGAGCAGTCAGATTCCGGTTTTATTTATTTTTCCCCTGCAAGGAGCAATCAATTATTAACCGAAGTCACGATACTTTGGTTGCTGTTATCAGCACATGAAAATATCAGTCAAGGCTGGGTTTCAGACCCGCCTGGCACTATTCAAAGGAAATTTTTTAGTAATTCTTATTTTATTAAGAGCACTAGTATATTCAGATCAAGTAAAACTTCACATATAACAGGTTCACTCTTCTATATGAAATGTTTGTGGGAAATCTATCATGCATCAGGTGCTCTCAAAAGGTGGTGAGGTGTAAATGTCAGCCTCAAAGGCTGCAGTGTCCAACATGGCACACAGCTTGTGTGGCTCTTAGCACCTGAAGCATGCCTCGTCCACAGTGAGATGTGCCGAAAATGTAATATACATCCAGATTTTGAAGACTTGGTAAAATATCTCACCAGCAATTTTTTATATTGATTACATGAGGAAGTGATAATGTTTTGGGTTGGTTAAGTTAAACGTATTATTAAAATTCATCTCACCTGTTTCTTTTTAACAGTGGCTTCTAGAGAATTTTAAATAACATGTAGTTCACATTATATTTCTATGAGACAGTGCTGCTCTAAGGCGATTATGCTTTGTTTGTTTTGAGACACTCACAGGTGTATGTGAGCATTTCAACCGGGTTTATAACAGCTTAGGAAACTGGGAACTTTGACTTGGAACTTTCCCGCCAAGTGACAAAACATCCGTCCAGTGATAGAAGTTTTAATTCTACTTCCTCCAGCTAGATCTTGCCTGGAGGACCCACGTTGACTTACTCTCTCCAGAAACGGCCCCACTGGCTCTCTGGGGGAACTC
Source organism: Homo sapiens (assembly GCF_000001405.40). Classification (NCBI taxonomy): domain Eukaryota; kingdom Metazoa; phylum Chordata; class Mammalia; order Primates; family Hominidae; genus Homo; species Homo sapiens. Next base: position 761,361 of record NW_025791756.1, on the reverse strand, counting down.
CTGGGTTCTGCAGGGACTTGCTAGGTAGTAATTACAGGTGTGTAGAGACCCTCCTGCTTCATACGCTCAGTCATCATTATTTACTTTTACCAGGCACCAGGGGCGTGATGAGAGCTTAGCTGAAAGGAGAGAAGACTCAGCAAGCACATCACCTTGAAGCTGACCTGTCAGCCAGATTTCGCAGCACCTGCCTGTTCCAGCCTGAGGGGCTGCAATTCATTCCTTGGGAAAGAGAGCTGCAAATTCCCTCTCTAGGCCACAGTCCAAATCCTTGCTCTTCTCTCTCAGGTTCTGGAAGACAGAATGGAGGCATCTACAGAGCAAGGACATGTTTTCTACCTGAATTAGCTTTTCTGACACCTTGAAACCATCTCTAAGAAATTGATTTTTTAACATACACATATACAGGTAAACATTTAAATCTGTGCCATAATGTATTTGCACTTCGAGTCCCCCTGAAGTCCTAAGTCACATGCTTCTCTTCCTAGGGGTTCTGTCTGAAGCAGAGACCCCTGGATTGGAGCAGTGGGAAGAATCCTGATGAATCAGGTGTTCCTGCCTGTTTACATTAACTGGGCACCCTGCCTGCCCACCCCACATGCTGAATACTGCTGGGGAGAAGAGAAGAAACATTTATTAAAGGCAAGGAAAAATTAGAGCCTTTTCATTGAGGTCAGAAGATTTTTGAGGTTGGATCGGCTGGCCAGGTGCATGACCAATTTTCTTGGCTCCTTAGAAGCAGCAAAGTATTTGAAAAATAATGGAGCCCTTCGTCCTACAAGTAAAAGCCCATTTATATTGGGAATTTTTTAAAAAGTGCTGGCGATGGAAAATTTCCGATGAGATGCATTTCTTCCTGCCTGAATGTCTTGAATGCCTGCTGGATTTGTCTCCCTGCTAAGACACTCACACTTGCAAATCTGTGCTTTTCAAGGTGGGGAGATGAAAATAAAAAGTCTGTGAGATGTATTTCTGGGAGGCCTGAAAACAGGAAGCAAATTGGAACCACAGCATGTGGGGCACGGATGCTGGATTCTGGGGGATATTTGCTTATTTGGAAAGGCTGCAAACATTCCATCCTACCCACTGCTAGGAGCTCTGCACTTTGCTAACGTCCCATGGAAACCAAGGTTCTCTTTAGGACTCGACAGGACTGGGTTATTTTTCTCAGCTTAAATTGTTTTTATATGGTTATCCTCAGTACTCTTTTCTGTTTTGGGATATTTTCATACTTTTTATTTTTTAAAAACCCCAGAATATCTTGATTTTGAAAAGGTACATTCACCCAAATAAAGTGCCCAGCGCATAGACAAGGCTGCCTCAATATTTCACGTGTCAACAGCCAATGCCCCCGGTATGTGCAGAAAAGCCTGAGAACAAGGAAGGAAGAAAAGGGTCTGGTCCTTGCTCTGCGGGTATTTAAGCATTTCTCAGCCCCCTCCTCTGACTTCTCAACTATGTTCACCTATATGGCCTCAAATGGAGAGAACTGGGGTTATAAAAGAGGATATTAGCTATGCCTGCTATAGAATGAGGAAGGCATTTCAGGATGTGCTTGGGGAGGAGATGGAATGAATGGCAAAGGGGATGTTTGTCCGTGAGGGTGGTCTGTGATCTGTGGGTGGGGGATGTCTGTGCAGCTCCCTTCATGGCCTCTCATGGCCCACACAGTAGGCAGTGTTTGCCACACACAGACCCTGGACAAAGTCACAGAGTGGTGTTGGTACCATTTCATAGGAGGGGTCCTAGGGGACATTCTAGGAAGTTCTTCATCAGCTTAGGAAGGTGCAGCCTCTGCAGTCATTAAACACAGTCTACCAGCCAGAGAAGCCCAAAAGCTGCTGCTCCTGCTGTTCTGCGTGGTGTGGGAAACTACGGCATTGGCACAACTTTGGGAGCTCTCTTTGATCTCTTGTTTGTCTGCATTTCCCATACTCTTCCAGTCACCAAGTGTCATCATTCTTCCCCAGGTTGTCTCTGTCTCCCTTCCTTTTCTGTCCCCATGACTCTTACCTGTATCCAAAACTATGGCGTTTAAGGTGAAAGAGCCAGTCTGTAGGAGCTGCTTCGAGGAAAGTCTTGCAAGACTGCCTTCTTGAACTTGGTGCTCAAACTCCCCTCTGGCTTCACAACCTGCATAGTTGCCTGGGTCAGAAACAGGTTCCTCAGGCAACTTGGTGTTGCATTAACCAAGTGACACTGATTGTCACTTGGAAGACACTCAGTGACTGACTATTAGAGATCATCTGCCTCTCATTTTGGGGATGTGAAGGTTGAGACTCAGAGAGGTCAGGCAACATGTCTGAGGTCATTGAGCCAACTAGCAGCAGCCCCAGAGTTGTCACCCAGATTTCCCGACTCCCCATTCATTCCAGAAAACCTACCCATGGGGAATGTTCTGCCAGGCTGTTCTACATCACCAGTAGAGAGAAGTTGCCTTGAGTATTCGGTTTGGTTTTGAAGTTAACCTATTCAGACACACTTGAGCATGCAGTGAGTCACTGACTGGATTCATTCCCAGACCTATGGACTCAGCACATCAGCTCACCAAGCCTCCTGCATACTCTGCTTCTACGCTGGACAACTGTGCATTTTGAGAAGCTGGAGGAAATTGTTTGGCATACTGTTCTAGGCCAGCAGTCATGCGATACTGAGCTAGGCCTGGCTCCTATAGGCTGGTGAAAGCCAAGTGTTAACTGTTCAGGATTTTTTTGAGTTGGTTAACTATTGATAGCTTCAAAGTCGCCATGGCAGGGGTATTTATACCATAGAAATTGGTACATGTTACAAATTAGGGTTTCATTTTTCACCATCCAGAGATCTGATTTACTAACTCACTACTGATTCTGAGGTAGGACCCCAGCTTAGGAAGGCACTTTCAGGCAAGACTGTTCTGCGGTAATTAGAAAATGGAGAGTGGCCCTGTCAGATGCAAAGGAGAATATCAAATTTGGAAAAAAGTACTGCCTATTGCACAAGAGGTAAGAGTCACTGAGACATCTTGCACCAGACCCAAGTGAGGGATGGAAGGGGCCCTGATGGTCATCTTGGGACAGCTTCTTAGGGTCACCCAGGAGCCCAGGAGCCAGGTATGCCACTCCGTGGTGGGACAGAAACCCCTGTAAAGAGCAAGCAGACACTCAGTCACCCAGGACCCTCCCCAACACTCCCATTCCCTGCAATCTATCAGCACATCCTATCAATCCCGTCTGGAGTAGATATCTGATCATGCCTTCTCTCCCTTGTGACCGCCATCACCCAAGTCCAGGTTCCTGCTACATCCTTCCTAAAAGGCCTTCCCCTGCAAGCTTGCCTACCTCACATCGACTTTCCCCACATAGCTGCAAAAGTGGACGTCTGAGAAGAAGGGGGAGGAAGAGGAGAAGAAGGAAGAGATGAAGAAGGCGAAGATGAAGAAAAAGAAGAAGAGGAGGAAGAAGAAGAAGGAGGAAGAGGGGGAAAAGAGGAGGAGATGATGTTATGTCATCCCTTCACCCTTCCCCTGCACACACACACACACACACACACACACACACACAGACACACACACACACACACACACACCACGAAAACCCTTCAAGAGCTTCCCATTGTACTTAGAATAAAATCCACGCTTGAGTAAAGCTCTGCATGATTTGGCCCCTGCAAACCTCTCCAGCCTCCTCTTGCTTGGGAGCCTCTGTGCTCACAACTCTCCTGTCACCCTGGTCTTCTTCCAGGTCCTTGAATGCCGGCTAAGCTCTTTGCTGCCCCAGGACCTTCGCACCTGGTCTTCTACTGGCAGGAATACTGTTTCCTGAGTCTTCCCCTGACTGGCTCCTTCATTTCCTTTAGGTCTCAGCTTGAGTGTAACCTCACAGGGCCATTTCCTGCTCACCTGGTGAAAAGTCAGGCCTCGTCTGTTCTCTGTTTTAGCTCCTAAGTTTCTTTATGACAATTATTTCAGCCCACAGTTCTTTTATTTACTTGTCTGCTTACATTTTGTTTTAATCTTTTCTTTACTTCCCCCCACTTCAACAGATGCTCCATGGAGAAATGGGTTAACCACTGCATTGCCAGAGCCTGGCATATAGGGGTGCTCAAATAAAGACTTGATGAGTGGGCTGGGTGTGGTGGCTCACACCTGTAATCTCAGCACTTTGGGAGGCAAAGGCGGGCAGATCACCTGAGGTCAGGAGTTCGAGACCAGCCTGGACAACATGGTGAAACCCTGTCTCTACTAAAAATACAAAAGTTAGCTGGGTGTGGTGGTGAGTGCCTGTAATCCCAGCTACTCTGGGAGGCTGAGGCAGGAGAATCGCTTGAACCTGGGAGACAGGGATTGCAGTGAGCTGAGACCGCACCACTGCACTCCAGCCTGGGAGACAGAGCGAGACTCCATCTCAAAAAAAAAAAAAGTTGATGAGTGGTTCATTCTACTGCCACCACCTATGGGAAGACAGGTCAGGAATGTTGAAATGAAAGAAGTGCTTGGCTTCCTCTGAGCCCCAGCTGGACACAGGCATCTGTGATGCATCCAGATTCAGGCTGCTCATGGACTCTGAGGACTCAACGCTCCCGGAGGGCTAGCAGGGAGCTTTGCACACATACAACCAGTTCTCACCAAGCAACTGGGGATTAATAGTGCAAGGGGTTAAATGGGTTCAAACTGTTCCTCTTAAGCTCCCCAAGATGGTGAACCGCACTTCAAAGCTGCTTGAAAATTCTTACTTGGTGAGCATGCTGTTCTGTGTCCCTTTTGGGCAGAGGATTGGGAAGGCAGCCACCAAGGCCGCCTGCCGAGTGAACAGGGGGAGGGGGCACTCCAGGTGACGTGTGTGCAGAGACCCGCTCATGCCTGACCCACAGTTAGTGCACGCTCACAGTGGTTCCAGTCTTGTCCCAGCGACCCGACTGGCCTGCTTTGTTATTGGAACTAGAGCTGATGATTCACTTTAAATAGATCCTTAACCTCACAATTTGTTTTTCTTGAAACGGTCCTGAGAGGTGCTTTCCAAGAAACAAGGAAAAAACTGACTGCACAGTGGTGACTTTGAGTCTGTCTGCAGAAAGCAGTGTGAGTGGATGGTTCATTCCCATGGCAAAGCCTTTCCCTGTCACCCGGTGTCAGGGACAGTGAAAAAAACGGGCCGTAGCTTGGGAAACAGGGGTGCTCTGCAGTTGCCGTAGCAGGTCTTCAGGGAGAGCTTACGGGAACCCACGGTGTAGGGGCGGGGGAGGGGGACTGGGTGTGTTCATTTCCCGGGGATGCTGTAACAAATTACCACAAACTGGGGGCCTTAAAACAACAGAAATGTATTGTCTCACATTTCTGGAGGCTGGAAGTCTGAAATCAATGTGTCGCAGGACCACACTTCTTCCTTGCCGCTTTCTGGCTTCTGGCGCTTGCCAGCAGTCCTTGGCAGTTCTCGGCCGGCGGTTGCATCTCTCCAGTCTCTGCCTTTGCTGTCGTGTGGCCATCTTCCCTCTGTCTCTGTCTCTGTCTCCGTATTCAAATCTTTTTCTCTTTGTGAGAACACCAGTCATTGGATTTAGGGCTTGCCCTAATCCAGTAGGATCTTATTTTAACTTGATTACATCTGCAATTATATCCTATTTTCTAATAGGGTCATATTCACAGGCATCAGAGTTAGGACATCAGCATATCTTTTGGGGCTGGGGACTCAATTCAACCCACCACAGGAGAGGTCCCCTTGCTACTAGGCGGGTAGTCATATCACACGCACATGTCGTAAACATGCTGAGCAGACGAGAACCCAAAATCTCTGATTTGGGTAAGATGTGATTCCAAAATGTAGAGTGCAGAATTGACTAAAACGTTTTGAGGCTTAGAGTAAGAGACTGCTGCAGTTTAGGAAGACTTCCTCATTAAAAGATTCCAAAAGACATATTCCATGAGTCACCAGGGTAGACTGAATAATGAGCGCTCAAAGATGTCCGTGCTGTAATCCCGGGAGCCTGTGACTATGTTACCTTGCATGACAAAAGGGACTTTACAGATGTGTTTAAATTCAGGATTTGAGATGAGATGATCCTGGATTCTCTGAATGGATCTTCTAAGAATCACAAGGGTCCTTACAGGAGGGAGGCAGGAGGGTCAGAGTTAGAGAAGGAGACGTGATGGCTGAAGCAGAGATCAGAGCGCGAGGGGTTGGAGGATGGAGGGAGGATCTAGAAGAGGAAAGCAGGCAGCTTCTAGAAACTGGAACAGGCAAGGAAATAGATTTTCCCTTCAGAGCCTCTGGAAGGAGCTGACCCTGCTGGACGCTTCAATCCTAGCCCGGTGAGACTGATTTTTTTCTTCATGACAAGTCAGTTGATGTTGTTTTAAGCTCCTAAATTTGATAATTGGTTACAGCAGCAATAGGAAGCATTGCAGTCACATAGCCCAGTTTGGCATCTTGTATTATTTTAACAAACTCTCCATCAATCCACCTGTGTATCATTTTAGTCTGCTAACACCAAGAACAATATGTTGCATGTGGAAGACCTTAATAACTACTTGTTGGATGCATACTCTGAGAGCTTATTATACACTCGGTAGTATGCTAAACCCTTTGGATACATCCCTGTCCTCCTATCTATCAGTGTGGAGGAGAATTGGACATTGAACAAATAATTTTACAAATAAAACAGACATTGATTTATGTGACAAGTGCTGTCACAGAAAACCACAGGGAGACATGACAGGGTAGAGTCGGGGAAACCTAACTTCAACGTGGGGTCAGGCAGAGCCTTCCAGGACACTCCCAGCTGAAGCCAGGACTGGACATACCCTCGCTTGGTTCCAGTTTTAAAGACAAGACACTTTGCCCAAGGAGGTGACCCGAGTTGAGCACTCGGAGCGTCCACCATCTTTTCTGAATGGTGCGAGGTTGTCTGTTGTTCATGGAGCTCGTGTGGGGTAGGCCAATCCCTGGTCTGAACTTGAGGCGGTGACACATTTTCATCTTGGTTCTGCCGTAGGTTTAGCGGGTGACCTTTGACATATCGTCTGCCCTTCCTGCATGTCGTTTGTGCTCTGGCTGACAAACAACGATCTCACCAGCCATCAGCGCTCCACAGGAATGAAAAGAGTGAGTGACCAGGACAGGGAGGGAGGAAAGAAGAAGTTGCCTTGTTGCCACGGCCTTCCTCAGATGTGCCTCCGTGCCTTGGGTCACCCCTGGGGCTACTGGCACCTTCTGAGACAGAGCCGGGGCTGAGGGCTAGATTGTCGTTCACTGGGCACCTCTGCACCGGGGAAGGGGACGGGAGCTGAGGAGGGGGCACTGAGCAAGGCAGAATCCTTATCCCCAAGCAGTTGCTGACAGGTGGAGAGACAAATGCAAACACTCAGAATGCAAACACACAGTGTCCAAAGCAGAAGCAGCAGGAGGGGCGTGGGCTCTGCCCCAGGAATTCAGGTGCACAGAAGGAGCTGGGCCTGCAGGGATACTTTGGGGTTTGGTAAATGAAGGCGGGGTCGTGCACTCTGCGGTGGACAACAAGAGAGAAGCCTCTCCACACATCAGGGTTACACGTGGCTTGGGGTATGGCTTGCCACCTTCTCCCGTTTCTCCCCACATGAGCAAGGGCGGTGTCCATTATCTCTCAAGCAATTCCTACCTCCCTGGCACTGGTAGATGCTGGACACATGGTACCTCCTCCAGCCTCACAACAACACTGTCACATCGTCACCTCCATTTCTCAGATGAAACTCAAAGAGGTGACACTTGTCCAGTGTCAGGTGGCTGTGAAGATCCCAGCACAGTCTCCTTGCATCCAAGGCCCTAGCTCTTACCACATTGTTGATCCTGGGTTGATGGTGAAGGTGTAAGCTGGGGTTCCTCCCCAGCCCCTACCTGTCGTGTGCACACCTGGCCTTCTCTGGGGGTGCATTTCCCAGCTGAGGAGACTGTCTGCGTGTGTGGCTCCGAAGGAAGCCTAGCTGGTGAGTTCAGAACAGGCCCTGTGTGTGATGTGGTGACCTGAGGTCATAGGATACAGACTGCGTCCCAGGAGCACCTGCCATTTTAGGGGTGGCTCAGGAAAGCCTCTGAGCTCCCTGGAGGAAGTTGTCCCCTCTCCACTGCTGCAAAGGAGAGTTGGTCATGGGGCCAGGCAGACACTCTCTGGACATGCTCGTGGAAGAGCTCTTTGGGAGAAAAGACACTCGAGCATGCCAACAAGGGGACTTAGGGGCCAGAATGTTCTGCCACTTGCCACTCGCCAACCTGAAATCTGCACCTCCTAATCACCTCCTCTCAGCCCTGCCTCATCAAGTGGGGTCTTGCAGGAACTGCTGGCAGCTCGGCCACCATCGGGGAAAACACCCCAGTCAAACACAGGCTCTCCTGTGCCTTGGCATAGAGGGAAGAGCCAGCCCTGCCCCCGCCCCTGCCCACTATGGTCTCAGGATTCACTCCTTGCTGAAGCCTTTACAGGGGAGCCAAATGCCCTCTCACCCAAGGCCCTTCCAAGGCCCTCCCACATCCTTTGGGTGAATCTGTTTCAGGAGCACCCATTTGAGGGAAAACTTCGTCCCCAGGAGAAATGGCAACGGAGAGGTGAAGGGGTGGAGGTACGCTTTGGAGCAGGGCCAAGGCACATGGGGGTGGGCTCCAGCCTCGAGCCTGTCCTTCTCCATGATCCTGAACATGACTCTTCTGGAACCTGGCCGGAAGTTGCCCCTCAGGAGACAGCGGGGGAAGGAAGTTGTGGTCCAGAAACTCCAGAATGCAGGGTGCCCTTCCCATTCAATCACGGAGGCTGGTCCAGGCCAAGAGCATCCTCGGCCTTTGTTTAAGCTCCCGTGAGTTCTTGGTTGACCTGGAGAGGCTGAGAGAGGCCCACAGGACCTCTTTCCTTCTGACCCTTCATTGCCTTTGGATCCAGCTCACCTCAGTGCAAGCCTGTGGCCTGCAGGGGAGGCCCTGAGGTAGAGGCACTCAGCCCTGATACCGTGAGGGACCCTTGAAAGTTTGTGCTCTTGTTTATGGTCTCAAAGACAAGAGGCCAAATTCCTCAGCTGACATTTTTACTGTCAGGACGTGCCAATGTTGTTCACTTTTTGTTTTGCTTTGCTTATGATTGTCTGGCACCTTGAGATGATGCTGAGTATGCCAGGCTATAGGATGGAGATGTGGGTGGGAGCAGGCAACAGACTGGCCCTGATCTTCCAGAGCTGATCACATTCTCTGACGTCAGCTCTCTCTGTTCATGTCCTTTGAAGGGCAATGGACTCCGTGAGGGGAGACCCGAAGTCTGTGAATGCCCAGCTTCTGAGATACCGTCAATACTGTTGACTGCATGAATGGATGAATTGCAAGTGAGTTGTTGAACACAGTGGCAAGGAGGCTCCTTACTAGCTTGGAACCCCCTCCTCCGGCAGGGAAAGTGATTACCAACCTGGAGGTCAGCCAGGCCAAGAGGGCTTTGAGATCTACAACACCATCTCCATCTACTGGGTTTGGGTTACGTGTTTTAAGTGGCTCAACCTTCCTCTGAAATCATAGCAATAGCAATGAATGATGTCCCATCAGGCACTGCCCTGGTTTTTTTGCACACACTATCTTTCATCCCTATAAGGACGATGTGGGATGGCCATTGTCATGTTCCTTTCACAGAGGTGAAAATTAACACTCAGAGAGAGTAGGCATCTTGCTCAAGGCTAGAATGGGGTAAAGCCATTCATTTAATTTATTTATTCAACAAATATTCATTGCCAACCTGCTATAGGCCAAGCCCCTGGCACTATTCCAGGTATCGGGAAAATAGCAGTGAGCAAAATGGACGAGAATTCCTGCTCTCCGGGAGCTTCACTTCTAATGGGGGAAGCAGAGCAACACACAAGATAAAATACACAGCATGCCAGAGGTTGTTAAGTGCCAAGGAGGAAAAGTGGAGAAGGTGGAGGGGAAGGGAAGGGCTGGTGGGCAGAGGGATATGCCTACTGCTGAGGAAGCTCCCACCATGAAGGTGACATTTGCAAACAAACCTGAAGGAGGTGGAAGACTGGCCAAGCAGAGACCTCCGGGAAGAGGGGCTAGGCCCAGACCCAAGCATGAGGGTGGCCAGAGTGTTCTGGGAACACGAAGACCAGCGCTGCTGCAGGTGGGAGGGGATGTGGGGAAGATAAGATGAGACAGAGTAAGGGTGTGTTGGGGGGTGACAGATTATGGAGGGCCCCAGAGGCCATCCTGAGGATACGGGAGCCATTCTCTGAGCAGAGAAGTGACATAATCCAATTTCAGTTTCTGCAGGGTCCTTCTGGGCTCTAGGCTGAGAGTGGACTGAGGGATGAGGGTGGAGTCAGGGGCATGGATTAGGAGGCTATGGCTAGTCCAGGCAAGGGGGATGGCAGTCTAAATCAGGGCAGCAGCAGAGTCAGGTTTTGGAAATGTTTTGAAAATAGAGCCAGTAGGATTTGCCAACATTGGCAAAGATTGGATGTGAGGTGCCAGACCAAGTGTTGTCCTCAGCAACTGGGAAAAAAGAGTTAACGTTCTGCATTAGGCTGTTCCAGCATTGCCATAAAGAAATACCAGAGACTGGGAAGTCTATAAAGAACAGAGGTTTAATTGGCTCACGGTTCTGCAGGCTGTACAGGAAGCATGGTGCTGGCATCTGCTTTCCTTCTGGGGAGGCCTCAGGAAGCTTCCAATCATGGTGGAAGGCAGAGGGAGAGTGGGCATGTCACATGGCCAGAGCAGGAGCAAGACAGCAAGGGGGGAGGTGCCACACACTTTTAAACAACCAGATCTCATGAGAACTCTCTCTCTATCTGCAGGATGGCACCAAGAGAGATGGTGCTAAACCATTCATGAGAAATCTGCCCCCATGATACAATCGCCTCCCACCAGGCCCCACCTCCAACATTGGGGATTACAGTGAACATGAGGTCTGAGTGGGGACACAGATACAAACCATATCATGTTCCCTGAGATAGGATGGCTGGGGGTTGGGGGTGAACAGTATTTGGGAGGGAAAATCAGGGACTCTGTTTTGGACACAATCCATTGGAGTTGCAGGTAGACGTTCCAGTGGAGAAGACAAGTGGCTGGCTGGCTCTCTGAGCCTGGAGTTGAGGGGGTGATGTGGGCTGGAGATTGGACTTTGGCATCATCAGTGTTGGTGAGGCAGCTACAATCATGACTCTGGATGAGCTCATTGATGGGGGCAGCAAGTGTGGACAGAGAAGCAGGAGGTCTGAAGACTGAGGTCTGAGGTGTTTGGGGAGAAGAGGAGGAACCTGCAAAGGAGATAGGGAGCAAGCAAGGAGGCAGGAGGAGAGCCGGGCAGGTGGGCTGCAGCCAAGCAAGGAGAGGGGGAGGAGGAAGGGGGGAAGGGGAAAGGCGGGGAGTGGGAAGAGGGTAGGAGGGGGAGGAGGAGAGGGGGAAGAGGAGAGCAGGGGGAGTAGGGGTAGGAGGAGAAGGGGAGGAAGGGGAGGAGGAGGGGGGAAGGGGGTGAGGGAGAGGAAGGGGAGGAAAGGAGGGGTAAGGGGGGAGGAGGAGAGGGGAAGAGGGGAGAAGGAGTGAAATATACCTGTCGTGGGATTTGACCTATATTAGAGAATCACTGTGCAGTGCACCAAGTGGCACTGGAGAAGTCATCCCCGAAATAAATTGGATTGTGTGACAAGAGATGGGTTCAGCAGATGCAACAGACAGGGAGGAGGGAAACTGGACCAGCCTTGGCTGTGGATTGGCTGCGCGATCTTGGACAAATCACCCATCATGTTTTCCTTCCGTGTTACGTGGAAATGTCTCTGATATCTACTGCCCTTACCTCACAGAGTAAAGACCCAAAGGAGATGTCATGAAAGCATTTTGAAATGCTGCTGAACACTCAGCACAGTGGCTGGCACAGAGTGGGTAGAACTCAATGGTTGGAAAATGTACTTGGCTGTTATTGTGCCTTTTTCATGAAAATATGAAAAGCTAAATAAACCTGAAACATGTTGGGGACTGAGTGAGGGGAGATGAGCACGTTCTGAGAGTCCTAGGACCATGCACTCTCAGAGTGCCTTTGCTATTGTTTCGCCTCCCGTCCTACAGAGGAAGGGCTTAGGTTTGCTGTGAATTTCCCCCTTGCCTACCAGCATTGCGCCAATTAAGGTTTCTACTTCACCGCACGTTTCAGCCAAGGATGTCAAGGGAATCCACTGCTGCTCCAGTGAGACAAATAACATATCCAGCATCAACACTGCCATCATCATTAGCATCATTGTGGCCATTAGGATGGTTGGCAAGGCAATAGGTTGGCACTACTGATGGGCAGCACCATTAGTCTTCTTAGTGATTTTTCAAAATGGACAGTCTGGAGCTAAAAGCGTGAGCCCTGGAGGAGCTCATTTCATCAGACCTGCTGCAGGCAAACACTCTTCTCTTCATACCTTTCCCGCCTGTACGTGTGGGGTGATGCCTGTCTTGGGAGGAAATATAGATGCAGTGCCTAGATATTCCAAAGCCCAGGTTCGGAATCTGTGTTCCCTTTGTTTTTTGATATTTCCCCTCCTTTCCTCCTGCCCTTTAGATCTTGTGCATTTGTGGGTTTTTCCCTTTCTGCTCAGCTCTGATCACTTATTTGCTTTTGTTTTTGGAGAGCTGCGTCCTCTCTTTACTCACCCACCTGCTTCATTAGAGATTGCTACTCACCTGCAGTATCCATGCTCACCTTCTTCCACGATAATTGAAAGAGTGTCCGGCACACGGCTGTCTACTTAAAAACTGCTTTCCCTAGTATCCCTTGCAGGCTGGTGTGGTCATGGGACTGATTTCTGCAAGAAGAGTTTGAGCTTCAGTGTGGTGTGACTTCTGGACCTTTGAAAAGAGGGGTTTATTCCTTCCATTCTCCCACCTTTCTCTTCCTTCCTCCTTGTTGGAGTGTGGCTATCATGGTGATGGTGAACCACCTTGGACCACATGGATGAGGGCCACACACTCAGGATGCTGGAGCAACAAGGTGGAAGGTACCTGGGTCTCGACTGCCCACCCTTGTGAAAGGTAAATGCAGTTCCATCTTATCTGAACCCTAGTATTTTGAGGTTCTGTTAGAATTGCTGCACCTGTATTCTAACTAATACCTTCTTTAGGCTCTTTGACCCACTTGCCAGATTGCAGGTTGCAGGAAGACAGAACATGGTTTTGCTCACCATTAGGTCATCAGGGCTGGCACAGATTGCTCAACACATAATAAATACTTGTTGGAAGTGTTAATGAGTTATGGTTTTACTCTGGTATCTGGACTTCTGCTTTCCAAAGGATGAGTGGCCCTTGACGCATTGTTCCCTTGGGCAACTGCAGCCTCTGTCATGGGCCAAGTATGGAATGTCCCTGGGAAATAAAATCTCAGAGGAAGAGAGCTCCTGCCCAGCCGAAATTCTCCCTGGAATTGTGAGCCTCCAATTAGGCTAGAAGATACAGTCTTCCCATCTGTTGTAGAAACAGAAAGTTATTTAGAGTATAAAACAATCTCCCGGCTTCATGTGTGAAGCCTATTTGAGAGTCAGAGGGTTCCAGCAGAGGGAGGAGGAACATCAGCTACACCTGGAGCTCTGGGGATGAAAGAACCCATGAGGGCCTCATAGATTATAGGGCTCTGACTCCTCCAGGGAAAGATGATCCAGTGTTCTGGCCTATCTTGGCCTGTGGTTCTTTGTGATCCATGGAGTGAGAGTGTCCACAATCGCCTGCTGTGTGGTATTTCCCTGACTTGAGCCTTTGCTCATAACCAGCATAGCCCACAAACACCAGCCGTATCCCTCAATTCCTGACTTCTGCTTTCCTGTCTTTACAGAAGAACCCCAGCTGTGCTAATGGTCCTGTAACCTCTCAGCTCAGGGCCATGAGACCTTCTCTCTGCATGAATCTCGCCTCCTCTGCACCCCACACTTCCACACCACTTCCTCATATAACGTGTTATCTGACTACACAACCCTGGAAATGATGTTCCTCCTGATGTGTTCCCAAGCATTCTTGCTATTCTGCTTCCTCTAGAAGCCAGGGAACTTTAGCTGACCAGGTCTGTGTCTTGGGCACCTGCCTTGGTGAGCGACCTCTGAGAATTTCTCACTAAACATTTGTTGAATGAACTAGGAGATATATAAGGGAATGCCTCTTCTGCCTACCATGAGCATGGCCTTAAGTGTTATCTTTGTTGCTTGGCCAAGTCATGGCCTTGAGTCCCAAGTGAGGTGCCCAGCCCTTATTCCTGATCAATAAATACTTTTAGACTCCTGATTATTCTCGTGCTTGCTTGCTTGCTAATCTCTAATAGATTAGATCTATTCCCTAATCTAATTCTCTGATCTTCCTCCTGAAACTTGGCTCCATATTGAGTTCCTTGCCCTATATCCGTACTTGCACGGCCGCTATTTGCCACCCAGAGTCCCTGTGCTGGCAAATTCAACACCCGGAGCATTATCATTTTGGTGCAATTCCTGAGCACAGCTTGCTGACTCTTCGGTACTTATTGTTTCTATCTGGAATACAAGAGGGAGTATATTATGAGGATGATGGTAAACCCAGATCATGGTGCTCAGAGCAGATCTGAAACTCTGGCAGCGTAACACCTCTCTCCAGCATGGACAGATAAGGGTGATTATTATTTAGTTGGACTTTTCATTTTGAGAGAAATTGTAGGTTCACATGCAAATGTAAGAAATGATGTGGAGACCTATGTACCTTTTATACAGTTTCTCCCAAAGGTAATACCTTCAAAACTATTGTATGATTTCACAAACAGGACACTGACATTGATAGAGTCCAGATTCAGAACATGTCCGTCATCACCAAGGTCCCTCATGTTGCCCTTTTGTGGCCGCACCTGCGTCCTCTTACTCTCCCCATCTCTGCCCCATCTTTAACTCCTGACAACTACTAAACTGTTCTTTGTATAACTACTAAACTGTTCTTTGTATAACTACTAAACTGTTCTTTGTATAACTAAAGTTATAATTTTGTCATGTCAAGAATTTCATATGAATGGAATTACACAGCATGCAACCTTGACTTTTCTTACTCAGCACAACCATCTGGAGGTTCACCCAGGTTGTGGCATGTGTCAATAGTTTTCTCTTTTGTTGCTGAGTAGTATTCCATGATAGAGATGTACTGCAGTTTGTTTAACCACTCACCTTCCACCTGAAGGGCAGCTGGTTTTTTCCACTTTGGGGGGATTACAAACAAAGCTGCTGCAGACATTCACATGTGGGTTTTTGTGTGAACCTAAGTTTTTTGTTTTGTTTTTTTTTTTTTCCTGGGATGAATGCTCAGGAGTGCATGCCAGGTTGCACAGACCTTGCATGTTTAGTTTTATAAGAAACTGTCAGACTGTTTTCTAGAGTGATTGCACCATTTTACATTCTCACCAACAATGTATGAGGGATCCAGTTTCTCCACATCCTTGCCAGCATTTGTGGTTGTCACTCTTTTAGCCATTCAATAGTCATGTAATGATATCTCATTGTGGTTGTAATTTGTATTTTCCTAATGGCTAATGATTTTAAATTACCTCTTCATATGCTTATTTGCCACCTGTATATTTTCCTCTTCAGTTAAATATCTCTTCATGTCTTTTCTCATTTCTTCAAATTTAAAAATTCTTATTTATTTATTTTTTATTTTTTTTACTGTGGAGTTTTGAGAGTTCTTTCTATATTCTACATACTAGTCCTTTGTCAGATAGGCAGTTTGCAAGTATTTTCTCCCAGTCTGTAGCTTGACTTTTCATCCTCTTAACAGGGTCTTTCATAGAGCAAATGTTTAACTTTGATGAAGTCTAATTTAACCATTTTTCCTCTTATGGCTCATGCTTTTGGCATCAAGTCTAAGAATTCCTTGCCTGGCCCTAGCTTTCAAATATTTTCTCTTTTTTTCTCTATAAGTTTTATCGTTTTATGTTTTACATATAAATCCATGATCAATTTGGAGTTAATTTCTGCATGAAGCGTGAGACTAGATTGAGGTTTATTTATTTATTTTTTGCTTATGAATATCGATTGCTTCCATACCATTTGTTGAAAAGGGTATCTTTCCTCCATTGAATTGCCTTTGTACCCTTATCTAAAGTCAGTTGGAAATTTTGCGTGGGCCTATTTCTATTAACTTCCACTGGTCTGTGTATCTATCCCTTCACTAATAGCATGTAGCCTTGATCACTGTAGCTATACAGTAAATCTTGACATTAGGTAGACTAATCTATCCCATTTCATTTTTCTTTTTCAAAATTGTTTTAGCTATTCTAGTTTCTCTGCCATTTTATATACATTTAGGATAATCTTGTCTAGATCTATGCAATAATATTGCTGGGATTTTGTTTGCAGTTATATTGACCCATATATCAAGATGGGGAGAATTGACATCTTTACTGTTGAGTCTTCTGATTCATGAATTTGTAATGCTTCTTCATGTATTTTAGCTCTTATTTGGTTTCTTTTGTAGGAATTTTAAGCACACAAGTACTGCACATATTTTGTTAGATTTACACCTACGTATTTCATTTCTCTTGAGTGACTGCAAATGGCATTGCATTTGTAATTTTGGTGTCCACTTGTTCATTGCAGTATACAGAAATAGAATTGAGTTCATGTGTTTATCTCTTATTCTGTAACATTGCTGAACTCATTAGTTCTAGGGTTTTTTTTTGGTTTGTTTTATAGATTCTTTGGGATTGTCTATGTTCACAATCATAGGGATGGTTTTATTTCTTCCTTTCCAAACTATCTGCTTTTATTTTATTTTCTTATTTTATTGCACTGGCAGAACTTCCAGTAGGAAGTTGAATAGGAGTGGTAGAGTGGTCATTCTTGCCTCTCCTTGATCTTATGTGGAAAGCATTCAGCCTTTCATCATCAAGTATAATGTTAGCTATAGGGTTTTATAGATGCTTTTTAGTAAGTTGAGGAAGTCCCCCTCTATTCCTATTTTTCTGAGAGGTTTTCTAATGAATGGGTGTTGAATTTTGTCAAATGGGGCAAGAGGGTGGTAATTCTTCATTATTCCTTACTGTAATTAGTCTGTCAATGTTAATGAGCATGCTATTATTAAGCACCTATTGGATGTTCAGTGTTGTGCTAGGCCCTGTGAGACATATAGGAACCTAAAAATTTGAGCCTTGCCCTCAAGCACTAAGGAAACACACTTTCTAAACCACAATTTAGCATATACCATAAGTGCTGCAGAAGGCCCCAGGCAGCGGAGGCCAGTGTTGCCCTGGCTAGAAGGTGTCACTTAGGTTGGCCTTTGGGCTGGAGTAGAACCTAGATACACAAGAGAGGGGAGTGAATTAGAGAAAATTCAACGGCCTAAAATTCTATTTTCTAACAAGGACAATGGTAAGTTGATAATTAGTAGGATAGAGATAGCTTTTGATTAATGAAGTTGGATTATCTCTATTCTGTGGATTATCCCTGACAAATGCTTAATCCTGAACTTCCTCCCTTTTTGAGCATTTGGGCTCTCTTTTCTGCCATCCGTCAACATGTTCAGGGGAATGCAAACTAATATTACTATTAGCTAAAGAAAAACATAATTAAGGAGGGCAATCTGCTGTCCCTAAATTGTATCATCTTTTCCAAACTAAATATGAGTGATATTGGTACTATCTTTTGTTTGGAGAGATCCACACCACTTCTCTCCCTCTTAAGGCTCAAGAAGAATTGACTGTGACCATGATATACACAATACATTTATTAAGCTGTCTCTCTAACAAGGTAGCTAAACACTTGGGAAGTAAGAGTAATGCCTTAGAGAATTTGGAACCCATGACATCTGATTCATTGGTATTGTCCATATTTGTACATGTTTACTCTAATATAAAGTAATAATATAATAGTGCTGTCATTTGCAAAATTAAAAATCCTGGCACATTACTCATGGGTCATGCTTTGGGTTGTCATTCTAACGGGTTTGGTGGATTTGTATAGATCTGGTCCTCTATCTCACTTTGTCCTGCTGGTGACCAGTGGCTCCTCTTGGAGGCAGACGGCCAGGGTTAAGGGTGGAATCTGAGGCCGTGAGGGAGAGTGAAATTAACTGCTCCCTTCACAAGGGAATTGAACCCCTGACCTTCACCTCATTAGCACAGCACTCCAATGCAGCAATTCCTAACCTCAATTTTATATCACCCCAGGGTGTCTCCACTTATCTCAAGCGGGAGCTGCAGAATTCCTCCAACAAAATTAATTTTAATTCACCTTAATTTAAACATTAAATACGGACTATGAGGCAGCAACTTGCAGGAGTGGGGAAGAATGGCTGTTGTTAATAAATCCCACCACCACAATGCACTGTTATCCAAACACCCCAAAACACCCTCTCGAACCCACTGAGCCAAACAGTGTGGGGAGGAAGAAGTCTATAAGTAAGCAGCAGGCATGGAAGGCTTTTAAATTGCGGGGGAAGCAACACCCAACCCTACCAAACATCTGCATTTCATAGAGACTGTTTCATGTGGTCAGCTGGGGTGCACTCTGACATTCACTGGGCCAGATGGACATATTTCAGCTCCTGTCCAGCCAGCCCATCCCTTTTTCCTCCTAGGGACTGTGATGCTTTGCATAGTCCCAGGAGTTTGCTGCAGGAACATTTTGTGATTTACTAAGAAAATAAATTGGTCTTTGTTGCTGGGGCTTTCTCCTGGGTCAATACAAAAGATTTATCACCTCCATGCCGGCCCACGGAGAGGTTGGCTCAAAGGATTCTCTGGCCACTGGCTTATTCTGGAGACAAGCAGAGTCCCAGCAGAACCTTTGCAGGGCAGGCCAGCAGCCTGAGTGTAAGGCAGGGGAAGTAACCGTAGGAATCAGTTATTGATGAACATCCTTAAAACTCTGTTTGTTTGTTTGTTTGTTTGTTTGTTTGTTTGTTTGTTTTGAGATGGAGTCTCACTCTGTCGCCCAGGCTGGAGTGCAGTGAGGCGATCTCGGCTCACTGCAAGCTCCTCCTTCCAGGTTCACACCATTCTGCCACCTCAGCCTCCCGAGTAGCTGGGACTACAGGCGCCCGCCACCATGGCCAGCTAATTCTTTTTTGTGTTTTTAGTAGAGACTGGGTTTCACCGTGTTAGCCAGGATGGTCTTGATCTCCTGACCTCATGATCCACCGGCCTTGGCCTCCCAAAGTGCTGGGATTACAGGCGTGGGCCACCGCGCCCGGCCGAACATCCTTAAAACTCTTCATGGTCTTTTACTGATAACAACATCCACATGCATTTTTTAAAGGAGAATAAGCATAGTTCCTTACCCTGGCAGTGCACTTTATATAATTTGTCAAAGAGTTTCACATGCATTGTATCTCAATTGTTTTCTACCTACCCAGAATTACCAACTTCATTTTATTGAAGAGCAAATAGACTTGGAAAAGTTAAATGCCTTGCCCAAGGTCGCATAGCTAGTAAATCATGGTTGTAGCACCAGATCCCATGTCTTCTCATATACTGCACTCTTTTCTCTATACTAATCTTATCTTGGTTTATTATCAACATCCATTTGCTTTTGGCAGGGAAGGGTCCAGAATCTTCATTTTACAGAACAACGAATTGAGGTAAGTAAGCGTTTTGGGTCCTGCCTCTTTTTCTGCTGGCACCATGTGCCTTTCTTGCTGAAGGGCAAGGAGTTCTTTTGCAGGCACACTCATTTCTGCTCTCAGAGGCCAGGCTCTCAACCATCATCATCAGTGCCATCCTGCTCATTGGGCCCCACCCTGCCCTCTGTGTCCAGTGGGGGCTTGCATCTGTGATTTCTGGGCAGTGAGGGGGTCATACGTGAACAGTTCCTTCGCATCCTCTTAAAATTGCTCTTTCAGCTCCATAAGTTTCAACTAGTCAAAACACTCTCCTTCACACTTCTTCAAAGATGAGCATTTGTTCTACATATTTTTTTGTAGTCATATTCTGCGAGTGCACACTTTCCCTCTTGGGTCCTTAGACACACCCTTTTCCAGGCATGATTCACTTCCTCAAGCTCCGTTCTGGACACATACATCTGGTGCCACCTGGAAGAGGGCTTATCAGGTCCTCCCACCTGGAATACAGCTTAACCAGAGTTGATTTCTAAGGCATGCAACCAAGAAACCAGACTGATATAAATGGGATATTATTGATTTTATCTGCCTAACCGAGTCTATAAATTTCTGAAAGCCATGGAAGGAACTCTATTTTGTTGCATTCCTCATAACATCTAGAACGGTGCTTTGCATATACTGAGTGCTCAAGGCATATTTGCAGATGGTGACGAGGATGATTTGATGTCGTTTTAAAGGCCGGACATCCAAGAGGAGGTCTGTTCTCTACATGTGCATGCACGTACACTTACACACACTCTCTGACTTGTAAGATGCCCTTTGCAAGAGTCCATTTGGGAAATGCAGTGGGCCCACTGGAAGAAATTCAAGGCCATGGGCCAGCTACACCACGGAAGCCCTACACCCAGCCAAACGTGCTCACTGGCAAGTCAAACCCAAAAACTGTCATCAAATTCTGCTTCCTGGCAGCCCGGATCCAACAATACTCTGAAAGACAAAAGAAGCAGAAACTCAAGTGAAGATCACCAACGTGTCTTTTTGGGCAACTAGCAGATTGAGCAGAGGGTCAGCACAGACACCAGCAGAGAAGAACATTCTCCTGGCAGGACTCTGCCTCCAAATTCGGCACCACTTCACAGGATCTCAGCCTCACACCTTATGGGATTTATTTTTTTAAAAAAGATCCAACATTTGTTCCTAATTATTCTTAGTAAAACTGCCTTTCTTGATGTGGCACCCATTACCTCATTCATTCAGTCACTCATTCATTCATTCAATGAAACCCCTGTCATCCACGCTCTGGGCTCTTTCTACAGCCCCACGAGATGATCAAGAACTCTGGAAAACAGGTAAGCCATTATCATCAGTGTATATGAAATTATCATCAGTGTATACGAAATATGAAGAAACCCAATTAGATGGAGATATCTCCTACCACACATTGAAATCAGAACTCAGACAAGACTCAGATGTTCTAACTCCAAATTCTGAGCAGTGGCCCCTGGATAAAGGATTATGGAGAAATACTGACCAGAAAAAATACTCTTAAATGGCATATTGTGGTGTTTTAAGGCAAGGTTGTAACTTTAAGGCAAGTTACAAGGTTTAAGGTAGTGCTTGTAACTCTCAAAATACTGTTTTGGAAGTTTGTAGTGATTTTGCAGAACGGCTTTGAGTTACCTCTGGGTGTTATCAATCATTGGATAGTTTTCAGAAGAAATCCACCTTAATTTGAGTTAAATAATATGTCATTTAGCCAGATTTCCTCCTGCCCCCAATCCCCATAGGAGTGAGAAGCCATGGCTTGGGGCATTATCTCAGCATCATGGGAATTGCAGAGAGGGTACCACAGCTTTAGAGTTTGAGGTGTTGAGCCTGAACAAAAGGAAAGGGTAAGAAACTTGGGGTGGATAGAACGTGGAACTACTATGAAGAGCTTATTGCATAGAAAAAGAGAAATTTGAGTTTAAAAAAAAAATGGAAGAAAGTAAAGGGAGCCCAAATGGGAACAGTTACCAGAGGAGATTCCCTGGAATTTGAAGGAACCAGGTTGAAGGATGGTTTCCCAATTTGAATAATTATAAGAATCACCTGGTACTCTTTTTAAAACTATAAGTTCCTAGAGCCCCAGTCTTAGACATTGCATTTAGTGTGTCTGGGTTGAGGCCCAGAAATCTGTATTTTTAACAGAAACCCAGGTGATTTTTATAATCAGGAAAGATTTGGGCAATGTCTGCATTTGAAGATGCTGTCTCTCAAAATGAAGAAATACCTGGACAAAGCCAAGTCCAAGACAGGGGCTCTAAGTCAAAAAGGCAAGAGCAAAAACAACATGAGCCTTTACAAAATGTGAATTGGCAAAAAAGCAGCTGTAGCTCATATTTAATAACCTCCCATGGCTTCCAAAGAAGCAGCTGGGTCTGCAGAGTCCTGTTTGTGCACAGGATGAATGGAGTCTGTGTGCCACTCGGGATGCCCCCACAATACCCACATTATCACTGAGGTGCTCCAGCGAGGCATTCATTATGCACTCCCCTGCCACCCAAAGCCTCAGGTCAGGTTTGCCTTGGACACTCTCCCTTCTCCCTTCTCTGAGGCTGAGGGGCTGCAGGGGCGGGTGCCTGAACTCCCTCCCTCTCTCAGGGATGCCTCAGCTCTATGGGACTTCCTCTGGTTCACATGATTGCATTTTCCTGCCTTGGGGCACCCTAAAGGCCTGCCTCTGGGAAGCAGGGTCTAGAGGCATGAGCTTGTCTGGACAACAGAAGCTCAATCTCAGCATCCTAAAGGCCTACCTCTGGGAAGGGGGGGGTCACAGAGGCATGAACTTGTCTGGACAACAGAAGCTCAATCTCCATCTCCAAGCAGTTCGATCCCCCAACACTCTTGGTATTAGGAGGGGAGCCTCTGCAAGTGTGAGGACCGGGGGCCTCTAAACAGGGTTTTTTTCTTTTTCTTTTTTTCTTGAGATGGAGTCTTGCTCTGTTGTCCAAGCTGGAGTGCAGTGGTACCATCTCCACTCACTGCAACCTCTGCCTCCTGGGTTCAAGAGATTTCTGGCTAATTTTTGTATTTTTAGTAGAGACGGGGTTTCACCATGTTGGCCAGGCTGGTCTCAAACTCCTGACCTCAAGTGATCTGCCCACCTCGGTCTCCCAAAGTGCTAGTATTAAAGGCGTGAGCCACCACACCAAGCCCTAAACACAGCCTGAGGCTGGTATCCCAGGAGGCCTTGAAAAATCTCAGGTTTGCTGCTGACAGGTGTGCCAGGAAGAGACCTGGCTGCTGTCTGCAAGTGGCCAAACCCTGATAATCCCGGAAATAAACAATAAAATAAACTCCTCAATGGTGATTATAAAGTACTATTGTTTATCAGCCAGGACCTGTGCTAAGCTTTTCACCTACATTATTTCATTTATATTTCAGAGCAATCCTTTGAAGCAGTCATGTTTATATCAGTTTTATGGATGAGGTCAGAGACTTCTGCTGGTTAAGTACCTTGCCACTATCACACAGCTAGCTAGTAAATAAACTTTAAAAAATTGAAGTATTATGTACATAAAGACAGGCATAGTGTACAACTAAGTGGGTTATCATAAAAGTGAACATACCTGTGTAACCATCCACCCAAATCAAGAGCTAGACTATTACCAGCCTCAGAAAAATCCCAGACCCTCTCCAATAACCTCCTCTTCCCCAATGGTGACCATTTTTGTCACCGAGTATTAGATGGCTAGTTTGTGAATTTTATAAAAACAGAATTCTACATTATATGTTCTTTTTGTCTGACTTTTTTCTCCACTCAGTATGACATCTGTAATGCTGATCTAATGTCATTCATGTACAAGTAGTTTGGTCATTTTTAATGCTATAAAGATGTTCATAGTATGAATGTATCACAATTTATTTATACATTTTTCATTTTGCTGGTTATTTGAGTAGATTTTAATTTTGCCCCATGACAAATAATGCTACTTGGAATGTTCTTGGATAGTTGACCCTTGAACAATGAGGGTCGGAGCAGTAAAAAATTCATGTATAACTTTTGGCTCTCCCAAACTTAACTAGTAATAGCTTACTATTGACCAGAACCCTTACTGATGACATAAATAATTGATTAACACATATTTTGAATGTATATACTGTATTCTTACAGTAAAGTGAGCTAGAAAATAGAAAATACTTTTAAGAAAATTATAAGAATGAGAAAATATATTTACTATTCATTAAGTAAAAGTGAATCATCATAAAGGTCTTCATCCTCACCGTCTTCACATTGAGTAGGCTGACGAGGAGGAGGAAGAGGAGGGGTTGGTCTTGTCTCAGGGATGGCAGAGGTGGAGGAAAATCTGTGTATAAGTGGACCCACGCAGTTCAAACCCATGTTGCTCAAGGGTCACCTGTACATGTGTCTTGGTGTACATATTTCGGCATAGGATATACCAAGAAATGTAATTGATGGGTCATAAGGTGTGTGGATTTTCAGCTTTAGTAGATACTGTTTACATAGTTTTGCAAAGTGGCTGTACCAGTTCACTTTCAGCTATGAGAGTCCTGGGGGATCCACATCCTCACCAACACTTGATACTGTTGGTCTCTTTTTACTTTTGCCATCCTGATGAATGTGTTTCAGTTTGCATTTCCCTGATGACTAATGAAATTGAGCAGCTTTTCAAATGCTATTGGCCATTTGGATATCTACTGGCTTATTCAGGTCTCTTGCCTGTTTTTCTACTGGGTTTTCTGTCTTTCCAGGTGATTTGTAGGAGTTCTTTATATTTTCCGGTTATGAATCATTTGTCATTTATATGGATTGTAAACGTCTTCTCTATGGCTTTTCTTTTCATTCTTAATAGTATCTTTTGGTGAAAAGAAGACTCAAATTTTAATGTAGTCCAATTTTTCAATGTTTTCTTTTTTGATTCTGTTTTTGTTTCTGTTATATATAAGTACAACTGACTTTGTATATTGATATTTCAATCCAAGAACCTTGCTGAATTTACTTATTAATTCTGTTAGTTTTTCTATAAATTATTTTGTATTTTCTGCATATGCAGTGATATAGTCTGTCAATAATGGCAGTTTTTTTTCTTTCTATTTCTTAAAATTTTATTTGTTTTCTTGCTTTACTGCAAAGGCTAGGACCTCCAAAACAATAATGAATAGAAGTGGTGATAGATAGGAAGCATCTTTCTTTTATTCTCAGTATTAGGGGAAAAGTATCAATATTTGAACATTTATATGATATTTGCTGGAGGGTTTTTTTGTAGATACTCTATCATGTTAAGGCATTTCCCTTTTAGTCGTACTTTCCTAAATACTTCTTTTTTCCTTTTACTATCGCCAGGGGTTGAATTTTATCAAATGCCTTTTCTGAATCTATTGAGCTGATCAACGATCTTCTTCTTTATTCTGTTACTGTGGTAAATTACATAGACTGATTTCCGAACACTGAAATAATCTTGCATTTCTGGAAAAAAATATCATCTTGTTTGTGATGTATTGTCCTGTTTATATATTGCTGAATTCAGTTTGATAACATTTTGTTTAGGATTAGCATCCATGTTCAGGAGAAAGAAATCACCATTTTCTTTCCTTGTCAGGTATTAAGGTTATAAAGCTCTCAAAAATGAGTCAAGAAGTCATTTTTATTTTCTAGAAGAGCTTTTGTAAAGACTGATGTTATTTCATCTTTAAAGGTTTTGAAGAATTCACTGATGAAGCCATCTGGGCCTGGAGGTTTGTTTTTGTTTTTGTTTTGGTGGAAAGGTTTTTCATTATGGATTTTATTTCTTTAATAGGTACAAGGCTATTATATCAGATATTCTTTTTTTATTTGGGTCAGTTTTAATAAGTTGTGTTTTCCAAAGAATTTGTCTATTTCACCTAGATTTAAACATTTATCATCATAAATTGGTTCTGAACAGCTTTTTGTCTTATTTAGGAGCCACAGATTCTATTGTTAGGGCTTCCTTTCCATTCCTGATAATATTTGGGACTCTTCTTAAAAAAAATTAATCTTATGGGCTTATCGGTTGTATTAATCTCTTTTGTTGTTTGTTTGTTTGTTTGAGATGGAGTTTCGCTCTTGTTGCCCAGGCTGGAGTGCAATGGCGTGATCTTGGTTCACTGCAACCTCAGCCTCCCAGGTTCAAGCGATTCTCCTGCCTCAGCCTCCCAGGTAGCTGGGATTACAGGCGCCTGCCACCATGCCTGGCTACTTTTTTGTTTTTTTAGCAGATTTCTCCATGTCGGTCAGGCTGGTCTCAAACTCCTGACCTCAGGTGATCCGCCCCACCTTGGCCTCCCAAAGTGCTGGGATTACAGGCATGAGCCACAGCACCTGTCCCTGTATTTGTCTTTTTTAAAGACTTGTTTTTATTTTTATTTTTTCACTTTGTTGGTTTTCTTTGTTGTATTATTGTTTTCTACTTTATTAATTCCTGCTATTTATTATTTCCATTCTTATGCTATCTTAGGATTTAATATGCTGTTTTTTTATTAAAATCTTGAGATGGAAACTTATTTCATTGTTTCTTCATCTTTTCTTCTTTTCTTGTAAAGCATTCAAGGTTTTAAATTTCTCTTAAGCATTCTTTGGCTGCATCCCTTACATTTTGATATGTTTTAGTTTTATTACCTTTTTATTGAAATATTTCCTAATTTCCACGGTAATTCTTATTTTGACTCATGGGTTGTTTAGATATGTATTAGTTCATTTTACATCACCTTAATCCGACCAAGAACTGAGCTCTTTAAAGATGGTTCAGGCTTTCTGCAGGCTGAGTTCTTCCTGGATCACCCCTTTGTGGGGAGTCTCAACAGAAGACCAGTGGTATTTAACCCAGCTCTTCCTCCTTGCTGGGCTCTGAATTCCTTTCTGTGCCTCAGCCCCATGAGAGTCCTGGCAACTCTGCTCAACTTCTCAGTTTCCGAGCCACTGCTGGGGAATCCATGCACGCCAAGGAGAAAAGTGGCTGGCACCTCTCCGCTCACGCCTTGTTTCTGGGATCTTAGTGCCTTAGTTTCTCATTGCGTTAGTAGTTTTTTTTTTTTTTAAATTCTTATTCATTTATTTAGGAGACAGAGGTCTTGCTATGTTGCTCAGGCTGGCCTCAAACTCCTGGGCTCAAGTGACCCTCCCACCTCAGCCTCCTGAGTAGCAGGGACTACAGGCTACTATTAGCTGGTGGTTTTTGATGCCTTCAAATAGATTTGAAAAAGATGTTTTGTCCACATTATCCAGTGTTCTTGGCACGAAGGGCGTCTGATAAGCCAATCTATCCTTACCACCAGGGGACATCCCCTGGAACCAGGATTTAGGCACAGGTCTGTGCACACCCAGACTCCAGAGCCCACACCGCTGCGTGGCAGGGGGAGTTGCCATGTTGGAGTACAGGCCGCCAAATGTGGAGTAGAAAAGGAATGTGAAGCCCTCTTGCTCTCCAGCTCTCTTCTTCATCATCTTCATTATTCTGGATCTAGTCAAGCATTGCCATTTATCTAATCTCAGTTCTAAAATGTGTTGAACACAAATTTTCTAGTTTCTTAGTAAAATTAATCTTTTAAATCACTTACTTTCTAACGGTTGTTCACAGGGCATCTGGGACCTCTTTTTCAAGTTCACCTTCTCCTGGTCTGAAACCAAAATGAAAACAAATAGAATCCAAGTGTGCTGTAGCTCCTGACATCCCTCCGTGGGCTCCGCCAGCCCCTGCATGGAAGCCTCCACATGGGTTCACCAGGCTGTTCTTCGGGCTCTCCCAAAGTGGCTGCTTTTCCGTCAATATGAATGGCATGACTGGCCACATCTCCCTTTTTTCTTCGGGTGCCAGGAAGCCTGGACTGTTGAGCTAACTTTACGGTCCAACCATAGCAACTATGTCAGTGTGCAGATAACTGAAGGTGCCTTTCCCTCCCTGGCTTGGCTTCTCCCTCTTACTTCTCTTCCCAAGCTCTCAATTTGCTTTATTTTTGTATATTTTACCACGATATTGTCTCTCTGTGTGTCTTTATATAAAACTTGAGTTACTCCAGTTCTGCCAATCTGTGTAATCACTTGGCATTTTTATTTGTGTTCATAATTTTCAGCCATGGAGACATTTGAAAGACAACAAAATCGATCCTGGAGAAACAGAGATGTGGGCACTATTGCAATTTATAGAATTTATTGTAAAATTGGACTTTGATGAATCTTTGCCATACATATTCTGTTGCTTAAGATTTTTTGTAACAATTTATGTGTCTATTGCTTTATGTGAAAGACGCTTTTCAAAATTAAAATCAGTAAACAGTGTTCTGTGATTAACCAGGAACAAAAGTAGATGGACAACTGCTCAATGAACATGAAACGATGAAGATCAATTTTTCTTCTAGGTCATGGACAAATTAAAGTAGTTAAGTGTTAAAAACAGAGACCATGATGTCATTCCTCATGACTACAATAGACCAATATTTAACTCTAAGCGTATTTCCTTTAAAAAAAAAAAAAGTTAACTACAAAAATGTAGTTAAAGGTGCTAATCTACTACTTTTTTGGTACTGTAATATTTACTGTATTATTTATTTTTCTATTTTATGGGCATAACCATCCACAGAAGGGTCAGTAAGAGAGAAATATCACTGCTTTCCTCTTCTATCCATTATTTTTGTTGTTTCGTTTCATGGCTACTACTAAAAATAATGTTGTCACAGAGAAGCAAGGTGATAAAAGGATTCTCTCTGGGGGTCAATCCATGAAGAAAGCTGGAGAAATATCTGCTGAACAGAGTTCATGGCTTCATGTTCTATCTGAGCAAGTCTCATCCTGCAGTCAGCTCTCTTGAGGCTGAGCCAGGTCTTTGCACACCTTTCCTCTGGCTGATGCTTTTAAATTCCCTCTGTCTTCGTCTCTGCTATTGAGTTCGGTCTCCTCCGTGAGTCCCCCACGGGGCCTGGTGAGGACAGGCTCTGTGGGAGCAGCTTTCTGTTTTGAGCCTGTGATGTCTGGCCAAGGAGCGCCTGTCAGCTGCTTGGGCTCCATCTCAGCCCAGAGACGTCGTGCTGTGTGGTCTTAAAGCAGGTCACTTCACCTCTCGGTATCTCTCTCTGTAAAACCCAGATAATAATACTTCCCAAATAAAGAAAGGGTTTTCTTTAAGCCCTTTGAGCTCCTCAGATGGAGCGCACCACAGAAATGCCAAATGCGGCATTGTGATCCGCGCTGCCTCCATGTGATTAGGTAATGTGAGATTGTGGTTCATTATGCTTTGTCTGGAATGAATGCGAGCCCTGCCACAAAGCACTGGGAACTCTCAGTTACACAGAAACCCCATGGTAAGCTTGGATTGGCTTACACTTAAATAAAGCACACCAGAAAAGAGCAGTAGTTTTGACGAACCCAGCTCTGAATTAACACTCATTTGATTTCTTCTGCTGAGTGCGGGCGATAAGTAAGAGATGACCCAGTTACAGGTGCGGGGGGCACAACCAACACTGAGGTGACTGAGTCGGGGGAAGGGCAGCCCCTCTGCAAAATGCTTCAGGCTCCCAAGGAGGCAGGCCCAGAGTGGGCAGGTCTGGACTTACTGCTGTACAGACAAGGGGGAAATTCAATAGCTACCATTTATTGAGTTTCTGCTAGGTGCCAGGAACTCTGCAATGTATGCCATTCTTCTAAACCCTCCAGACAACGGTATTAAACCATATTAATATTCTGAAAACCAAAACAAACACCCACTACACTTGACACATTTTTTTTTGTACCATAATGAAAGCCTATGTGTTTGGGCCCACAGTTTCAGCCAGGATTTTGACCTGGGGCCTCCTCACTGATCCTGAGGCTTTAAGACCACACAGCATGGGTCTGCGAATTGCAAATGGGAGGCTTACTTTTCCCATTCTTATCCAAGCCTCCAGAAGTGGCTCTGGAGCTGGATCCAGCCTCCTTTCTTACGAAGCCTTGGATACATCCCACTTAGCTTGACAAACTTTTACCGGAATTCTCTGATCCCATTTCACAGCTGTTGCAAAGGTAGGGTCTTGGTTGTGTCTTCCTTCAAGCTGCTTATGAACCAGGGGTGGAGACTAGGAAGTAAGGAACCCTGGAATCAGAGAAGTCAGGAGCAAGCATCTTGTTGGCTTGAGGTTCTCCAGGCACCATAAACCAAGTAGTGCGCATACTAAGAAAACAAGCTGGACAACAAGAGGAGAGCAGGAGGGTCCTTAGGATTGGCTGCTTGTACCATGGCCCCCAGTGGCTCAGTAGAGACAAGGGGAATCCCAGGTAAGTAGACTCCTTCGCTCCCCAGAGAGGAATCTATTGTGTCAATTGCTGGGAAACACGCTCAGTTGAACTGACCCTCTATAGCCGTATGTGCGTGTGGAATCCATTGTTAGGGAAACCATGGTGAGAAGGGAAGTGAGATGCTCTGGATGGGTGCTGAGCTGAGTGCTGATGGAACAGACCTTCCAGAAAAGGTTGCATATTATCCAAGGAAATATCATTGCCTGGAGAGTCCTAGGCTGACTTGCTCTCTTGGGAGCTGATGTTTAGGGAATGGGAGAAGCAGCTGGTTTAAAGCATCAAACAATGAAATGAACTTCAGAATCTGCCAAATCCTAAACATTTCTTGCTAAGCACCATTTTTTCTGTATTGTGAACCCATCTGTGCTTCAAAAGCAATTTTGTTTAAATGGCTTCTTCCCCTTACTCCTAATCCTTGGGAAGCTGTAATACACAGGTGGTAAAGGGGACTCCCCAAGAGATGCTCACTAGGACTGCTGTGAGCCAGATACTGGGCTAACACTGCATAGCACCGAGGGTGTGGGAGATCAGAAGTCAGGAGCCTGCATTCTCAGGGGAGGGACTGGATCCCTGCAAGGAAACAAAGTGTGGTGTGTGTGGCTTCATGATCCACTGGCCTAGGTCTAATAGCGGATCTTTTTGCAAATTTATTTATTTTTCTTTTCTTTTCTTTTCTTTTCTTTTTTCTTTTCTTTTCTTTTCTTTTCTTTTCTTTTCTTTTCTTTTCTTTTCTTTCTTCCTTCCTTCCTTCTTTCCTTCCTTCCCTTCTTTTTTCTTTCTTTCTTTCCTTGCTTTTTTTTTTTTTTGATGGAGTTTTGGTCTTGTCACCCAGGCTGGAGTGCAGTGGTGTGATCTTGGCTCACTGCAACCTCTGCCTCCCAGGTTCAAGCGATTCTCCTGTCTCAGTCTCCTGAGTAGTGGGGACTACAGGCAGGCAACACCAAGCCTGGCTAATTTTGTATATTTGGTAGAGACAGGGTTTCACCATGTTGGCCAGGCTAGTCTCAAACTCCTGACTTCAGGTGATCCTGACCTTGGCTTCCCAAAGTGCTAGGATTCCAGGCGTGAGCCACCGCACCTGGCTTGCAAATTTCTATTTCTAATTGAGCCAGCATTTCTTCCCAAAGGTTCACTGGAAAATCACTGACATGAAGAAGATTGATTAATAGGAAAAAAGGCATACACATTTATTTAACGTGTATACACAGGAGCCTTCAGAATGAAGACCCAAAGATAGAGGGGAAATTGTCCACTTTTACACTTAGGTTCAAGACAGTATGGATAGTCACATAGAAATATGACTGGACAAAAAGGGTCTGATGGAATGCTAGACTAGACTGAGTGGAAAGCGCAGCAAGGCCTGTCTGCCTAGATTCTTCCAGGCATCCATGCAGCATTCCTTCCTTCTGGGTATGGGACAGGATCCTTTCTGGAGTGGGGGTCTTATGACCTACAGTCAAATAAGATAGGTTAGATGAGGTCTTTATGGCCAGTTTTTACACAGAAAGGTGGAAGGAAAGCTAGAGTTGTATTTTAGGTTTTATGGCTGGCTTTGGGGAAAAGGGGTTCTGGTTTTTATATCCGCCTTGGGGAAGAGGGATTCTGGTTTCTATGGCTGGCCTCGGGGAGAATGAGGGGCAAGAGATAGGAGGGCAGGAGAAGATCAGAGAAAAACTTTTGCTTCTGAGGCTAAGCCTTCCTTTTGGGGTATTGTTTTCTGAGTCCCAACACTTGTTATTTGGAACAACTCATTAGAATGTAGGGACTGGGGCTATGTCATGTATTAACATCTCCCAGGGAGCTGTCAGCCTCCCTCAGCAAATGCTTCCTGAATGCATGAATGAACCAATGAGTGTTGGTCATGCAAAGTCAGTAGTTTTCTGCCAACCCCATGAGTTCCACCAGTCGTCTCCAGAGATTCCTTGCAAAGAACTTGGTACTGGGGCATGTGCTTATAATGTCTCCTTCTTTTTCCTTCTATTCTATCATCCTGTGTCTTGTCCAGCCTCCAGGAGTTCAGTGAGAAAGGAAACACACACACACACACACTACAAAAACCAGGAGAAAAAAACCATTAAAAAATCCCACTGTAGGAAGATTCTGCTGCCTCTAGACATTAGGAAAGCCGCTGACCTAATTCATTTGCTATGGTGGCTTTTTCATCCTCAGGACTGGTGCTGCCTGTGTAGTTCAGCCTGTGAAGGCTCCCTTTCAAGTAGGCCAGCTGCATGGTATTCTGGACTTACAATGTGCAGGGCAGATGTAGTGTCCCCTTGAAATACACTTAACAGTGGGCAACAAAATCCAAAGGCAACCCCCCACAAATATCTAACTTAAAAAAAAAGAGCTTTCTAGATCTCAGTCCTCATCTGGATACTTCATTAGGATCCTGAGACATCTGGGGACCAGCGATGGAAAGAAGGAAAGAGACTTCCATATGTTGAGAGCCTATTATATGCCTGCATTGTGCTAAGCCCTTTCCCATATGTTATCCAATGTAATCCCCCACAAAAGCCCTGCCAGAGTGGAATTATTCTTCTCATTTTACAAATAAGAAAACAGTAGCTCGGAGATGCTAAGTTACTCGCCCAAGGTCACATAGACGGTAAGTGGTAGATGCTGATTTGAATCCAGACAGTGTCATTATCAAGGGGTGGTTTGGGAGGCTTTCGTTGTAACCATCATCTGTAGCAGCCCCCTTCTCCACAATTATCCCAAATAAACACACAATCTAAGTCGGAAGAGCCTACAGGAGGCAAAAATGTAGCTTCAATATGTGCTTCCCTGTCATCTCCCTTTCATTGAGATTATTGCTGCCCCAAATCCTGTCTACACAGACATTCTGGAGTCCGTACTAAATCAAGATTTGTCTGGCTCCAAAGACCATGTTCTTTCCAACACAACCAGGATGCCTCTTCTCTTAGATTCCTACCAAGAAGACCTTGCTTCTTGAAACCCTTACCTAGAAGAGCCAATGAATCAGTGTAGGATTTCCCTAATGGTGGCTGGCACCATAGGTTCCAAAATGTCACCACCAGCTCTAAGTCATCAGCCCTTTAAACGCCTCCACACATCCCGGGGTATACTGACGCGAGGAGTCACAGTGGGTAAGCATCACTAGGTTGCAGAAGCACTGGGCTAATGGTGTGGATGAGGGTTTCAATTTACTTGGAAACATCCACGGGCCAAGGTTCAGTTCATTTTAGGTTTCGACTAAGTTTTTCCAGGCTCTAAATGTAGAGAGCAGGGGTGTTTAAAGTGACTGTCCTGACACAGGCTGTTCCCTAGGGGCCACCCTAGCTTCCTTCTTGGAAGTGTGATGTGGGTCCAGAGTTCAGGCCAGCCACGGTCTTGGATTCCAGATGGGAGTTCATTTTTAGAGACCAAATGGTCATAAGTGAACATGTCATCTTGGGCTAGCTGGAAAATACGAACACCAGCTCAGAGTCCAGGAATTCAGGATTGTAAATAGGTGAAAGCACCCTTCACCTTCTCTCCTCCTTCCCTCAAGGTGGTTCACATACAACTATTAGCAATTGACATTCATAGCTCTTGTACTTCATAGTATTTTCATGCCTGAGACTCTGTTTGATCCCTGCAAGTACAGTGTTATGATACTCCTTTTATGGATGATGAATTGGAGACACCAAGAGGTTCAGAGCTTCTTCCAAAGTCATAGAGCCAGTGAGTTGTGAAGACGAGGGGCTCAGTCTTCCAATTCATGCAAAGGGTTGATGTGACATTTTCAGAGCCTAGTTCTAGCTTCATTGTGCTGGAAAGTGGTCTTGGCCTGAGGACAGCAGGGTGCTTCAGAGTCCAGTCTGATGCCCTTTGGCAGCCACACACCCTCCTGTGAAGGCACCACAAATTCCTTGGGAGGGAGACACGTTCCAGATGTGTATGTCACCTCTAGAGAAAACGTGACTTCTTCTGGTGAGCCACATGCAAGGTGTCTCGCTGGCCACTGTGAAGTGGGGAGAGACGCCTGGAGCAAGCCATGATCTCTGCCAGCACTGGAATCACCAACATCCTTGAGCTTCCTTCAGTCTGATGCAGAACCTGAGGACGTGGCCATCTCTTGGTGGTGTTCTGGGAAAGCAGGAAGTCTTCAGACCTGATTGTCTTCAGATTTCAGCCATGGGCTCCCTGGTGAGCCATCTCAGGGGTATAGGGAACATGGATGCCGCCCCGGAGGCAGCTCTCAGGTATGCATCCCCTGGTGGCCCGGGCCTCTCCGGGGCTGGTGGCTCAGGCTGGAGGGACAGGCACCGAATGAGGCTGTGTACTAGATTTCTCCCCTTTCCACATGCTGGTCTTACTGAGGCAGGTTCAGGGGGTGCTCTGAGGGACAGAATGCTGTAGGGGACAAAGAAAAAACATCCCCCTTCTTCCTCTGAGGGTTTGCTGAAAAATCAGCTCACAAAAGGAGATTAATTGGAATAAAGGCATACAGATCAATATGCGCATGGGGGAGAACCGTGGAGTGATTACCCCACCATCTGCATTGAGGTATAGAAGCTTGCATCCCATCCTACAGTTACAGAGAGAATGGGGGCTCAGAGCATGGCCCAAACCAGACTATGGTGGAACAGCAGGTTATGGAGGCAAGATAGGTTATTTGGGGGGAAGAAAGGGAGTCGTGGCTAACAAAGGTGATCTTGTTATGCAGAGGAAATCCCACAGATAGCAGCCCTCAAAGAGAACAGATGATAATTCTTTTTTTTTTTTTTTTTTTTTAAGATGGAGACTTGCTCTGTCGCCCAGGCTGGAGTGCAGTGGTGCCATCTCAGCTCACTGCAACCTCCGCCTCCCGGGTTCCAGTGATTCTCCTGCCTCAGCCTACTGAGTAGCTGAGATTACAGGCATGTGTCACCATGCCCAGCTAATTTTTATATCTTTAGTAGAGATGGGTTTCACCATGTTGGCCAGGCTGGTCTCAATCTCCTGACCTCAGATGATCTGCTCATCTCGGCCTCCCAAAGTGCTGGGATTACGGGGATAATCCTTTTTTAGACCTTTAAACATGTCAGACTCTTGGTTAATCTTTCCTAGATCTGGACAAGGGAAGGTCTTGGAGAAGGCCTGATTGCATCTCTGCAGATGCAAATCTCCCCCACGAAAGACAGCTCTTCAGGGAATCTTCTGTTTGCTGGCTCTCTGAACAACCTTCTCAAAAGATGTCAATGACCTATGTTTTCTATTGAAATATTTTTATTTCTTCCAGCGCAATCTGGGATCTCAGGGGCTGACAGCAGAGAAGTTACCTGAAGGCGCAACAAGCAGTGGTCCCTGTAGGCAGAAGCTACCTGGTGCCCCAGTGATGTGGGAGGCCCTCAGTTCCTGCGCTTCTTGCTGCCTGGGCACATGTTCCTGGAGGATGGCAGGACCTCCTGGCCTCTCCCCTGTCTACCCGCCAGAGCTCTGCTTCTTAAGATAAGACCACCTCTTTCCTCCAGCCAATGTGCTGCTCTTCTGACTTCAAAACACTTGCACTTCCAGGGCTCAACGTACAGTGAGTTCTCAAGGATTCGGTGAATAAATGTACAAATGTCTCCCGTTACAGCTGCCACATTCAGTGGGGTAGGTCTTATGATCATTTCTCTGAGGAAGGGGCTGTGCTCATGGTCTCAGTCTGCAAATTGCAGACTGAGAATCCAACGAAGGCACCTGCTCTCTGCCCCCGCACCCCCCCACCGGCCCCAAGGCTGACCCTCTCCTTCCCTGGTATCAGCTCGAAGCATTGTTGGAGTCCCCAGGGACCCGGATGCTTCCCTGTGTGCCCTGTCTTTGAGGTGCCCGCCATCTCAAGTCAAGACACACAGCAGGGTGTGAGAGGCCAGGGAGCCCATGGGAATTCCAGGGGATGCTCTCAGCGTGTTTTGTGAGGAACGACTGGCTCACCTAGTCAGGCCTGGGACAAAATATCACCTGCTGAAGGATGATTGGCTGTGGCGCTTGCCTTGTGCTGGAAGAGGGCCTCTGAGAGCACAGGGAACTGCCCCTGGGCATTTTCTCACAATTGTTCCGAGGGTTAGAGGCTGGATCCCAGGAACCGCGTGTGGCCACTCTGTCCTTCTTCAGAGAGAGATTCAACTTCCGGAGCCAGGGTCACCCCTAATGGCTCACTTCCCTTCCTTCCCCTGCCAGGATTTTCCCCCAGATTATCTTGGGGTTGTCTCAGCCCTTACCATACCTCATCCTTCCCAGCAGCAGCCCGCCAGCCCCACGCGGAGTGTTCTACTCTTTCCAAAGACAGCCCACATTTCGGGGTCTCCTGCACCCCCAAATGTGGGATTGGTAAGATGCACGCTTCCTGACTTGGGTTTCTTCTTTCATTTGCAGTTAAAAACCATGACCACAAAAGAGACATCCACAACTCGCTGTAATAGGCGCTTGCATAATAGACTTGGGGACAGTGTTTGGGGGAACAGGATAGGGTGGCTCTGTTTTTCCAACAGTTGTGAGATTCATTTTGGTGAAGTAAGAAGGTTTTACAGGGTCCTCTAAGACAGAAGGGGTTTCCTGGGAAGGAAGCTGGCTTATCAACCTGCCTCCTCTCGTTCACCTGGTGCTAGCTGCTTACTTTCCACCCTTTGCCCTCTGCTGAAGGGAGAGTTTGAACATCTTTAGATTCTTTTCTTTGCTTGGCAAGATGTGCCGTATTTATTCAACTTAGCATCAAGGTTAAGCACACAGATCCTTGTCAGAAGCCAGACAGCGAGTGTTCAAATCCCAGCTGTGTCACTTACCAGCTCTGTCACACCTTGGGGATGTGACTTCACTTGCCTTGATTTCCTCATCAGTGAAATGGGGATAATACTAGTACTTGTCCCATAAACGGGGATAATAGTACTTACCTTATATAATAAGGATTACATGTAAACATTTAATATACATAAAGCTCTTGTTTGTTTGTTTTTAGAGACAGGGTCTCAGTCTGTCATCCAGGCTGGAGTGCAGTGGCAAGATGCTAGCTCACTGCAGCCTTGACCTCCTGGGCTCAAGGAATCTTCCTATTTCAGCCTCCTGAGTAGCTAGGAGTACAGGTGCATGCCACCATACCTGGCTATTTTTAAAACATGTTTTTATATAGATGGGGTCTTGCTCTGTTTCCCAGGCTAGTTTTGAACTTCTGGCCTCAAGCACTCCTCCCACCTCAGCCTCCAAAGTATGGGGATTATAGGCATGAGCCACTGTGCCCAGCCAAACAGCTCTTAAAATATACAAAAGCTCTTAAAATAGTGCCTAGCACAGTGTTTACTATTGTCACTATCTACTTGGATTCTCTGCCTGTTGGTCTCCACTTTGCACAATTATTTGTGGACATTTGAGATCGTCGAGTTCTCGAGAACCAGTCAGGCTGATTTACCTCCAATGTACGTGTAATATGTTTTTTTCCTTTTCTGGAACTGAGCAACATCCTCCAAGTTTGTCCACTCTCCGAGTGTCTTAACTGCCCCCGGTAGAGAGGCATTTAGCAAACAGAAACAGATTACAGAGACCCTCGTGGCCACATGCAATTTGCAGTTGCTCTCAAGAGTGGGTGTGGTCACTTGTTGTTCCCTTTAGCCATCATATCAGCTGCCTGGGTGAGGGGTCAGTGTGCCAAACGTTCCTGGTGGGAAATGACTTGGTTTCCCATATGAGCCCCGACCTTCACTGGCCTCTCCCTCTTAGAACTCCCATTAATCACCATGTGTGCTGGTCACTGCAGCTGAATCCATCCACAGGGGCTGCCCAGAAAAAGACAATGACTTCTGCAGGGCTGGGGAGGCTGTCCTCGTGAAAATAACTGAATCTACCCGAGTGTGTGGCCTGTGCTGGGGAAACGTGGGTGACTTGAATGATGTCAGGCAATCAGTGCAATTGAAATATGTCAAAAATGGCTCCATCAACGCACCCGGCTCGTATTTAGCTATAAAATGTGAGGCCAGGTTACGAACCGGAAGCATTTCTTTCAACCAAAGTCATTTGGAAAGGAATATCTTTGACACATCCTTGCTGCCCCTTCCCCCATTGCGGTGTCCCTGGCTGTGTGGCTGGCAGCCTGGCTCTTGGTGAGTCGCAGCTGCACCTGTGCCCACCTTCTTACCACGGGAGTAGGTGCTTCTCCTTTGGGCACCTTCTGGCTTTGCACCGTAAGAGTGAAATACGGTGTGGTCCTGCAAGCTGCTTCTCCAGTGATGTGAAAAGCGTAAGAGAGAGGCTCTGGGAAGGGGCAGATGCTGCAGGTGCAATGATGCCAGCTGTTGAGGACGGTGCCCTGTGCCTGGGGAAGTACATGCTGTAACTGGAGCTCCACCTTGGTACCCCACCGCTGGACCCTCCAAAGAGAGCTCTGACATGTGCCCCATCCCGCCGGCTTCTGCAGCTTCTGGGAGCCAAGAGTGTCAGCCGGAAGGATCCCGCACACGGCGCTTAGTTCTGGAACTGGATACCCGGGGGAGGATGCGGGATCCCGAAGCCCGGGTGTGGGTCCCCGTGGTCTTCGTGTTGGGGGTAGGTGCAGAACGCTAAGCCTGGGCCTATTGGGAGCCATAGTCTTCTTGATGGCTGGTGCTTATTGGGCTTTTTTCAGTCAAATTTCAAAATGCAGTTGGATTTCTTACTTTGGAAACGATAATAGAAATGGCTGACCTCAGATTTTCATGATTATGTTTTGCCTTTTCCAGTGTATGTGCAGTTTCTGTAGTATAGTGGTTATCATGTTTGCCTCACATGTGAAAGACCCTTGGCTCGAGACTGGAGGGAAACATGGTTTTTTGGTTTTTCTTTTTGTCCCTAAATTTAGTGAGTTTAATCGAGGTTGGGAAACAAACAGAAAAGTAGTTGAACCTGTGGCTACACTTTAGACCTCCTCAATCTAGACAGATCGTTGACCAGGCTACAGTTTCCACTGGTCTGCCAGCAAGAGGCCTGCTTAATATTAGCTTTGCTTCCAGAAATTCCTTAAGATTCTCTTCATTCTCTTCTGTCGCCTGAATTTTCACAGGCTGACACTGAAAGTGGATGACATCTTAGTGCATTTCCTAAGTGTCCCGCTTGGCTTCGCTTCACTCTGATAAGTTGCAGATCTGGCTGATTTGCGAGACAAAAACAAAATATTTTTTTAAAAGGTTCTAAATCTGCATCTGGAACTCGTAGAGTCAATAATCTGAAACCACACGAATTATCTACATACAAAAGATTTTGAATGCATACCCCTTCCCCAAATAATCCTCAGAAAACCGGTTAAGTTTTAGCATCTGTGACTCTGAGATACATATGAGGCCTTTGTAAATTTAGAAGTTGAGAGTAGAAAGTACAGGTTTGTATTTTAGAAGGAGATTTGGGAATAAATATAGCTCTGGTGGATATAGATCATATGTTAAGGTTTGTTGGCCAGAGCTGGTGTGTGTCTTGGGTGTTGGGCAAAGAACAGAGAACAGCCAAAGCTCTGCGAGGTCAATGTGAAGGGTGATTTCCTTGGTGGGCTCAAGTTTATGACGCAGCCTGGACCTAGCTTGGCTTCTCAGCTAGAGAAGAAGCATGATTCCATGTCACAGCTCCTGTCTTTGAAAAAGTCATAATGACTCCCAGACCCAACATGTGGGGAAAACTCTGGATTTGTCTCTTCAGTTGAATGTCTCCATTGAAAATTGAGGAAAGAAATCTCTCTACTATTTGAACTTCATCAAAAGACGAATATGTTAATATTTTGACCGTCAATATTTCCTTAAACTAGTCTACTCCTTTCATAGCTAACACATCAAAGCATATTAACTTAGGAAATGGGATTCTCCCAAACAATGAAACATTGACGGCAAGGGTTCTTAATCTTTTCACATCACATTTCCTTCAAATGCTTTATACATCCTCAAGCAGACAAATAATAGTATTATAATGATTACGAGACCGATCATTACTCTTTTGCCAAAAAAACCAGCGACAAAAGACTAACTTAGTGGACCAACCTTTGTTTCTTCATTATCTGTACATTGATTCTGTCCTTTTATTTCATCTTTCTTCTAATTCTGCTTCTGCTTCTTATTTCCTCCCTGGATTTGAACTTTATTTACCTAAACTACCAGTTAGGTTACCTTCTCAGAACCTCTAAGGCAGCAGTTTGAGATTGACGATGGAAGATTTAAGATTAGAAAAAAGAAACATGAATGAATTTCTGATGTTTTATTATAGGGGTTTATAATGCAGGTAGAAAGACCTTTTTCAGACTTAAGAGTTTGATCCACCAAATGAGCTATTTTGATATTTATAACTTTGTCTAGTAAAAGTTTCCTATAAAAACATTTGGTTTGGATGTCTTTGTTAGCTTTTAGTCGACACTTGAAAAAGGCGGTTGGAAGTTTCTAAGTCTTTGTGGATACTCTTTTCTCTTATCCTCCAGGCTGTGGCTGTGGGGAGGCATTGGTGGTTCCGTGGTAGTATTCTCGCCTCCCACGCGGGAGACCCGCGTTCAATTCCCGGCCAATGCAGCAGGGACTTTTTCACTTCATTATGGCCCTTTACCCGTCTTTTACGCTGCAAAATTATACTGCATAACCTAATAGTGCATTTAGGGGCTTGGCCACCACAAGGTAAAGTGACAACATTACTCACGAGAGTAGCGGCAAGAGACATTCAGGACACTAACCCAGGACCCATGCAATTGTTGGACTCAAACAGCTTAGCAAAGTGGCAAGCACGAAGTGTTTCC
The DNA here is from genome assembly GCF_000001405.40 of Homo sapiens. Taxonomy (NCBI): domain Eukaryota; kingdom Metazoa; phylum Chordata; class Mammalia; order Primates; family Hominidae; genus Homo; species Homo sapiens. The sequence goes on along the minus strand of NW_025791756.1, from coordinate 720,878 downwards.
GGTGAGTCACTGCAGTTTTGATATTGGTACCTGTTACTTTCATCTATTCACGGGGCGGATCCCTGCAAACCCGAAGAATCATCAGGTTCCTGATTCGCGTGCTGGACCTTGGGCTTACTGCTGAGCCACTGTAGAGAGGATCAAGAAATGACGCTCTTGGAAGGAGAGAAGCTGCGGGCAGGACAGTCACGTCAGAGGTCCAAGAGGCTTCAGCGGCCCAAAGAAAGGGAAGGTGTGTGGGGAAGAATCTGCGTGGAGATGAGGGGAGCGGCGGGGACTGGTCCTTGCGCAGAGGTGGCCAGTGGACCCTCAGGGCTGTACCCCAGACACCGTGAACCGAATTTGCTCACATCGTCAGCGAGGGATTCCGTGTGTCTGGCAATGTCTGTCAACAGGTGTTGGCCTGAAATTTGGCCGGGCACGTTGGCTCACGCCTGTAATCCCAGCACTGTGTGAGGCCGAGGCGGATGGATCGCTTGAGGTCAAGAGTTCAAGACCAGCCTGGCTAACATGGAAAAATCCCGTCTCTACTAAAAATACAAAAATTAGCCGAATGTGGTGGCATGCACCTGCTATTCCGGCTACTTGGGAGGCTGAGGCAGGAGAATCGCTTGAACCCAGGAGGCAGAGGTTGCAGTGAGCCAAGATTGCGCTACTGCACTCCACCTGGGCGACAGAGCGAGACTCCTTCAAAAAAAAAAAAAAAAAAAAAGCAGCGAAAGAAGGCAGAGATGTCAATGGGACAAAGAGACCTCCCAGGAGGCTTGTTGTAGAGGCAGTGGGTGGATCCTGGGAGATGAGATTTTTTTAAAATTATGTAGCAGAATGGGGAGAGAAACGGAGAAGCGCATGAAAGAGAGAAAAGCACGAAAATCGGCGGCGTCCAAGAATGAAGCAGATAAAATAGTGTGAGTGTTTTTACATTAAAAAAATAGAAGAAGTGCAATGCTTGTCAGCAGGCTTTGTGGTCGTGTAGTAGTTAATACTTGTAGTTGTGGTTGCCACAACCTCGGTTCTAATCTGAGTCACAGTAGTGTTTTCTAGCCTGCGACTGTGGCTAATAGACCTGTCGTTTGCTTTGCCTTTAATCCTAGCAGCCTCCAGAGAGCAGAGTAAACCTCTGGCCCCGAAGGGCGCCAGCTTCTGGAGTTTAGCCCACAGCGCAGAAACTAGGGGGCGGCCTGGCCGATAGGAAAACTTGGACATGCTCTTTGTCTCACAATTGAGCAGGAAAAATTCCCGTAGGTGAAGATGCCGCCTCTCAAGGGCCCTTTGTCTGTAGCTTCCACTGGTGAAATAATGCGGTTATAGTCTTTTTCGGTAGAGAAAACGGCTGTATCAGTGGAATTTTTTAAAAACACAAAACGAGAACGAGTTTTTAATGAGTTGACAATAAAATCTAAACTAGTTGTCATGGTCTGCACAGGCTTGCCTCCATTCCCCATGCGCTAATTTTTATGAGAACAGTAAATTATTACTATTATCATTGTTTTTGAGACGTAGTCTTGTTCTGTCACCCAGGCTGGAGTGCCGTGGCTCAATCTCGGCTCACTGCAACCTCTGTCTCCCAGGTTCAAGCAATGAGAACAGTAAAGAAGCTACAGTTCACATAAAGTGCACAAATCTTTAGTGCAATTTGTTTAGTTTTGATCAATGTTATCACCACCCAGCTCAAGTTATAGAAAATTGCCATCATCTGAGAAAGGCCTGTTAGAGCCCCTGTCCAGGTGATTCCCACCCTGTGTCTTCTTAGTTAATCACTATTCTGATGTCTATTCCCACAGGTTACAATTGCCGGTTCTTAAAGTTCACATGAATGAATGTACATATGTTTTGTGTCTGGCCTTTTTCTCCAGTTACATTCATTATACTCATGAGATATATCCACGTAGTTTCATAGATCACTTCTCAATTTTGGGGTTATTGATTTCTTGTGCTGAATATTCTTATAACAGTCTTTGTGTGCACTTGAGATTCATGGAAGTCCTTCAATTGCTGGGTCATGACCTGAGTATAAGTTTAACATCAGTATAAATTGCCAGTCTTCTAGAATGCTTTTTCGCCAGCGATGACAGTTGAAGTGGCACCAAATTCTTGTCAGCATTTGGTGTACTAACTTTGTTAAATGTAGCTATGCTCTCAGACCAGGCTGGCCAACATGGCAAAACCCTGTCTCTACTCAAAATACAAAAATTAGCAGGGCATGGTGGCATGCACCTGTAGTCCCAGCTACTCCAGAGGGGGATGTTGCGGTGAGTCAAGATCGCAGCATTGCACTCCAGCTTGCGTGACAGAATGAGACCCTGTCTCAGAAAAAAAAAAAAAAGTAGCCATACACTGGTGAGTGGTTAGTGCTATCTCAGTGTGGAATTAATTTGTATTTGCCTAATGAGCAATCCTATGAAGCATATTTTCTTATGGCTTCCAGCATATAAGAAACTCTCCTTTGCAAAGGCCTATTCGAATATTTTGCCCTATTTTATTTGGCTTAGCTCTATATTACTGACTTACAAAAGTTCTCTTATATATTCAAGAATTGAGTCTTGTTTTGACGTTTTTTAAATTATACTTTAAGTTTTAAGGTACATGTGCACAACGTGCAGGTTTGTTACATATGTATACATGTGCCATGTTGGTGTGCTGCACCCATTAACTCGTCATTTACATTAGGTATATCTCCTGATGCTATCCCTCCCCCTCCCCCCACCCCACAACAGTCCCCGGTGTGTGATGTTCCCCTTCCTGTGTCCAAGTGTTCTCATTGTTGAATTCCCACCTATGAGTGAGAACATGCGGTGTTTGGTTTTTTGTCCTTGCGATAGTTTGCTGAGAATGATGGTTTCCAGCTTCATCCCTGTCCCTACAAAGGACATGAACTCATCATTTTTTATGGCTGCATAGTATTCCATGGTGTATATGTGCCACATTTTCTTAATCCAGTCTATCATTGTGGGACATTTGGGTTGGTTCCAAGTCTATGCTATTGTGAATAGTGCCGCAATAAACATACGTGTGCATGTGTCTTTATAGCAGCCTGATTTATAATCCTTTGGGTATATACCCAGTAATGGGATGGCTGGGTCAAATGGTATTTCTAGTTCTAGATCCCTGAGGAATCACCATACTGACTTCCACAATGGTTGAACTAGTTTACAGTCCCACCAACAGTGTAAAAGTGTTCCTATTTCTCCACATCCTCCCCAACACCTGTTGCTTCCTGACTTTTTAATGATCACCATTCTAACAGGTGTGAGATGGTATCTCACTGTGGTTTTGATTTGCATTTCCCTGATGGCCACTGATGATGAGGATTTTTTCATGTATCTTTTGGCTGCATAAATGTCTTCTTTTGAGAAATGTCTGTTCATATCCTTCGCCCACTTGTTGATGGGGTTGTTTGTTCTTTTCTTGTAAATTTGTTTGAGTTCTTTGTAGATTCTGATGAAACTACAGATGAGTAGATTGCAAAAATTTTCTCCCGTTCTGTAGGTTGCCTGTTCACTCTAATGACAGTTTCTTTTGCTGTGCAGAAGCCCTTAAGTTTAATTAGATCCCATTTGTCAATTTTGGCTTTTGTTGCCATTGCTTTCGGTGTTTTAGACATGAAGTACTTGCCCATGCCTATGTCCTGAATGGTATTGCCTAGGTTTTCTTCTAGGCTTTTTATGGTTTTAGGTCTGACATTTAAGTCTTTAATCCATCTTGAATTAATTTTTGTATAAGGTGTAAGGAAAGGATCCAGTTTCAGCTTTCAACATATGGCTAGCCAGTTTTCCCAGCACCATTTATTAAATAGGGAATCCTTTCCCCATTTCTTGTTTTTGTCAGGTTTGTCAAAGATCAGATAGTTGTAGATGTGTGGCATTATTTCTGAGGGCTCTGTTCTCCTCCATTGGTCTATATCTCTGTTTTGGTACCAGTACCATGCTGTTTTGGTTACTGTAGCCTTGTAGTATAGTTTGAAGTCAGGTAGCGTGATGCCTCCAGCTTTGTTCTTTTGGCTTAGGATTGACATGGCAATGCGGGCTCTTTTTTGGTTCCATATGAACTTTAAAGTAGTTTTTTCCAATTCTGTGAAGAAAGTCATTGGTAGCTTGATGGGGATGGCATGGAATCTATAAATTACCTTGGGCAGTATGACCATTTTCCCGATAGTGATTCTTCCTACCCATGAGCGTGGAATGTTCTTCCATTTGTTTGTATCCTCTTTTATTTTGTTGAGCAGTGTTTTGTAGTTCTCCTTGAAGAGGTCCTTCACATCCCTTGTAAGTTGGATTCCTAGGTATTTTATTCTCTTTGAAGCAATTGTGAATGGGAGTTCCCTCATGATTTGGCTCTCTGTTTGTCTGTTATTGGTGTATAAGAATGCTTGTGATCTTTGCACAAGAATTCTGTATGCTGAGGAGTCATTTTTAAAATAAATATATTGCAAATGACTTTTCCCAGTCAGTGAAAAGTCTGACTGAAAGCTGTCAACTGAAAAATCACACAATTTATAAATTTAGAAGGGAGATTTTATTTTTTATAAATGGTTACAGCCTGCAAGGTGGCCATTCCGACAGACAGGGAGGCATACCCTCTTGCTGCTGAAACCTGAAAAGTACGTTTCCAGGGAGGGGAGGGGGGAACAGGGATTTATGTTGATGTGGTGGGCCACATATACATATTCAACAGGGAATAGGAGGAGCTCTGAATATTCATGAAGGGATCCTGCTGCATGCATGCTGAGTAAACATGCCTGTTACATGCAACCCATGTTCATTTTGGGGTGGAGACAACATTTAAATACATTATAATTAGGCCCTATGCTTCAAAAGGGGAAGCAGGGACACAAAGGCAGTCAAGTGCACAGCCTCTGTAAACCGTCCAGAACCCGTCCACAGCCAGTGCTCTCTTATCAAGGGGAAGTTACTGAAATCAGTCTCTTGTCCAATCAAAGCTGTAGTTATGGCTTGTGTAGGGAGGGCTCAGTCAGTTTATGGTAATGGGTGAGCTGCAAGTGCTTCAGCATTGCTTATCTCAAGGCCAGTGCTTGTTTAGCTAGAGAAAAAAAGGAAGAAGAAAAAAACCTGTGGCAATTGGAACATAGTTTATTCTTTAAGTTGAGGGGCGCATGACTCCACCTTGCCTGGCGTGGCCTTAGGTCTCGTTTATCATACCATATCTTACTACTGCAAGGAGTCTGTTCTGTCAGTCTTAGGATCTCTATTTTAACAATAATGCTGGTCAGTTGTGTCTAAACCACAAAGGGAGAGAGTATAAGGAGAGGTGTCTGAGATTCCAACTACTGGGCAGGAACTCAGTAGTTAAGACTTCTCTGGGGTCTCCTTGGCCAAGAAGCAGTCTGTCCAGTTGGTTGAGTGGCTTTGGATTTTAATTTTAGTTCTCAAAGCATTTAATTTGATGAAATTTTGCCATATTTTTTCTTTATTTTTAAAGCCTGTTATGTTCTATAAGAAATCTTTCTACTCAGGATAGTGAATGTATTCTCTTAATTTTATCTCTCTATGAGTTCCAGCGTTTTAGTTTTAATTTTTAAATTGATGACATCTAAAATTCTACTCCTAACCAAAACATTCCTGGGGGTGACCAAGGACAACTCCAAAAATCTTCCATAAATGGAAGTAAGACTTACTCCTTGAAGAACTTACTGGGATCCGGGCCTGCAGGGCACAGTGGCTTTAGTGCACCTCTGCTCTTAAGACTATTCAGAAATTGTCTTTGTGAACCCATCAGGCTGTTTCAAAATCAGCAATTTAGGGCTTGCTTGCAACATGCAGTTATGCAGCAGCTGTTTTGTGGATCTGGTGAGTGCCTGCACGCATAGTTCCCCGGGAATTTTCTAAATTTGAATTCTCTTGGTATTTCAAGTGGCTCAGTTGTCTCTTTCTTTTCTTTTTCTTTTTTTTTTTTTTGAGTCAGAGTCTTGCCCTGTCACCCAGGCTGGAGTGCAGTGGCTGGAGTGCAGTGGCGCGATCTCAGATCACTGCAAGCTCCGCCTCCCGGGTTCACGCCATTCTCCTGCCTCTGCCTCCCCAGTAGCTGGGACTACAGGCACCCGCCACCACGCCCGGCTACTTTTTGTATTTTTAGTAGAGACGAGGTTTTACCGTGGTCTTCATCTGACCTCGTGATCCGCCCGCCTCGGTCTCCCAAAGTGTTGGGATTACAGGCGTGAGCCATCGCGCCCGGCCAGTTGTCTCTTTCTTTTGCCTACTGCCACACACGTACCACCAAATCCTGCACTCCAAGCTGCTTCTACACCCTGGACTCCCAACCTCCAGTTAGACAATCCACATCTTCCCACACGTGCCTCAGGCTCCATCAGGCTACTGTGCCTCCTGCAGCAACCAGGCCAGGGGGAATCTGGATTCCTATTACACTTCTGAGGAAGGTGGTCAGGGAGTGTGGAGGATGTGGGTGGGAGGGGGTGAGGTTGAGGGCAGGAGTACACTGTGGTCTTCTGTCTTCTACCTCATTGGCCCAGGTGCTGCTCTCCCTCCGGTTGTCTGCTTTCAGCCCTGCCTGGGAAATCAGGCCGGCGCCCTGATCTTCCTGACTCTCATTTTGTGAGGAACCTGAACGGATGAGCCATCGCTCTTGTCCCACACGTTCTGTCCAAAAGGTGCCCTCCTCTCTGCTTGCTCGGGGGCCTGCCCTCTGAGCTCTGGCACTCAGGCTGGGATGCCGCCCAGTACAGAGGCTCTGCAGCCCTGCAGGGGTCTGACTGTTCCACACCAGCAGGATAAAGGCCACAGGGCATGCTGTGGTGGAAAAGCATTCAGAGGTGTGGGCTGAAGGCCTCTCTTTCCACAGTCCCTTTGAAGACACCATGGAAGTAGGCACCCCCTTGACAGACAAGGTGGCCTAAGGCCTGGCTTCACATGCAGGCTCTTGGGTCCCAGCGGGTCCTCTCTGTGCCTGGTATAGCCAACTGCTTCACGCATCTTACCCGGTTTCCTCTCCTCCACAACCCAAGCTCCTCCTCGACCCCCTTGCTCAGCTGTCCTCAGGACAGCAAGATCCCCAGCCCTTGGAAAAGCCCATCTCTAGTGCTTGGGGAGGGAGCTGGGTTCAGGTGGTCTAACCACAGAAGAACAGAGAACCTGAGGCAGGAGGAAATCCCTTCCCTTGCTGGGTCTCTTGGCACAGCCCATCCAGGGGTCTGGGTCAGGGTCCAGGTATACTCTACCCTCCTTGAGGACCTGGGTTTTCAGGCCCCCGAGGTTGGTCAATGTGGAATCTTTCCCACTGTTCATCTGGGAACTGAAGGAATATCCCATGGGGCCCTCTCTTACTCATTAGAGACACCCAGAAAATACTCCATCCAGCAGAAACTGGGTGCAGTGTACCAGACCACTATAATTATAATTGCAGGGTGTGGAGGTCAGATACGTTTTGTGGGTATTTTCTCTCTGTCTGTGGCTTGCTTGCCTTTTCGCTTTCTTAGTGGTATCTTTTGATGAGAAGGTGTGGCTAATGTTGATGAAGTCTCATTTATCATGTCTTTCTTATATATGTATTTTTTCTGTGTCCTGCTTGTTGGTAGGCTAATCTTTGCCTGCCAACAAGTCACAAAGTATCCTTGAAATGCTTTATATCTTTAACTTTTAAGTAATGCGGCTGAAATTACTTTTGTGTGTAGTGTGAGGGAGAATAACATTGTTGGTCTCCCCACATCCATATAGAAGTTCATTAATTGAAATGACTTATTTTCTTTTATTGAACTGCTTTTATTGAAAACCCATTTATTGACCGTATAGCTGTGGATCAATTTCAGGTCTTCTAACTCAGGCTGTTTATCCGTTTGTCACTCCTGATGCCTTGTGTCTAATAGCTTATAGTAAACCTTAAAGTCAGATAGTACAAGTCCTTGTTCTTTTCCACACATTGCAATAAATTTTGAAATAGATAATAACTCATGAAACCATCACACACATCAGGATATGCTGTCACTTCATCCCTTTCTGATATAGTTTGGCCGTGCCCTCACCCAAATCTCAACTTCAATTGTATCTCCCAGAATTCCCATGTGTTGTGGGAGGGACTTAGCAGGAGGTAATTGAATCATGGGGGCGGGTCTTTCCTGTGCTATTCTCCTGATAGCGAGTAAGTCTCACTAACTGATGGGTTTCTCAGGGGTTTCTGCTTTGGCTTCTTCCTCATTTTCTCTTGCTGCTGCCTTGTAAGAAGTGCCTTTTGCCTCCCGCCATGATTCTGAGGCCTCCCCAGTCACATGGAAATGGAAGTCCAATTAAACCTCTTTTTGGTCCTGGACTCTGTTATGTATTTGTCAGCAGCATGAAAACGGACTAATACACTCTCATTTCTGAGTGGGACACATGCTGTCACTCACATATGCTGGTTGCTGACTTGTGACGGAAGATTCTCTATTGTACCCTCTGGGGACAATACATCTCCAGTTGCCTGCGGGGAGGATGAACATGCAAAAAATCCACAACACTCAGCACAGAGTCTGGATTTAGTCCCATTAGTCTGAATGGGACTAATGCCCTTATAAAAGGGACCCTGGGGAGCTCTCTCGCCCTCTTTCTGCCCCCTGAGGATACAATGAGAAGGTGGCAGTCTACAACCAGACCAAAGGTCCTCACCATAACCCTACCACGTCGGCACCTTGATCTCGGACTTCCAACCTCCAGAACTGTGAGAAATCAATTTCTGTTGTGAATCAGCCACCCAGTTTATGGTACATTGTTATAGAAGCCCGAACTAAGACAGAGATGAAGTCCCGTGCAGGGTCTCTAATTTGCTAAGCTGGTCATCAGGCGGGATATTGCCAGTCAGAAACAGGAAGAGCTGACATTTTGTGTATATGAAAGAAGATAGTGGACAGGCCCATTGTGTCAGCTTTGTCCGCCTTGGCAAACTGGAGACGGAAACTCGATTCACCATCGCCAGCCACGGGAGGACTGGGAGGACCTCCAGAGGAGGTTAGGTCGACTTCATGGTAACTTTAGATCCGGAAACCTCCCAGGATATTTCTTGTCTTCCCTTTGATCTCTCTTCCACCTACCCAACAGGACAGGACTCGCCGCCTTTCTTTCCCGGCAGAAAGGGGTCCGTTGCGGACAAGACCAAAGTGAGCAGCTGGTTTCCCCTACGTGTCCTTCCGGGCCTGGGCGTCTCGGGAACTCAGGCTGACCCGACACCTAACTCCCGGCGAGTGGGACCAGCAGGAGCCTGGAAGAGCGCGCGCACCGAGGTGGAAGTTGGGCACCGGGGGTCGAGAACCGCGGTCAAACCCTCTTCTTCCAGGGGCACCGCGCACCTGCCCCCGGGGATGCCGAAGGAAGTGACCCATAAAGCTTCTCTGCAACCGAAAGAGGCCTGAAGCTCCAGGAGGGCCGAGAGGAGCCTCGTTGAGCGAACCCAGCCCTCTGCCTGGCTGGCCCTGGTCAACAGGCTCGGAAGAGGCCGATTTGGAGGACAGAACGGAAGAAAAGACCTAAAGGTTTCGAATCTCATGACGCAGAGATGCTAAAAATCTCCAATCCTAAGGTCCGACTGTGCGGGGGAGCGAGGGGGTCTCAAGCTGGATTGACCCCGAGCCTTCATCTGGAGAGTCCTCTGCACAAGCTCAGACAGCAGGACAACGCGCATCAGTGGTTCTCAAGAGGGGGCAACTTCGCCCTTACACGCCTCTCCCATCCCCGCTGGGACACTAGGTCACGAATGGGGGAAGCGGGGAGGGAGAATGCTAACCCCCTGGCATGTATCTAGTCAGCGGAGGCGACGGCTGCTGCTAAACACCTTACAATCCACGGGAGGGCCCCTCCCCTACCCCGAAGTAGCCATTCCGCAGAGGTGGAGAGACTCGCGTGTAGCTCAATGCCCACGCACTTAGCCGATGGGAAATCACGAATTGATGACCAGTTGGCTCTTGGATCTGAGGAAAAATCTCCAGCGTCAGAGGGAACTCTCGAAGTTTTGCCCGGAGCAAACGGAAGGGTGGCGTTGCCATCGCCTAAGATGGGAAAATGGCAGGTGTCACAGGTTGCAGGGGAAGGTCGGAGACCAGCTGAGGGCCCCGGAGCCTTCCTGGAAAGAGTTTCCCATCCAGCCCGTCTCGGTTTCCGCATCCGTCTGATTCCTTATGACGTTGAGGGTGCTGGCGTCTGGGTCCTTTATGATGCAGAGGGTGCCCCCGTCTCACCCCGGGCGCCTCCGCGCTCTCGCCTCCTCCTGGCAACCTGGTGCGCGACTCCGGACCTGGCGACCCACGACCGGCTGGTCACTTGCTGCCACCTCGCAAAGGCGCATCTCTAGTCCAGTGGTGAGCTGCGGCCGGGTCGCTGCAACTCGCTCCAGGCCTCCGGACTCGTGGCCTCGGTGTCTCTCGCGGAGCCCTCGGTGTGTCGCTTGCAGGCTCTTTTTTTGAAGAAAGCAGGGAGGGAATGGCCTTGTGAGAGACTCCAGGAGCAAAGAGCGACCCTCACAAGGCCCAAGTCCTCCCAGAGCTCAGGGAAGCTGTCGCTTCTGACAGAAGAAGGGAGACAAAGCTCCCTCCTGCGAGTCCCTGGTGGTCTAGTGGCTAGGATTCGGCGCTTTCACCGCCGCGGCCCGGGTTCGATTCCCGGTCAGGGAATTGTTTTACACTGGCCGCCCTCCCGCAGGAATCTTCCTTCACTACGCTGTCAGCCGGCCTGCTCCAAGGGCCAGAAGCAGAACAGTCTCCGCAGCGGGGTTAAAGCCGGACGAAGGAGGGCAAGTGCTGGTGGACCACCTCTCACGACACACCGTTCCTGTTTATCTCCGTGTCCGTCATCCGCGGGAGCAGCTTTAGAGAGCGACTGAGCGTCTCGCTCAGGTGTACACAGCCCGGCAGAGATGCCAGCCCCCGTGGAGCTGCACCCAATAAGCCCACCTTCTTTCCTGTCGCCACCCCGGAGACGCCCATCGGGCTGAGCTGCGAATAACTAAGAGAGAGGCCAAGCCAAGTCGTGGCGTTTGTGGCAGCCCCGGACACGGGCACCAGCCAGTCAGCGGAGCCTCCTCACCTCCGTTGCCAGCGAAGGCGCTCGTTAGGCCTTGGGAAGAGGCGACCGGAGGCCATGCCCGCGAATTTGTTAGGGGGGTAAGCGGCGGGTGAGGTCCTCGAGGGCGGTCCCATTTGCTGTTTGAGCGGTAGAGGGAGGCGATGTTCGCTGACCCAACAAGGACAGCAGGTGGAGTAGGCACAGATGGAAAACTGCTGCCGGTGCCCTAAGCAGAAGGCAGGTGGAAAAATCAGCACTAGGACGTCGAAGCGATGGTACCACAGTCAAATCCCACGACGTCTACACTCTACCAAGCACTTGCGCACGCTCCCCCTTTTCCATTCAGTACTCCCAAGAGGGGTTCGGAAGAACCCCGAGTCCACTGTAAGCTCGGGAGAGCGGGAGCCAGGGAGGTGAAGTGCGCAGACTCGGCAGCGGCGGCGGGCAGAACCGCGGGGGGGTGAGAGGGCGCGGTGGCTGCGGGGCGGGAGCCGCTGCTGAGAGGCGGCCTGGGTTGTCTTGTGGGGTGACTGTCGGTGGAATCTTTGGTGGAGAGTGGTTTGGAAGACTGGCGAGGGGCGGCACTGGGGAGGGTGGTGACCCTGAGTGACCGGCCAGGGCGAGGAGGCTGTGCTGTCCCTGCCGGCCATGTGCTCATTTCCACTTTACCTGGCAGGGGAGAGACCGTGGTCACGAAGGGGGTTCTCCCAGAGTGAAGCTTCTTCATCGCACTCTAGAGTTGCTGATTCCTGTGATTTCCTCCATGTGGGAAACGGTGTTTGTGCTAGAAGAGGCTGCGCTCTTTACCTGACATAAGGGGGTTCAAGACTGACATCGCCTCACGCCCACCCGAAAACGTTTACATGGCTTGTCTCTTTTTTTTTCTGTCCTAAAGTCGCCTCATCTTCACATCCCCTCATTTTTTCTTCCACACTCGAGAGTGTCTCTCTCTCTCATTAAAAGCTCCACCAAATATTTGAAATATCTCAACCAGAAAGACTGCAATAAATACATTATTTCATTCGTGGAAGCTACAGACCAGCTAGGTTGAGAGTTGCTTGATATTTTCTGCTAAACGGTGAGGCATAGAGCACTTGGAAGGTTTCTCTTTGGGCCACTGTTTGTGTACTCTTGGGTTTCCTTCTTTTCCCCAGACAGTATGGCGCTGTGGGGCCAGCGGTAAACCCTGCTTTCCGGCTTTCTGGCTGCAGATAAAGGCCGCAGCTGCTGCAGGAATCAAAAGCAAACCAAAAGACACGTGGGTTCGCCCCAGTGGGTCCAAGATAGAGTCTGACTGTACCAGGATTTGGATTAGAACAGAGGTTGCTGCAGGCACAATGCAGACTACTAACCACTAGAGAATCCCAAGGCGCCCCACACCTACTGCCCATCGTTTTGCTTCCCCACCCCTCTATTATTTATTTAAATATATATTTTGAGAGACAGAATTTCGCATTGTCGCCCAGGCTGGAGGGCAGTGGCACGATCTCGGCTCACTGCTACCTCCGCCTCTTAGGTTCAAGCGATTCTCCTGTCTCAGCCTCCTGAGTAGCTGAGACTACAAGCGTGCGCCACCACGCCCAACTAATTTTTGTATTTGTAGTAGAGTTGGTCCCGCTGGTCTCGAACTCCTGACCTCAAGTGAGTGATCCAGCCACCTCGGCCTCCCAAAGTGCTGGGATTACAGGCGTGAGCCACTGCCCCTGGTCCCCCGATTTTATTTTTATTACTGTAAAAACATTATGCGATTTTTACTTCTTTATTCTTGGGCAGCTACAGGTTCTTGTGATTTTCTCTCACATCTTCTCCCCATTTCCCCCTCTCCATTCTGATACATGTCCCATCTTCTCTGCATCCAGCCGGTGCCCTCTGCACGGGCATCCTGGGCTGTCCCATTGTCTAGTCCTGGTCTCCTCTGCTTCTCCCTCCTCCTTTTCACGTTTTCCCTTTTGACTCCCCTGCCTCTTTCCCGCTCCCGCCCCACCGACCCCATCTACTGAAGCCGAGTTGAGTGAAGGGAGAGCAAGCGGAGCAGATGACTGCCTGAAGGCGGCGCAAAAAAACAGAAAGAGCTACCGTGAGAGCCGTCGGGGAGTTCAGCTTCCCTTGGGCCCCACTTGCCTCAGGCTGGGGTCGCAGATCCAGGCATTTCCAGAGGCACTGGCTTCTGAAGCAGGCGAGGGTGAACGCAGGGTGAAGGCCATTCGGCCGCCCTCCTGGCTTCAGAGTCACGCAATGCACGCGTTTCTAACGTGCAGCAAGACGATTAGTCGACTCAGCCTCTCCGGTTTTCCGAAGCTTTGTAGTCTGCACAGTTGTCCCGCAGAAAGCGAATGGCAACCCCTAGGGTTTTGTGATTGCTTAATGTATATAGAGATGAAAACAGACAATCGACGTTGTCTCTGTGGCGCAGTCGGTTAGCGCGTTCGGCTGTTAACCGGAAGGTTGGTGGTTCGAGACCACCCAAGGACGTGATTTTAAATGTTGGTGGTTGTGGCCGGGTGCAGTGCCTCACGCCTATTAATCCCAACACTTTGATAGGCCGACGTAGGGGAAGCCTCCACTGAGCTCAGAAGTTCAAGACCAGTGAGAATCGCATCTCATTTAAAAAAAAAAAAAATTGCAGCTGTATCTATCTCCTCAGACCTATCACTGTATTTAAAAGTGAAAGACTGTTCCCTTGTGTCTTGTGCATCCCATGAGGACAGACAGCAGAAGGTCCCCCTTCGAGCCTCCTAGAAAATAAGATCTCTGCAGCACAAACTAGCTTGTATGTATGGGAAACAAAGTATTTGAAGACACAAACTTCAAAAATTCTGCCTTGCTTTCCACAAAAATTAACCCATCACAGTCTGCCTTCAAGTGGCATCATACCTCTTCACATGACTCCTCTCCCTGCCTTTATGCTAGTGTCATGCATTTTACTTTACACCTGTTATAAACCTTACAATCCATCTCTATTACTTTTGTTTCAAGAGTCAGATGTGTTTTTCTTTGTTTGTTTTTGGTTTTTTTTGTTGTTGTTGGTGGTGTTTTTAAGACGAGTCTTACTCTATCGGACAGGCTGGAGTGCAGTGGCACAGTCTTGGCTTACCGCAACCTCTGCTTTCCGGATTCCAGTCATTCTTCTGACTCAGACTCCTGAGTAGCAGAGATTACAGGCTTGGGCCACCACATCTGACTAATTTTTGAATTTTTCATAGAGAGGAAGGTTCACCATATTGGCCAGGCTGGTCTCGAACTCCTGACCTCAAGTGATCCGCCTTCCTCGGCCTCCCAAAGTGCCGGATTCCAGGCGTGAGCCATCGTGCCCGGCTAAACAGTCAGATGTTAAAATTACATATTTGCCTTTGTAGATGTCATTTCTAGTGTCTTTTTTTTTTCATCCAGATTTTCATCCCGTGTCACTTTCCTTCTGCCTGGAGGACTCCTTTAACTTGTCTATTAGGTGTCTTAAACTTGCACTATCATTCACTGATGCTCTGTTCATTAAAGAAAAAAAAAATTGTTGGCCGGGTGCGGTGGCTCACGTCTGTAATCCCAGCAATTTGGGAGGCCGAGGCGGGTGGATCAGGAGGTCAGGAGATCCAGACCATCCTGGCTAACACAGTGAAACCCCGTCTCTACTAAGAATACAAAAAATTAGCTGGCTGTGGTGGTGGGTGCCTCAAGTCCCAGCTACTCAGGAGGCTGAGGTGGGAGCATGGTGTGAACCCAGGAGTCGGAGCTTGGAACCTGTCAAAAGGCATTCTTAGCCTTAAAAGAAAAGCCAGGGACATCCCTTGCCTCAGGACTCTCAGACTTAGAAAAACCTTTCACCCTCTATGTGGACGAATAACAAGGGACAGCTTTGGATTTTCTAACTCAAAGACTGAGGAATTACTTTGGACCAGTGGCTTATTTCTCTAAACAGCTAGACCAGGTGGCAGCTGGGTGACCAGGAAGCTTGAGATCTGTGGCTACCATCACTCTATTGTTAGAAGAAACCACTAAGTTTACCTTGGGACAACAATTAGATGCCATACCACCCCACCCCCACCCCCTGCCACCCCATGAAGTACAGTACAGAGGTTCCTAGAGGCAAAAGTACAGCAATGGCTAACAGAGGGCCAGTTACTTAAATATCAGACCCTTCTGCTTGACACCCGAGATGTTACCCTGAAAATATGCTGATTTTTAAACCCTGCTACTCTGTTGCTGCACCTCACGTCTCAAGAAAGAGCTCCCCAATTCATTGACTCCTGTGTGGAAACCACGGAAGAGCTCTACTCTAGAAGGCCCAACCTTGAAGACAAGCTCTTGTCTAACCCAAATGTTGAGTGCTTTAGAGATGGAAATAGCTATATTCATGAGGGAGTAAGAAAGGAAGCTTAGCCAACAAGAAATCATTGAGGCCAAGGGTTTACCTTCTCAGACTTCTGCTCAAAAAGCAGAATTAGCTGCTCTAATTAGGGCCTTCCAACCATGAAAAGACTTAAGCTGGGCACGGTGGCTCACCCCTGTAATCCCAGCACTTTGGGAGGCCAAGGTGGGTGGATCACCTGAGGTTGGGAGTTCGAGACCGGCCTAGCCAACATGGCGAAACCCCGTCTCTACTAAAAATACAAAAATTAGCTGGGTGTGGTGGGGGGCTCCTGTAATCCCAGCTACTTGGGAGGCTGGGACATGAGAATCCCCGAGTTTGCAGTGAGCTGAGATCATGCCACTGCACTCCAGCCTGGGCGACACAGCAAGACTCTGTTTCAAAAAAAGAAGAAGAAAACCAAAACCCTCAAGAGTCAATGTGTTGACTGACTCTAAATGTGGGTTCCTGGTGCTCTATGCTCATGCAGCCATAGGGAAGGAAAGGGAACTATCAAAAGCCAAGGGATGCCCCATACAACTTTACTCAGATCTTGGAACTTTTAGATGCTGTCCAACTCCCAAAGAAATAACAATTACTCACTGCAGGGGACACCAGAAGGGAGACACTTTTATTATTAGAGGAAATTCCCTGGTGGAAAGAGCAGCTAAGGCCACAACTAAGGAAACCCTGGTATTTCAAGCTGCTGCGCTACTACCAGGTACTCCATCCGTGTCAGTGACACCATACTATACCCCTAAGGAAATTAAAGGGACTGAGTAAAAGGCTTCCAGGGAGACCCTCTGGATGGTTGGTAGAAAAGAACAAACTCTATTCCTGAGGCTGACAGATGGGAAATAATTAAACATTTTCATGATTCCTCACATTTGGGACGGGATTTTCCATTCAAATTAGTTTCCTAAATATTCTTCGGGAAGGGACTGTTCTAAACTATAAAAAGGGTTACCACTCAGGAAGCCACCCCATACCCCGATCCCTGCTTAAACCTGTACAACACCAAGGAACATACCATGGTGAAGACTGGCAGACAGACTTAACCCAGATGCCACCTTACAGGGAACTACAAGATTTGCTAGTAATTATAGGCACTTTCAACAGGTGGATAGAAGCTTTCCCCACAAGGACAGGAAAAGTACTGGAAGTGTCTAAATTCTTAAAGAAATCATTCCAAGATTTGGATTACCAAAAGGTTTGCAAGGTGACAACTGACCTCACTTCACAGCTAAGGTGACCCAGTGAGGTCATGCCTCAGCCTTAGGCATTACCTATCTTCATTCCTCATGGAGATCTCAGTCTTCCAATAACATAGAAAGCCAATCACGACATTAGCAAAAGTCTTTCAGTTTGGGGGCTTGCCTGCCCTGCGTCACTATCATTGTTTCCTTGGGTTTCCCAGGAATGTACATGTGTGAGACTGCCGCCCTGCTTATAGATCTGTTTCCCTGCAAGGAAACAGGAATATGTTGCCTGTGGCTTCCAGAGTTGGAGATACATGTAGTTGCACCACTGAGGGCTAACATTTAATTTTGGAATCAAGTGATGCATTCAGACTGGTTGCTATCATTCTGTGGTATATATTTAGTGAACACATTCATGATTGAGTTTCCTGCTTTTAGCTGGAGCAAGAAAGTTTTATAATTGTGATTTGTATGAAAAAATCATAGGCAAGGGAATGGATGCAAAATAAACTTTATTGTCAGAGGTTTCTAAAGGCTCATCCTTCAAGGAAAATGGACATATGCTGAAGAGCTGATAAACTGTCTACAGCAGTGTTATTCTAACCTAATCTTGATTCCAAGTTCTTGCCATTTTCCTCCAGCTGCTGTTGACTCCAGTTATATATAGGATGGGGGAAAGGGGATTATCTACGAATGTAGGCATCACTTTCTCTTGGGCAGTTATCACATTGGCAGACTGAAGGGATGTGATTTCTACAATCAAACTATCCATTTGGAGTACAAATCTGGAGTGGCTGTAAAATTCGGTTCTCAGAGATGAACTTGCAGATTCGGACTTTCAATTGTTCTGTTGTTTTAGTTTTTCTTATCAACTGGGGAACTGTTTGTGACTAAGCTTTGTTAAAAGTAGAGAAGAGCTTTTCATAGTTCCAACATTAGTTGTTACCTGAAACAAACAAAAACACACACAGAGACAATTAAACAGTAATCTTTGGTGAGGTCTTGCTGATACCTGAGGCTGGAGTGAGAGCTGAGTGGTGATACAGCTCATGTGAGTGGTCCAGATTGCGCACTCCTTATGAGACTGTAACTGATGCCTGATGACCTGAGGTGGAACAGTTTCATCTGGAAAACATCCACCACCCCCTTCCATGGAAAAATTGTCTTCCATGAAACCAGTCCCTGGTGACAAAAAGGTTGAGGACAGCCAAAAAGGCTGCTTTAAATGATAACCTTCCCCAAAACTAAATTACCCCTGTAAAATGAATGAAAGGCTACCAAGTTAGAAGTATGAAAGGGGCCTGATTTCTACTAAGATGTATGCCTCATTAAATAATTACCAGCCATTATTCCAGAAGTCACAAGATTGGCAGCTTCCCCAATTACTGCTGTGAAGAACATCACTATTGTAGAACCTAAGATTGGCCTCTTGAGATGTCTTTTCAGGCTTTTGCATTTCTGACTGCTGGAAGGCACCATCTGGCCCGAAAATCAACCAGTCCCTTAGCCCCCACCCAGAAGCTGACTCCATGCAGGAGGACCATTTTCCACGCCCCTGTGATTTCATCCCCAACAATCAGCACCACACAAGCCCTAGCCCCCTCCCCACCAAACTATCTTTGAAAAACCCCTTACCTCCAAGCCTTCAGTGAGATTGCTTTGAGTAATAACTCTGTCTCCCACGTGTCGTGGCTGGCCTGTGTCAATGAAACTCTTGCCTGCAGTGCCATGGTCTCCATGAATTGAATTTTTGTGTACATTGGTCAGGAAGAACCCATCAGGCGGTTACATCTGCAGGATGGTGCCAGTTCTTTCCACAAAGGCTGGTCAGATACCCAGAAAGCATTTCTCCACTACTACCTGGACAATGTGTCTCCCTGTCAATCTCCAGGGAATGGGGCCTGGATCAAGTATTTAGTATTCAGCAGTTACTACACTGTCACCTAATCCCTCATTTTCAAAATTTTGCCATGCTTCCAGTGGCCTAACTGGCCACCATGCCACAGAATCTTTACTTTATGATCTCCAAGGAGAACTCTCCACTCGATGTTTTGTGATTTGAGCAATGGAATAGAATCTGATACTGGTGGGCTGGGGGAGGTCCCTGGACACTGGTGGGATCTCGACCCCAGCTGTGGTGTCCAGGCTGTTGACACCATCGCGAGAACAAAGTCAAAGATGAGTCAGCAGATAGTGAAAGAAGAGATTTATTGCAAAGCAAAAACTACACACTCAAGAAAGGGGAGCTTGGGCATACCCAAGAGAGAATAATGGGTTCTGGGGTTTCATCTTGATGGGTTTCTTTAACCAAGGAGTGGAATGTTCACGAAAATTCCTGGGTAAAGGTGGAGATTTCTTGGAACTGTGGTGCCATTTTTACATCAAACACTGGTCTCAGAACTGTCATGGCACTGGCGGGTGTGTGATTTAGTATGTTAATGAGCATATAATGAGGGCCTAGGTAAAACCTCCATCCAATCCAGCACCACGTTGGGTCCACTCAGCCTTAGCCAGCTTGGTCCACACCCTGGTTTTTCAGCGTCTTAACAGCCCACAGCCTCAAGTCATGTAAATCTGCTGCCTAGAATTTGTTATCCTGTGACCACCCTGTAGTATTCCTGTCTGAAATCTACTTGTAAATATTCAAATGGTCTTTCACTTGGGCATTCCAACTTTGCTTACTTCACAGTGTTTCCTGCGTAATATATAAGAAAAGATGATCCAGACATTTGTTAAACATCTCAAATAAGATGTAGCCCAGGTATTTGTGTCAAATTTGGATTATTTTGGTTTCGTCTTTGCAGAATATAAAAAACTAACTTGAGGTAAGCACTAAGGTGTGGAGATGGCTGTGCAAGAGATGACAAACTCCAGCACCACGCTTGAGAGTGTCCAATCATCTCTTCTGGGACAGCATATTTTTCTACAATATGGATTTTTGAAAAAAAACAACATCAAAAAAAAAAACCTACAAGATTCATGAAACTGGACAACTGTCTTTATAACATTACCAGTGATAAAACCAGTAAGGAAGGCTGGTTTGCAGTCATCTGAGCAGCCTCTTTACTTTCATAAATATGGTTTCTCTCTGATATTAAATGGCTTCCAATTGCAAGCGGAATGCTGCATCACAAGGATAAGGATGTGAAGAGAACCGGTTTCTTTTGTAATCCGAAACATTCTAGTCTGCGAATTAAAAGCCATTATTTGAAGAAGGATGCCCCGGCTCCATCTGGCCACCGAAAGGTTGCTCCTTAACACAGGCTAAGGACCAGCTTCTTTGGGAGAGAACAGACGCAGGGGCGGGAGGGAAAAAGGGAGAGGCAGACGTCACTTCCCCTTGGCGGCTCTGGCAGCAGATTGGTCGGTTGAGTGGCAGAAAGGCAGACGGGGACTGGGCAAGGCACTGTCGGTGACATCACGGACAGGGCGACTTCTATGTAGATGAGGCAGCGCAGAGGCTGCTGCTTCACCACTTGCTGCTTCGCCACGAAGGAGTTCCCGTGCCCTGGGAGCGGGTTCAGGACCGCTGATCGGAAGTGAGAATCCCAGCTGTGTGTCAGGGCTGGAAAGGGCTCGGGAGTGCGCGGGGCAAGTGACCGTGTGTGTAAAGAGTGAGGCGTATGAGGCTGTGTCGGGGCAGAGCCCGAAGATCTCATACTTACCTGGCAGGGGAGATACCATGATCACGAAGGTGGTTTTCCCAGGGCGAGGCTTATCCATTGCACTCCGGATGTGCTGACCCCTGCGATTTCCCCAAATGTGGGAAACTCGACTGCATAATTTGTGGTAGTGGGGGACTGCGTTCGCGCTTTCCCCTGACTTTCTGGAGTTTCAAAAACAGACTGTACGCTAAGGGTCATATCTTTTCTTGTATTGGTTTGTGTCTTGGTTGGCGTCTTAGGTGTTAATCCTACAGTAGACGGTTGGGGAATAGGAAGTAACATGTGGCCTGCACGCCATAGGAGAAAAAGCGAGCATCAGCCGTATCGGCTTTGTAACACAAATTAGCTATCGTGAAGTCCGCTCAGCTCTTCCCTTTCTACCCTGGCTGCTTTTTGCAGGGATTGGTCCGTGGTCTCCAGTCTCTTGGGTTCTCACCCTGTGTGAAAATCTTCGTGTTTTTCCCTACCCCCCAAGTCACCTCTTACACAGCCTCTGCTTCCAAGCGCAGCCCCCACAGGAGTTTGTAGGATTTCTGTGCTAGCGGGGAGTGTGTTCTCACCTCATAGAGCCAGGTAGAAACTACACAGATGGGCGCTGTTCTCTGGGAAGAAAGCAGGGCCTTTGGGGCTCTCAGTGTCCCCATTGGGTTGTAGACATAACACGCTTACTTTGCGTAGGGGAACGGCTCTGCCGGCCCCCAGGTGCCCTAGCGCATATGCACGGAGGCCCGCAGGTCAGAACCGCAGTCTCACCTGTCTTGGCGGAAATGCCCTGCGATCCTCCCGGAGATAGAAGGCGGGAAGTTTTATGAGGAGCCGGTCCAGTTTCCCTACTATCTCCTGCAGTTCATATATCTAGTGTTTCTTCAGACTTTAAGCGACTGCTTCATGTTTGATGTCTCACTCCCACATCCTACATCCATTGCCAGGCAACTTTCTAGATAGCACCCTGACCCATCCTTCCCACCCCCAACAAGCCCTTTCCTATTTCTGGTGCCAGTGTCCTCCCCAGTCCCTCTTTCTTCAGGCCCTCGCTTATCACCCTCATGGACAGAAAATACTTAGCTCTCTCTCAACCTGAGGTTTACACCTGACACGCGTCAGTGCCCTGGCAAATTCCTTAATACCCCTTCTCAAATAGCACTGTAAATCACCTCTTTTTAACTCCCAGAACTATCTAATTGGTTTTGTCCCTGCACTACATGAATACTAGTATTCCACTACAGAGGAAAACCCCAGGCCTAGTGATGGCGGTTCTGGGCATTGTGCCAGCCTCTCCCAGGGTATGTTTTCTGACCTCACCTACTTTTGATCAGCTGAGGTCAGGAGTTCAAGACCAGCCTGACCAACATGGCAAAACTCCGTCTCTACTACAAACACATACACATGCACAATAATAATAATAACAATAATAATAATAATGATAATAATAATAATTACCGGGCGCAGTGGTGTGTGTCTGTAATCCCAACTACTCGGGAGGCTGAGGCAGGAGAATCACTTGAACCCGGGAGGTGGAGGTTACTGTGAGCCAAGATCGCGCCATTGCACCGCAGCCTGGGCAACAGAGTAAGACTCTGTCTCAAAAAAAGAAAAAAAATTAGTGCATCTGAGACATATTATTGGAGACAGTAGAATCCTGCGTCCAACAGGCACTTGGTGCAGATCTGAACCCATTGAGCTATTGGCTCATGTTCCCTATGTTCTATTAAGTATCATGAGCAGAAATTGAGCTCTTTGGCTTTTACCCACTGAGTATGGCTATAGGACAGGTCTCTCTCTCTCTCTCTCTCTCTCTCTCTCTCTCTCTCTCTCATTCTTTGCATCATTATTTTTTGCCATCAGTGTGGGTTTTTGGTTTGGAGGTTATGAAGTGAATTTCTGGGGACAATCTCTGTTGGGTCATGTTGACAAGGATCCAGTCCCTGTTTGGTGATACATGACAGCTAATCTGCTCTGTGAGTCTTCTTTATTGTCTATTTATTGTCCTGAGAATAATGGCATTTCCTGATATTTGAGACTGCAGCAATGATAAGTTGTTCAGATCTTGTCTTTCCAATGTTTGGTAAACATTTTATAGGCCCAATTGTTGTCAATATCTGCAAGAGTGGCATCTCTGTTACAAGAGTGATCTTACTACTCGATGTCCCCCCTCCCAACCAACTTCGTTTCCTAGGGGCTCTTGGCTTTAACGAATTTACTGTGTCTAAAAGACATCTTAGTACAGGAAGAAAACTGAATCTGTAGCATGTAAGGAGCAGTTTTATTTGATTGGTATATTCAGGTTTCTAACCAGCTGAAAAATTCAAATACATGCCCTTTAAGAATTAAGTTTAAACCACACTACAGAAAGAGAAAAGATTTATATGATCACATATAAGCAATGGAATCAGCAATATGAGTACTTTTCACAACTATACAAATCAAATTTAATAATCTCCAGAACATTAAGGAAGTTCAGCCCTTAATGGAAATGAATGAAAAGCAATTATTCACCCACTGTTACATGCCCTGGAAAGACAATGTCCTGCCAGACTCAAAAGAGTATCACAGTGTTACTCAGATTTTCAGCAATGAAGGCCCTCCAAGGATCTAATGATGTTCATATTTTCAGTTTATTTCCTTCACTGATAAACATTGTTAATAGATACCATTGCCTCTGTTTTCACTTTAAGTGATGTTACTTAGCACAATTCGTTTCTTTAGAATGCACCCTAGTTTGGTGGAAGGAATTTTCCTGCTTTATAAATATAGGATATTTTCTCATGAAACAAATTGGCATACTCTTTCAGTGAAGTGAATAGACAAATTAGATCTCTACAATTGTAAAGGAGTCACTGCCCCAATTATCTTAGGAACAATAATAATCACTTATATAAAATTAAAATAAGAAAATTAAGCCAGGTATGGTGGCTCATAGCTACAGTCCCAGCACTTTAAGAGTTGGAGACCAGCCTGGGCAACACAGTGAAACCCCTGTCTCTACAAATTTTTAAGTATTAGCTAATTTTTAAAAGTTGGCCGGGCAAGATAATGCATGACTGTAATCTCAGGCTGCAGTGAACTATGATTGTGCCACTGCCCTCCAGCCTGAGTGACAGAATGAGACTCCCAACTCAAAAAAAAAAAAGAAATAAAAAAGAAAAAGAAAGAAAATTAAGAATTTGTTGAAAATTGTTTTACTACAACGCTAGGCTGCATGTCTTGCACCTGTACTCCCAGCAACTCAACAGGCTGAGGCGGAAGGATTGCTTTAGGCCAGCGGTTGGAGACCAGCCTTGGGAACAGGGCAAGACCTCATCTCTAAAAAAACACAAGGCAAGCTGAGCCAGGAGGATTGCCTGAGCCCAGAAGTTCCAAGTTGGTCAGCTATGATTGCCCCGCTGCACTCTAGCCTGGATAACAGAGCAAGATCCTGTGCCTTATTTTTTAATTTATGTTATTTTTTTACTACTTATGCTTATTTATCTATTTATTTATTTTTGAGACAGAGTCTTGCTCTGTAGCCCAGGCTAGAGTGCAGTGGTGCCATCTCAGCTCACTGCAAGCTCTGCCTCCCAGGTTGAAGCTATTTCCCTGCCTCAGCCTCCAGAGTAGCTGGGATTACAGGCGCACGCCACCACGCCCAGCTAATTTTTATATTTTTAGTAGAGACAGGGTTTCATCATGTTTGCCAGGCTAGTCTCAAACTCCTGACCTCAAGTGATGCACCTGTCTCGGCCTCCCAAAGTGCTGGGATTACAGGTGTGAGCCACCTCGCCCAGGCTGCTTATGCTTGAAATGTGAGGTTTCATTAGGGAAAAATTTTCTTGTTGAATTTCTAACACGAAAAAATAAGAGATTTAGCTGTAGATTAAATTAATGGTCCTGGTAGTTTGGTACAATAAAATAAATGAAATGAAATTGATAGCAGAGAGGAATCTTTGATGCTTTTGAACAATTTAAATAATGTAATATTTATTATATAAAGACATGAAAAAGTTCATTACATTATTATTATATGCATTTATTTATTTATTTATTTTGAGATGTAGTCTCACTCTGTCGCCTAAGCTAGAGTGCAGTGGTGCAATCTCGGCTCACTGCAACCTCTGCTTCCCGGGTTCAAGCAATTCTCCTGTCTCAGCCTCCTGAGTAGCTGGGATTACAGGCGCACACCACCACACCTGGCTAATTTTTGTATTTTTAGTAGACACAGGGTTTCACCATGTTGGTCAGGCTGTCTTGAACTCCTGACCTCATGATCCTCCTGCTATGGCTTCCCAAAGTGCTGGGGTTACAGGCATGAGCCACTGCACCTGGCCCATTACATTATTTTTTAAAAATCAGTATGACTCTTTTGACAAATTAGAATGGTTTAATAATCTTGGTTAGGCTGGGCATGGTGGCTCATGCCTGTAGTCCCAGCACTTTGGGAGCCCGAGGTCAGGAGTTTGAGACCAGCCTGGCCAACATGGTGAAACCCTGTCTCTACTAAAAATACAAAAATTAGCCGGGCATGGTGGGGGGCTCCTGTAATCCCAGCTTCTCAGAAGGCTGAGGCAGGAGAATTGCTTGAACTCAGGAGGCAGAGGTCACAGTGAGCCAAGATCACGCCATTGCACTCCAGCCTGGGGGGGCAACAGAGTGAGACTCTGCCTCAAAAAACTAATAAATAAATAAAAATAAAGTATAAAAAGTTAAAATTATGTGTTCAAATACATTAAATATATGGCAATGAAAAGGAGGCCTAGCATGACTGACTGCATTTTGCTCCTAACCCTTCCTACCCTGTGGTGACATCTTCCAGGCTAACTGCTTTTTCTTATTTCTGCACATAGGCCAAGCTATCTATGGGAGGGATTTAGCTTACAGTTCAACTTTAAAGCACAGATGATAATAATCCCTTCCCCAAACTAACTCCTGAGAAGATAGAGAGGTTGTATACACAAGTAACAGTGTTATGCTGAAGATTTATAAGAGCAGTGTGACCTGACAAAGGACGAACAATTTTCACCATCCCCTTGGGCTCCCACTGCAGCCCATGTCTGTCATTGTCAGACCTCTTCACCTCAAGCGCCTCCTTCTTCCTCCCTTCCCTAACGTACAAGGAGCCTGAAAATCGTATTAATTTAAGATGGTTCTTCAGGATGTTACTTCACCATCTGTTCAGTTTGGTGGCTCTCTGGAATAAAGTCACCTTCCCTGCCCCTACACCTCAACCCTCCACTTACTGGCTGTCATGCAGCAAGCGGTGAGTGCAGTAAGCGGAGATCACACCACTGCACTCCAGTCTGGGTGACCCTGTCTCAAAAAAAAAAAAAAGAGAGAGAGAGAGAAATTTGGTTTTCGAACCAGACAAATTAAATAGGAGACTTAATTCCAATGAGACCTAGAAATGTCTAAATTTCTAAAATTTCTAAAAGAACTGAGAAAATTGCCTCCATTGAGGAAGTAAGCTGAAGGAGGTAGACTGTCATGTTTTCTGATTTGAGAAATATCGAGGAGGCTTTGTCTCTTTCACCTCCAACTGCTCCTTCTCCTCCTGCCCCTGCACCTGCATAGTCTTTCTTACCTGAGCCTTCCTGTCCTGCCTTGCCTCTTCTTCCATCACCATCACCTAAGGAAAGTCCCCAGGGATCTGGTCCCTTCCCTGAAACTTCTGTTCTGACAGCCCCTTTCAAGGTAAAACCCAAACCCACAGGAAGAGGGGAGCCTACCGTTGTGTATACCACTTCACCAAAACGTGAATTAAGAATATTATAAAGAACTTCCCTGATCTAAACTTAAATATATTTCACTCTTCTGTTTCTAAAGCAGGCTCCAAAATCCTGTAGGCTTTGGCAGAAAACTTGACTTAACTGTTGAAACCTTTGAGCCCAAATATTCTGATCTTTATCAATTAATTCACATGCTGGTGAAGAAGGGAAGGACACTAACTGGTTGCAAAAGGTAAATTGGAAGGATTTTCAAAAAGGGACTGAAGCAGAACATGAAAGGTTCACATTTTCACCAAATATCTCCAAGTTGCCATTCCCCAGGTCCTTCCTAAAAATATAGATTGGAGGATAATTCAGCATTGTACTAAAAAGCCAGACAAATCTGTCTTTGCTTAACTAAAATGGTTTGAGATCCAGGTGTGGTAGTTCATGCCTGTAATCCCAGCACTTTGGGAGGCTGAGGCAGGTGAATCACTTGAGGTCAGGAGTTCGAGACCAGCCTGCCAACATGGTGAAACCCTGTCTCCACTAAAAATACAAAAATTAGCCAGGTGGCTACTCAGGAGGCTGAAGCAAAAGAATTGCTTGAACCCAGGAGGTGGAGGTTGCAGTGAGCTGAGTTCCTGCCACTGCAATACAGCCTGGGAGACAGAGCGAGACTCTGTCTCACAAAGAAAAAAATAAAAAGAAAAAAGAAAAATAGAAAAAAAAACAGCAGGGTAGTAGAAATATAAGGCACACAAGAATGATAATCATGAAGACAATCTGATTCTACAAGAGTAAGGGAACCTATTCCATTAGAGAGCCAACTGAAAACATCAAATCCCAGTTCACACCCCAGGGTGTGGGGTCACGTGCCTGTAGTCCCAGCTACTCAGGAGGATTAGTAAGGAGGTTTGCTTGAATTCATGAGGTCAAGGCAGGAGTAAACCCTGATCATGCCACTGCACTCCAGCCTGGGTGACAGTGAGACCTTGTCTCAAAAACAAACAAACAAACAAACAAAAACCCACAAAACCAAACAACAACAAATTGTCCCCTCACTCTGAAATGACAGTGGCAAACATCACTTTGCTATTGACAAATTAAAAGAAAAACACTCCCTCTTGCTATCAACCTGGCCTCTTGCTCTAACATGTCTGACCCATGGTTTAAAATGCCCAAAAGCTGATGTCCTCAAATTATAATACACTTACCTATTCTGCACCAGCATTTATTTTTGTCTGGAGGAGATCACCATCCATGGTCCTGTAAATGTCTAACAGCATGGAATGATGAAGGGCAGTGTCTTTTAGGATATTTGGTTATATCTATATATATGGCTCTGAAGAAACCCAACATTGGGTGAGTTCCCTCAAACTTTTCACTAGGCATGACCACTGCTCTATTTTAGATAGAGATTCTGTGGGGCAAAACCTGAGAATTATCTCTGCCTGGCTATCAAGAAGATAGCTCCTTGCATTTTTTGGGGGAGAACACTTTTGCTTCAAGGGAGTGTTTCCTCCCAGGATTAGAAATCTTTCTGTAACCTCAGGAAACATTGCTGATGAAAACCAGGCATGGTGTGCTGTACAACTTGTAGTAATAAGGCAGAAGTTAAAAGGAAAAGACACGTTTTCCTGTACTTGGCTGACTCCAAGACCTGCCATAGATAGAGCCCTAGCAGATCCTCGGTAACACTATCTGAAAAGTCAGAGCCCCGAGGAATGAGTTCCGGAGACTCTCTCAATACAGTCACCCCTAGCAAAGATAAGATGAAAAAACAACAAATGCCTTTACTACCTTCTCTTTCCCCCTTTCCATTTCTAATTATTCAAGTTTTGTTAAGTTCCCGATTTCCCTTCAGTGCAGCTGCAAGGTCACCAGCTATACTTGCATTGCAAGACCTGTGACAGTTTGATTAGCTGCCTTTGTTCTGCTTCTATAAGCCCCTCTTGCCTGCCCCTGAGTTTCATGCCATCAAATTCCCGCCGCGCCATTCAAACTAGCCAACCCCCTTTCAGAAGTGTGTATAAAGTTAAGCCCTGTCTTTGTTCGGGGCTCAGCCTTTGGATTTTCATCTGCTGGGCCTCAGTGCAGTCAATAAATCCTCCTGTTCCACCCATTGGTCTCTCTGTTCTCCTGATTCCCACAACAGTAGTAGGGGACTGCGTTCGCACTTTCTCCTGGTCTTTCATGGTATGAATAATGGACAGCATTTTTTTTTTCACCTATAGTCGCAGGCTCGGTCTCAGTGATTGTATGCTGTGGTCAGCTGTTTTTGTTTTTGTGAGACCTTGTTTTCTTGTTTACTGTCCTGGGACAGATGTCTGTAGTCACTTGTTTCCTCGGGAGGCAAATTTCAGTCTCTGTGGGGGAGGTCTCCCATGTTAGCTGTGGTGGTACTTGGCAGGCAGAGCTCAGGGATCTAGGCTTCCGTGCTTTGTAGATTGCTCAATGGTCCCCAAGGCCTAGTGGCTTTTAACACCACTTGAAAACCTTAGTGTTTTTCCACTGTCCCCAGAGTCACCTCTTACACAGCCTCTTTTTTTGTTTGTTTGACTTATTCTCTGAGAGACAGTCTCACTGTATCTGGTGGCATCTTGGTTGAATCGATCCTCCCACCTCAGCCTCTGGAGTAGCAGAGGCACCAGTCACCACAGCCAGCTAATTTCTGTTCTTGTTTTTGTTGTTGTGGTGGCTGTCTTGTTTTTTTAAGAGTTGAAGTTTCTCCATGTTGCCCAGGCGACGTGCTCCCGGCGAAGGAGGCCGCCTGCCTGGGGGCGGGCTGGAGCCACGTCCCAGGGCTGGGGGCGCTGTGGGCACTGTGGGTGCCGCACCCACTGCTGCCCGGCCCCGGAAGCCAAGAGAGCGTTCTCGACGGGCTCCGCGGATGCCCCGCTGCGTCCTGCTGCCCATCCTGCCCGGGTTGTCGCGGGCCGGGGGCACGACAAGAGGCCGGGGTCTGCCCGGACGCAGCGGCCTGCAGGGCGCAGCTGTCCCTCCACCAGCCGGGGTCCCCTCGCTCAGCCCATGAGACAAATAAATGAATACATAAATAAATAAAAGATGGAGTCTTGCTCTGTCGCCCAGGGTGGAGTGCAGTGGTGCGATCTTGGCTCACTTCGACCTCTGCCTCCCAGGTTCAAGTGATTCTCCTGCCTCAGCCTCCTGAGTAACTGGGATTACAGGTGCATGCCACCACACCCGGCTAATTTTTCGATTTTTAGTAGAGACGGGATTTCATCATGTTGGCCAGGCTGGTCTCGAACCCCTGACTTCAAGTGATCCACCCGCCTTGACCTCCCAAAGTGCTGGGATTACAGGCATGAGCCACTGCACCCAGCCAGAAGTGGGCATTAATATGCAGGCGCCGTATAGGGCAACATCTGTGTGCACCTCTTACAAATCTTAATGCTGTGTATATGAGGGGGTTCCTTCGTGTCCCCCTGGGGATGTTTGAGGTTGCCTGTATGTGTTATGTGTGTGCATATTTTTAAGCTCAGATATGCATAGGCGGATTGACACCTCTGTTTGAATGTATTCCCATGAGCTCATGCCATTAATTCACCATCACAAGAAATATTTACTGAGCATGAGCCATGCCATTCCACAGCCACCATTATAGCACTAAGATACAATGAGGAACAAAAAATCCAGGCTTTCTGAGCTCACACTGGGGTGGGGGCATGGTGGGAAGACACAGGCATCAATGTAATAAACAGAAACCACGACAGGGCTAAGTGTTCTGGAGGAGAGGCGCATGGTGTACTGAGGCCCCTGAGGTTGACCCAGGTGCACCTTTGAGCTTTGCCTGCATGGTTTGGGTTTGTGGGCTCACCTGCATGTGTCCATGCATGCCCCATCTGCGTGCCCGTGCATGGCTGCATCACCCCATGCACACGTGCACTGCCCCTGGGCTTGCCCACATGTGCTGCTCCCCAGGGCACCAGGCTATCAGCCTACAAGGCATTGTGGGTCTGGGCCCAGCCTGCCACCCCCTACAGAGGCCTGAGCCTGCCTTCCCAGGAGGCCCAGGACTCTCACCCAGGGCCCTTCCCTGCAGCTGGAGCAGGCTCTGTGGCTGGAATCTGGTGAGCTGGAGACGCAAGAGCCCAGGGGGCTGGTACTCCAGAGCGTGGAGTTGCGGAGGCAGCTGCAGGAGGAGCAGGCCTCCTAGTGGCACAAGCTGCAGGCCTACCTGGAGGGCCAGCAGCGGCAGGCCCAGCTTGTGCAGTGGCTGCAGGGCAAGGTCAGGGCCACCCATTCCTGCTCTTTCCCTCCCACGTGTTCACTTTGCCCTGCCCCCACCCCTGGGGCTCACCATCAGCTCCCAATCCCCAGATTCTCCAGTACAAGAAGAGGTTCTCGGAGCTGGAGCAGCTGTTGGAGAGATCCGGA
Source organism: Homo sapiens (assembly GCF_000001405.40). Classification (NCBI taxonomy): domain Eukaryota; kingdom Metazoa; phylum Chordata; class Mammalia; order Primates; family Hominidae; genus Homo; species Homo sapiens. Next base: position 690,596 of record NW_025791756.1, on the reverse strand, counting down.
GAGCTGGAGCAGCAGCAGCTGAGGGTGGGTGCCAGGGTGGGGCAGAGGCAGGCCCTGCCCTCCACCTGCCCAGCCTGATGCTTTAACCTCTCTGCCACCCAGGACGCAGAGCACAGCCAAGACCTGGAGAGTGCCCTCATCTGGCTGGAGGAGGAGCAGCAGGGAGGGCCAGGGCTGGCAGCATGGCCCCCTGGGCGAGCGCCTACTGATCCCCTGTGCCCCATTCAGGAGTGCCAGCCTGGCCCAGGTGAATGCCATGCTCTGAGAACAGCTGGACCAGGCAGGTTTGGCCAGCCAGGCTCTGAGTGAGGAGATACGAAAGGTGACCAGTGACTGGACTCGCAGCTGCAAGGAGCTGGAGCAGTGGGAGGCGGCATGGAGGCGCGAGGAGGAGGTGGGCATGGGGGTGCAGGGAGGCCGGCGATATAAGAGGAAGATAATGCACAATTATGCTAGTGAGACTCTCTTTTCCAATAATGTTTGCACTTCTCAATACTACATTTAAAAAGGAAATAGGAGCACTTGAACGGTTAAGTAAGAAGATGAACAAAATTGAACAGAGGAAAAATAACTGTCTGAAGACATGTTGAAAATACATTTAAAGACAGTCTGTCTGAGACAGGAGCTGAGCTGGCCAATCCATCTTTTAAATAATTGAACATCATTCAGGTGTCAAGTATTTGACCTGGAGCCTGGAAGGGGAGGAGAGAGTCCAAAAAAAAGTCAAAATATAAAGAAAAAAAATTAAAGAACTTGTCCCACAAATCAGGCAACCAAGGTCTAAACTTATACCCTCTGCCTGGGTAAATTGTTGTTGCTTCTTTCTGTGACTCTTAAAAGATGTACCATATACCACATTTAATGACTTTGATTTATTCATGAAAACTCTATCCCCATGGGAAAAGCTGTTAAATGAAAAAAGATTTCTTTTAAGTAGAAAAATTATGAAAGGATTCCTTCCAACCCTCCATACCCAAAATATCTCAAATGAATTATATAGCTATCAATTATCAATATATATCAAAATATACCAATTAAAAATATCAGTTAAACAATACGTCAATTGAACTATGAAAGCAAGCTTATTTAAGTAGCAAAGAATAACGTGAAGGTTAGTAAGTATAGCTTATACTTAAAATACAATGAATTGAAAGCTCATGGCACTTCATAGAGTAGGAAGAAGAAACTTAATAGAAAGTGGTAGTTGGGGGAGAAGGACTGCAAGGGAGTTATTTGGAAAATGCATTTTTTATTTCTGCATCATTTTGTTCACAAATTATTCTTAATCTTTTGTGAATTTGTGGATTTCTTGAACTCAAACCAGACTTAAAAATACAGTTATAGCACAGAAAAAAATCTTTAATGGCAAAATAAAAGCTAAGCAAGAGAGCCTTTCAAAACACATGAAAATAACACACACATACAAAAAAAAAAGAATAAAGAGATGTACAAGTGACACCTCCTCAACCTTCTCACTTGGTGTACATATGCACAGTAAATTATTTTGGGCTCAGCCAAGCATGGGAGCAATTCAAATAGATCCATATGATATTCTCTGATTAGAAACTCTTGTGGAGTAAGTTGGTGAGTGTATCTTTGCCTAAAACAGTCATGTCAAAATATAGCTTCCTATAGCATATTTATTTAGTATCATTTTGGTGAAAAAGTGGTTATACAGAATAGAAAAGAGTTGTCCAAAACTAAGTGGTTGACCTTTCCAGAGCCATTACCTGCAGAATTGTTATGTAAGTCTGTTCCATACTCGTAAAGGAATACTCAGCTGACCCAACTGATTTTCTCGTGTTTTTTCCTTCAAGGGCTAGTAGAAGTCTATATGTTGTGGTGGAAAACAACCTCAGCCCTATAGTCCAACATTTGCCTATCAAAACTTGTCCTATGATTTATAAAACTAGAACCTCACTGGTAAGTCACATTCCTAGAGTCTCCCCCATCCCTAACCCCAGTCACGGAAAATAAATCAAATCATTGTCACTCTTTCTTAACAAAGAGCATACATTTAAAACTTGAGTAAAATTACAGGTACCGTCTGGGGCCTTCAAGGGGGAACTTGAAGTCTCAATACCGCAGTTGTCCAATCAGAGGATCCAAGATGAATATACTCAAGGACTTTATGCTTGGCATCCTCTGGAGACAGTACATAACCACCAGCTTGGTTTAACTGGAGATTCATTTGGGTTAGGAGAAATTATGTAGGCAATGTACTTAGTCAATGGAAGCCTTATGCCTGAAGACTTACAAGAATCTGAATTCGTATGTTACTTTTCCTTTAATGGAGTGGAATTCCAAATGAAAATAATCAAACAGCATGTGCATAAACATTAGATATAATACCCACATTTACAAAGCCTTTATAGATATGCAAGTGTTATTGCGTCTGTCCCTAGCTTCTGTACAGAATTTAATGGGTAGCTGTTACTATTTTATTGCTGTATAAAAATGAGGAAACTGATAAGTTGTCTAAAGGTGCACAATCAAAACACATCAAAGCCATTGTGAAATACAGGTCCCCGGATTTCAAAAACAGATCTTCTGCTTATAAATTCAGTCTTTTTCATACTGCCATAAACTCCAGAATGGGAAAACAAAGTTACTATCAGAAAAGCTTCTTTTAGCTGCGCGTGGTGGCTCATGCCTGTAATCGCAGCACATTGGGAGGCCAAGACAGGCGGATCACTTGAGGTCGGGAGTTCGAGACCAGCCTGGCCAACATGGTGATCTCTACTAAAAATACAAAAATTAGCTGGGCATGGTGGCGGACACCTGTAATTCCAGCTACTTGGGAGGCTGAGGCAGTAGAATCGCTTGAGCTGGGGAGGCCGAGATGGCTTAGTGATCCGAGATGGCGCCACTGCACTCCAGCCTGGGTGACAGAGTGAGCCGACATCGCGCCACTGCACTCCAGCCTGGGTGACAGAGTGAGACTCCATCTCAAAAGAAAAAAGAAAGCTTATTTTTTCCCCTAATCACCATAATATTCACTATTAAGTGAGGGAAATAGAAATAATTTACTTAGCAAATCCTTTCTAGTTCAAATAATTTCTATACAGGCTGTGCAAACATAATAATGAGAGATTCTTTTTAGTCATCTTGCTTTATATCACTAATTACACTCTTATTTAATGATATTTTAAAGAAAAACGTGTTTATTTTCAAGTAGAAAACTCATATCTGTCCACCAAGGAAAGCTGTAACAAATGTAAAATACATAAAAAAGATAACTGCTAAATTTCTAAAGCATTCCAAAAAAAGACAAATAGAAGGGTGTCAGATTAGGAAAGTATGTCTTGTAAGGTGTAACGGACAGACTGATGAGCTTAGAGATGTGGATCTCAAAGTGGTTCTCAGAGCAACAGCATCAGGGTCACCTGGGAACGTGTTAGAAATGCAGATTCTCAGGTACCATCCCACATTTAATGAATCAGAAGCTCAGAGTAGAGACCAGCAATTTGTTTTAACAAGTCCTTCAGGGATTCTGATACAGCTGATGTTTGAGAAACACTAGCTTTAGGTAAACGTAAGAGGGTCACGTTAGTATTTTTAAATCATTGGAAGTTGGTTTGTTTTGTTTTTTCTTAAGTGGGACTCATTTATACTTCAATACACAGAATGGATATTTAGAGGAAGTCGTTTTTGACCTAACACAGATGAGCATTTCCAATTGAATAGCGCTTTCTGATAATGGGGCTGCCCACTACAAGTGAATAACTGGGTTTCTCTAGGCTGGAGCTGCAGACAGGTCACTATGTGTATGGAGGATTGTATTAATATGATCGTGGCTCTTTATAGCTCTGCATTACTAATATTCTGTTTTAAAGTCTCTCCTCAATATCCAATGTCTCTGTGTGAATGATGGTAAGGAGTGGGTAACAGTAACAATCATCCTGTTGTTGACAACAGATGATAAGAGAAAGCCCAACTTTACACTCTGTATAATCTTACACCAATGCCCCATTCCTCGTCTAATTTTTTTTACATGTTAACACATGACCTTGGCATTACTAAATAAGAAGCCTTCTCACTTAGAACCCGATGCAGTATGATAAAAATTATTTTGAGAACAATCAGGAGCTCTAGTTTTCAATTCTGCTTCTCTTCTCAAGTAGTTCTGTGCCTTAGTTTCTTCTTTGTAAATTTAAATGGTTGGAACAGAGGATCTGTTAAGTGTGATTCAAGCTGAAATTGTATGTAGCCCACACTGAGTTTCTCTGCTATACCCCTAACCCATTCAACAATCACACCACCAGTTTTCAGGACTCACAGTAGGATAGCCGTCTATCATTTGTTAATAGGTGTGCTCTTTCATCCAAACAAGAAACTCATGATTTCTGCAGTTTTTTATTCTAGCCAGGTTCTAGGTGCTGGCCTGGAACTATAAAACAAACATTTCACAAAAAGTTATGACAATATACAAAGGAAAGACAATTTCTTTGAATATCCATAATCTCAATATGCAGTCTGGCTGTGGATGGCCAAGAGATAGTTTCCTTAACTGGAAAAAGCTTTTAAATGAGGCTTGGTGGAAGATATATCTTTGCATCATTACAAAGAAGAAAAAAGAGAAATCTCACAACTGAAGAAAGTGAAATCCACTTTACTTAATGCGGACCTCTGTCTCTGGTGTGCAGGTCCTCTGTGTCCAAAGATAATTAGCACTTTATAATGCTAATTATTATAATTAGGTCTGAGAAAAAAATCATTAGGGGGTAGGCCCATTCACTGATTTTCAACTGCCCCCTCTATTTAAAAATAAGGTCATTTTTCTATGAAATAGCTTTAGGAGCTCAAAGCAGAAAGAGGGTTATAGAAAATCCTGTGTAGGTATAAGCCTGAGTTTTTAATATTCTTATAATTCTGTGATGTGTCTGGAAACTGAACCGGGAGGAAAACAGTGAACCTATTTAGTCCAGGAGACTAGAAATCAGGACTCAGAAGAGTAAACATTTCTGTAATAGTTAGTCCTCAAATAGTCATTCATTGACCTTCCACTGGGTGTCTGGCAATGTGCAAGCTGCTTCTAGATGCTACCTCATGTAACAACCATCACAGTTGCACAGAGCAAGTACTAGTACTCCACTTTCATAGATAAAGAAGTAAAATCTTAGAAATTAGCTGCCCAATGTCATGTATGTAGGAAAGGAAAGCTGGATTCTGATTCATATTTGCTGGCTCCAAAGCACTTTTGTAAATACTTCACTATCCTGTGCTTACATGTAAATGTACCATTTCTCTTAGGGGTCTTGAAATACTGAACCAAAGAATGGTGTAGGGGAAGGGCAGTTTAGAAATACCTGGAAATTTGGTTGTTTGAAGGAAGCCCACTCTCAGATGGTAGGAGATCAAGCTAACAGAATAGCTGAGAATATTTTCTGAGGCCCCAGAATATAAAAACGGTCTAGGGGGGAAAATTTGGGACACAGAGTGAAAATAGCCTGCCTCTGAAGACCAGCTTCATTTCTTCCCCTCTGGGTGTTAATGAAAGAGCCTTTAACTTTGCCAGGCCTCAGTTACTAATTTCTAAAACAACTGCTGCTACTATTACTACGGATCTTACTGCTACTATGACCACCACCACCACCACATCAGTTACTGAGAACTGAACTAGATGCCAAGAAATATGGTAAACACTTCATATACATTATCTTTTTAAACACAAAATGTACTATTAATCCAGTTTTACATATAAGAAAACTGAGGCTCAAAGAGGCTAAGTAATTTGTATGTGAACATGCTTTACACTATGTAAAACACCTTATTAGTAGATATCACTATTATTAAGAACCTATCAGCCGGAGAGGAAGAATTGGCCTTTTATCTTTCTAAGATGCACAGTTGTCTTTCTGTTTAATGGTTTTTTAAAAATCCCCCTGTGACAAGCTCCAGAGGACAAATAATTTATTTCTTGTGGTGTATGGCTCTCTAAATGAATTAATTGATAGGCATCCCATTGTCAGTCTCAGGGATGTGGAAATAAAACAGACATGAGATGTTTTTTACCAAACTAATTTGTGCTTTAAACACATAAATAATAAAATATATATATATTAAAGTAAATGTGTATTTACCGTCTCTCCTGCTCCACTTTGAATTCAAGAACCCGTGTCTTTGTTGGGTCACTGCACTGTCAATTGAGAAGTTTGGTTTTGTTTCTTTGAGTGTTAGTAAGTGGCATTAAATGGTAAATATTGCCGGGGGAAAGAAAGGAGAAAAACAGCTCTTCCAATCCATCCCTGTTTCCATTCAATTAAAGGAGGGTAGAAAGAATACTTAAGATAATTGTAATAAGTCTAATAGAATAGCAGGAGCCACTCTTTTCCTTTCAGTAGGCCATTAGCTCAGAACTATTTTCAGAGTAATACTAAGATGATATTTGCCTCTTCACTGTGTTGGCACTTGTATTGATAAGGCAAAAACAGTGGAGTCTTAGCAAAAATTAAGACCATGAAAACAAACTGCACTAGGAATAATTCTCTTCTTCATTACTGTTTACTTGCAGGGGGAAAAACCATTTTCGTTTAAGAAAGTCCTTGGTGAAGTAGTAAAAATATTAATTTTATTAAATCTCAACCTTGAGTACAAGTCTTGTCCTTGACTGTACTTACAAGTTTTGTCCTCCCCAAAGCATATGGCGTCAAGGCTGGGCCTAACCCAGTCTCATGACCTTGTGAATCCAGTCCACAAACACAGAGACACGCGTGAAGACGGCTGGCCAGCGCGACCTTGCGCATACTCGGTTGGGGATTCTAATTCCTTTCAGGACCCAGCAGTTGTGGGTAAAGCAGGCAAGTAGGCCCCCGTAGTCACCCTGGCAGGTAGGAGAACTGATGAGGGCCCCGGGCCACAGCCATGACTAGCCTGCTTCATGATAAAATAGTTCATTTCTAGCCCCCCATACCCTTCCAGGGCTGGCCCAGGGCCCTGCTACCAACCTCACAGGCCCCCACAGGGGCCAACAGTCCCTCAGTGCACATCTCGCTCTCCCGCACATGTCCTCGGTGCTTGATGTTACACTCCTGGTTGGAGATGACGTTCAGCAAGGCCACATTTAGGACTGTGTCATTACCCGTACCTGCAGTGAGGGGAATGGGGAGAAGGAGACGGTCCTGGAGGAAGATCCAGGGCTGGGCCTCCTGGCCACCAGCAGTCCTGTGCACTATGCTCTTACCTTTGGTCTCACCCCAGCCTGCAATCTCACACTTGGTCCCTGGAGGCACCACATACCATTCAGGCGGCAGGCAGATCAGGGCCACACGCTGGTTCAGGGTCACAGATCTTTAACAAGAATGGGGGCACTCAGGGTCTGAGGCCACAAGGCTCAGCCCCACCTCACATCCTCCCAGGTTGTCCACATACCTCTCCAGCTTGAGCAGGACAAGCTGGGAGCCTGAGGGCCCACACAGCATCTTGGCTACTGGGACCCGCTGTAAGCCTGGCTCTCCATGTTGTGGGTTCTGGGTGCCCAACCATACCTCATAGCCCGTGAGAGGCATATGGCTGGGTGAGAAGCTCTGCTAGGTCATTTGTGACTCTCAGTCCGTTGCCCCAAGGCTCACTTGTTAGCTTGCCTGGGGAAAGGGGAAGGTGGGATGAGACTGGGTCCCCAAACACAAGGGAGGCTCACCAGGAGGAGAAGCACTGCCGGCAGTCAGTATCCACTGCTCCTTCACTAGAGACCCCCCGCAGAAATGCTGGCCCTGCCTAGAGGAGTGGGGAATTAGGACAGGGAACAGACTCCTGGGAGAGATGCTAGACCTGCCATCTTCTGGCTAGGACCTCTGGGGGCAGGGATAGATTCCCAGCCCCCAGTGGCATAACCACAGAGGACACAACCTCAGCTCCTCTCTGTGGGAGACAGGCCGTTGTGCCTCACCGATTCCGCAAGCTGACTGTCCAGGGTGAGTTGCCCGGATGGCCCCCAGCCACGCGCAGCTTGGAACGACGCTGATCCAGCCGATCCACCCTCTTGCCACACTTCTCAAACTGCACCTGGTCTGTAGGATGGGGTGGGCTGGATGAAACCCAGACTGTGTGGATGTCGTGGGCTAAAGGGCCTGACCCATAACTGGCCCAACTCCTAACCTGGGGGGGTCCAGGATTGATGGCGGCTGGTCATCAGCTGAAAGACAAAGTTCACTGGGGTTAAGGGAGCCAGCCTTTGGTGGTGAGGGCTGAGGCAGGGTCATGGGGCAAGCGTCACTAGTGCTCACCGCAGCGTCGCAGGGCACAGTAGTCGAATGGGGTCCTTGGGTCCATCGTGTAGCACCAGGGCCCATGGCTATCCCCATCTGGGTCTGGCAGAAGTTCTCCTCCAGTTGTGCATGCGGTTCGGAGGTAAACGTGAACCGAGGCGGGAGCGGGAGCGAAATCGTGGCAGGGTAGTCTCAACCATTTCCAAGCTCTGGTCCCAGACATCAAAGCATGCCGCCCCAGGGTTAGGGCCCTGGCGGGGCCAGGAGCACCAGGGACTCACTGCGGCTTGTGCGGCGTCTCAGCGGACCAGCGCTGGCACTGGACACCCTTGCGGGTCTTGCTGACCGTGCCGCGGTACTGCTCCCCCGCGCCGTGGTAGCAGTCTGCGGCGGGTGCGGGCAGCCATCAGGCCGAGACCTCGCCCCGGCCCTCCGGTTCCAGGCTTCCAGCCCCGGCTCTGTAGCCCCCAAGCTTGGGCCTCACCCTGGGGCCGCACGTCGTCTGTACAACACCGGATCTGGTAGCAAAAGCCCACGCGCATGCCGGGCCGCAGTGTGAAGCACCAGGGCGCCTCTGAGCCGTCGGGGTTCCGGCAGAAGTTCTCCCGAAGGTCTCTAAGCAGGCGCTGCACTCAGCCCTAGCCCGCCAGCCTCCAGCCCTAAGCCCGTGACTACCCTCCTCCCGTCTCACCCGCAGCAGCACGTCCCAACGCCCGCCCCCCCGCCCACCTCACTTGCACGCGTATTTTTCTGGCGTAAATCGGTGCTGATGCGGGATTTGCGCGTCCCAACGCTGGCAAGGTACGCCGCGGTGGTGGTATTGGCTGTGCCCCGGTAGCCCTCACCCTTCCCGCGGAAGCAGCTGACACTTGTGGCCTCTTGGCGGGGCTGTGCCTCGGACCCTTAGATGGACCGAGATAGGTCGGGCCCCGAGCGACAGCTGAGATCCCTCTGGGGCTGGGACCAAACCCGCCTTTCCCAGGTGTACGGTACTCCACCGGATATGCTCTCAGGTCACGCCCAGCCCCTCTTACCTCCCCGGCCAAGCCACGCCCCTCCCCAAGGTTCCCAGGTACCCTCCCAGGCCTGGTCCCCGCCGCCTACCGCAGCGGGGGAGGTCACAGAATTCTCGCTCGATCTGCGGATCCGTAGTGTAGCATCATGGCCGCTCGGAGCCGTCAGGATTCCGGCAATAGTTGTCGTCCAGACCTTGGTCGAGGAACCTGGGGGCGGTAATGGGGCGTGAAGAAGACCCTGGGACTCTGGCTTATCTGGCCCCGCCCAGTTGCCCTACACGGAGCCCTGCCCCTGGAGTCCTGGACCTTCCCTAGCCCGGCCCTCAGGGCGCCGATACCGCCTACGCGTACTTGCCCGGCTCGAAGGGGTGCTGGTGCGGGTGCTGAAGATCCCAGCGCTGGCACTCGCGCCCTGACTCGGTGCGGTCTACCGCGCCGCGGTATTCCTCGCCATTGCACCAGACACACGCGGCTGGAGACAAAGAGCCAGTGGGTTCGTGGATGGGCGTGGGCTTGTCCCTCCACTCTCCCAGCTTGACCCGGCGCCGCTTACCCACCCGGCAGGATTTGATGCCGCAGCTCTGGAAGCGCACGGCAGGGTCTGTTGTGTGGCACCAAGGACCTCCGGGGTCGCCATCAGGGTTACGGCAGAAGTTCTCTTCCAGGCCATTCCGGAGCGTGGGCATGTACCTGAGGGCCCAGAGCATCACTATAGTGTGTGCTGGGGGAAGGTCCCAGGCCAGGACGGAGGGAAGGTGTTTGTCTCACTGGTGATCATTCGGGAACTTGTGGCTCCAAGCCTGGCAGGACAGGCCACCCACGGTCGTGGCCATGGTGCCCCGGTACCCAACCCCATTGTTCATGATGCAGGTCCGTATGTAGTCTGGGAGCAAGAGACAGAAGATCAACTTGGGCTGAGGTCCCCTGTCTCCCACCCTGCCCCTCTCCACCCCCACTCGCCTTTCTCCTGGAAGAGGTCATAGCGCCCAGAATGCCGCAGCCTCGTGTGGGGCGAGTGTTGAGTCCATGGCAGCAGTTGGCAACCATGGCTGCTCACATTGTAGTGGAACGCCCTGGAGAGAAGAAGGCACAAGGTAACGCCACGGCTCAGGCTCCCCTGCCCCCAGTCTTATCTATGCCCAGTGGCCACTCACCGGCAGTCCATTAAGGGCCCACAGCGACCAGCACACTCTTCAGCATCTGCCACATCCTCCTGCCAAGGCCTGGGCACCACCGCTTGTAGCGGCGCTGTAGCTCTGTGCCCCGGAGCACCTAGAAGTCATTCAATGGCGAGCGCTGCCCTGCAGAGTGGGTGCAGGTCAGGTGGGCATACATGTCAGTAATGTGTATTGGCATGTCCACAGTTTGTTCATTCAGGGGATCAAAGCTACAAGGCTTCTGGGATGGACCCTGTATGCACTTTCAAGGGCCAGTCTAGCCCCCCTGCACAGATACTTGTCAAAAAATTTCCCCTGGGAAGCAGGCCCAGACTTGGTAGTTATCACCGGTGCCTCTGTGTAGTGGCCCAGGCACCGGGCTCAGATCTAACACATACGCTCTGTGAGAGCAGTGGGTGATGGAGCTTGCCCCATCTCATCTCTCAAATGAGAATGCTAAGGCTCAGAGCCATCACATTACCCAGCCAGGGGCCCTGGCTAGGCATTCAGATTCCAAATCTGGGCTCTCACCTGCACAAAGGCATACGCTAGGTTAGAGGGGTAGATCAGGCTCAGGAGGGGTCACTGCCTGCTGTGTGCGTGCATCTGTGTGGTCCTAACACTGCTTCAGTGCTAGAGCAGACGTGCTAATAGAGGCCTAAGTGGGCCGTGTCTATGTGTTCCTAGGGCTTCCCAGCTGTGCTCAAGAGGCCAAGGTCACTGCCCCATGCCCACTGAGCCTCTGGCTCCCTGACTTTTTTCTCATCCCAGAATAGGAGAATGGGGTCAAGCCCCTCCTGAAGGCAGATGGGGATCAAGGTTGGGGGCACTCACCAGGGACCCCTAAGCATTGAGTCAGAAGCAGCAGGAGTGGGAGCCACCCCATCCTTCTGGCTGGAGGCTGCACTGTGACCCACCACAGCCCCATCCGGGAAGTTGCGAAACCTGTCCCTACGGGATTGGGTGGCTCTGGCTCCGCACGTCAGCTCAGGGCCTGCTGGACCCTGACCTGAGACCTGGTGACAGGAGCCATGAGGGGCCAGGCCTCAGGTCCCACAGGTCAGTTGCAAGGGCCTAGCACAGCTAGCCCCCTGAGAGGCCTCCCTACTTAGTGGTCAGGTGTTAGGAAGGTTTGGTGGGGACACTTGAGGTGCCCTGGGGTTGGGGTGAAACCCCTCTGCAGCCTAGTCAGCCCAAGGGCATAGTGAAAGTGACAGCTGCCAGAGGTCTGGGTTCCAGCCCCTGGCTGACATTAAACTTTTCTGAATTTCGGTTTTTCCCTGTAAATTGGGGAAAATTACTTGCCCCAGCTTCAACACTGCCTCCCCTCCACTCTTTTGCTGCTGCCTTATCAGGCCCCAGCTGTAGGCAGGTCAGCCCACGCCCGGCGGCAGAGCCCAGAGAGGCTCGCTCATCTCAGCCGCCAGAAGTGTCATCCCAGGGAAGGTGAGCGAGGCTGTCCACTAGGACTAAATAGGGGTGGAGGTAACAGGTAGCAGGGACTCTGGCAGGAACCGCCTTTCAGACGTTTTCAGGACCGTCTGAGCGGGGCCTCCAAGTATGGGTAGGAGACAGGCGGCCTAGGGATTCCGGTTAGCACGTCGCGTTCTGCCGCAGCAGGGCTGGGAGCATCCCCAGGGCAGGCGGAGGTCGGAGGTGGTGAGGCCTTTCGGCGAAGCTGAGGCCTGGAACAAACCGGTGGGAAGCCACGGAGGGGGTCCCCTCGCGGAGGCTGGGCGCGGGCCGGTGCGCGTGCGCGGCTGGAGGCTCAGCGCGCGAGCGTGCGCGTGATTTGGCCCTGAACGGACGCCGTAGCCGAGAGGTTGGGCGGATGTTGTGAACCGGGTCGCGGCGGCCGAGGCTCGGGGTGAGTGAGGGGCGGCAGGGCTCTGAGCCTGGCGGGTTCCGGCTATTCCCTTCGCGGTCCAGTTTAGTCCAGTGCGAGGGCACCTGCAGCGCCGGGATCTGAGTGCGAAACTCCGAGCGGAAGCTGGTCTGGCAGGTCCTCTGGAGCTTGGGGCCAGGCGGGGGCGACTTGGGGGAGCCATCCTTGGGCTCCCAGACGGAGTAGGTTCAGTTCTGAGCCCGGATACCCCGGCGAGGTTGGACGGGATAGCCGTGACGGGGAGTCCCCGGGCGGGGACAAGGTCCGCCTCTCACCTGGGTCCTCAGCAACTGACACCAGGAGTGGGTGTCTGGAAGGTCTGCTCATCAAATGAATGACTGCATTTAATCAGATCTTCAACTACTCTGGTAGTGAAGGGGCACCGATCATGGAGGCCCACCGAGGGCCCGAGGTCCGGAAAATCACCTTCCCGAGGAGCAGGCGTGGTGCAGACCCACAGGGGTTTGTGGCGGGAGTAGAGGGTCTGTTTGGGGCGAGATAAGAGACTGAACGGCAGAGTAGGGAGTGCTGGCTAAGGCAGTGCTGCAGAGCGAAACTCTAGACCTGCGCTGTCTAATAGAACTTTATATGATGGTGGGAATGTTCTACCTTTGTGCTGTCCAATAGAGTAACCGTTAGCCACATGTGGTCATTGAACTCTTGAAATGTGGCTGAGGCAACTGAGAAATCGAATTGTTAATTTTTAAAACTTTAAATTTAAGTAACCTCACGTGGATGACGGCTGCTGTGTTGGACAGCACAGCTACACATCAGTGAGGCCAGCACCAGGGACTCAGTGCAGGTTTTGGAGCAGCTGCAGCAGCAACATGATGTGAGGGATAGATGCACTAGGAGGACCAATGGAGTTTGCCATGAGGGCTGGGCAAGGGTGGTGCTTGGATGAGGTGGGAGGCCACATGTGTCAGTGGGAACAGTGAAACTATCAGGACCATGGATCAAAGAAGGGAGGAACCCAGGGCTGAGGAAAGAGGCTCCAGCCTTGTGGGGAGTAAGTGGGACTTATGGCTAGAGATGACCAGACCAGTGGTGGTCTGCACTTGGGGGAATGTGTAGGATTGTCGCTTCTGGTTGTGAGCTGGACTCAGTATGGCTTACAACCGAGATGAATACAGGGGCTCTGCCCCTAGGACACCTCACTTTGGACATTTTGGTCTGATTTCCACAGAGCTGAGACATTTTGTTATGGTTTGGCAAAAATATATCTGGTACCTGCTCTCTGCCCAGCCCTGTGCTGGGCACAGGGACACTGGAGAACAAGAAGTGGTCCCTGTTACATGGGCCTAGACCCTGGCTACCCTGCCTGTGTAGGAAGCTGGGAGCCCCTGCATTCCCCTGTCCTATGTGTTAGTGTGCATGCCCCTGGCCTCACCTGCTCCCAAGACTTCCCGCCATGGCAGGACTGAGGTCAGGTGTGGGGGCCCCTGGCTGGCCCTGAGTAGACAGGCTCTGTGTCTGCCTCAGCCTCCAGGACCACTGGCTGCCCATGAGAGACGAAGGATGGCATCCAAGGGGGCCGGCGTGTCTTTCTCCCGCAAGAGCTGTAGGCTGACCTCAGATGCTGAGAAATCCAGGGTCACAGGTAAGGGCTGGCAGAGAAGGAAGGAGGCTCCTCTTGTTGGGAGGAGAAGGAAGGGACAAAGGCCTCAGGCCTTGCTGCACCTGTGGCTGGCCTAGGACCAGAAGTCTCTGGGGCCAGCAGGGGCCAGGAGCTGCACTCATCATGTGGCCCTTTTCTCCCTTCTGACTTGTGGCTCAGGCATTGTGCAGGAGAAGCTGCTGAATGACTACCTGAACCGCATCTTTCCTCTTCTGACCATGCACCCCCAGCAGCCACCGGCAGGTATGGCTGGGTGGGCGGCCCCTCCTCACTCTGCTGGGCCAGAGCAGAATAAGGAGGCTGCAGTTGTAGGGAAAGGGAGCCTGGGCTCTGGACAGATAGGCTTAGGCTCTGTTCTCACTGTGCTCCTGGCTGCGAGATCTCTGGCCAGAGAGTCTGCCTTCCGTACTCTGCTTCTTCCTGTCTCCAGGCAGTGCTAGTTCCTTGTGAGAGTCAGGGAGCAGAGGTCAGGGAGCGGGTGCACATTCATGCCCAGCTAGCACCTGGCACCTACTCCACACCCAGCATCTGCCCCTGCATGTACCTGCCCTCACCTTGGCCCCAGCCTGGCCCCTTGTAGCTTCTGACTGACCTTGTAAAGAACAAACTCCTCCAGGGCCTTTTCTTTACAAGTTTAATACTTTTGAGTGTAGTCAGTGTAAAAGTTACAAGTACATTTTAGCAGAAACTTAGAGGGCCAGGCACAGTGGTTCACACCTGTAATCGCAGCACTTTGGGAGGCCAAGGTGGGTAGATTGCTTGAGTCCAGGAGTTCAAGACCAGCCTGAGCAACATGGCCAGACCCCATCTCTACAATAAAATACAGAAATTACCTGGGCATGGTGGTGTGCACCTGTAGTCCCAGCTGTTAGGGAGGCTGATGTGGGAGGATCACTTGAGCCTAGGAGGTTGAGGCTGCAGTGAGCTGGCCTCTGCATGCCACTGCACTCTAGCCTGGGTGACAGAGCAAGACCCTGTCTCTAAAAAAAGAAGGAAAAGCACCTGCTATCTTGTTATTTTAACATGACTATTCAAATGCGATTCTTTTCTGTTTTCTTTCTTTGTGTTACATTTTTAATTTTTAATTTTTGTGGGTATGTAGCAGGTACATGTATTTATAGGGTATATGAGATACTTTGACACAGGCATGCAATGCGTAATAATCACATCATGGTAAATGGGGTATCCATCCCCTCAAGCATTTATCTTTTGTGTTATAAACAATCTAGTTATACTCTTTTAGTTATTTTTAAATGTACAATTATTATTTACTACAGTCACTCTGTTCTGCTACCAGACAGGTCTTATTAATTCGATTTTTTTGTACGCATTAGCCATCCCCATCTCCCCACAAGCCCTACACTACCGTTCCAAGCCTGTGGTAACCATCCAGTACTTTGCCTCTATGAGTTCAATTGTTTTAATTTTTAGCTCTCACAAATAAGTGATAACATGCAGTGTTTGTCTTTTTCTGCCTGGCTCATTTCACTTAACATAATGACCTCCAGTTCCATCCATGTTGTTGCAAATTACAGGATCTCATTCTTTTTTACGGCTGAATAGTACTCTGTTGTGTATCTGTACCGTGTTTTCTTTATTTATTCATCTGTTGATGGACACTTAGATTGCTTCCAAATCTTGGCTATTGTGAACAGTGCTGCAACAAACATGGGAATGCAGATATCTCTTCGATATACTGATTTCCCTTCTTTGAGGTATATATCTCTTCGATATACTGATTTCCCTTCTTTCAGGTATATACCCAGCAGTGGGATTGCTGGATCATATGGTAGCTCAATTTTTAGTTTAGTTTTTTCTTTTTGAAAAATTTTTTTTTTTTTTGAGACAGAGTCTTGCTCTGTGGCACAGGCTGGAGCGCAGGGGCGCAATCTCAGCTCACTGCAAGCTCCGCCTCCCAGGTTCACGCAATTCTTGGGCCTCAGCCTCCCAAGTAGCTGGGACTACAGGCGCCCGCCACCAGGTCCAGCTAATTTTTTGTCTTTTTAGTAGAGACGGGGTTTCACCGTGTTAGCAAGGATGGTCTTGATCTCCTGAGCTCGTGATCCACCCGCCTCGGCCTCCCAAAGTGCTGGGATTACAGGCGTGAGCCAGTGTGCCTGGCCTTTTTTTTTTTTTTTTTTTTTTTTTTTTTTTTTTTTTGAGATGGAGTTTTGCTCTTGTTGCCCAGGCTGGAGTGCAGTGGCATGATCTTGGCTCACTGCAACCTCTGCCTCCCGAGTTCTAGCAATTCTCCTGCCTCAGCCTCCCGTGTAGCTGGGATTATAGGCACACACCACCACGCCCAGTTAATTTTGGTATTTTTAGTACAGATGGGGTTTCGCTGTGTTGGCCAGGCTGGTCTCGAACTCCTAGCCTCAGGTCATCCTGCCACCTCGACGTCCCAAAGTGCTGAGATTACAGGCATGAGCCACCACACCTGATCAATTTTTAGTTTTTTCAGGAACCTCCAAACTGTTCTCGATAGTGATTGCACTATTATAATTTACATTTCCACTAACAGCGTACAGGGGTTCCACAACCTCGCCAGCATTTGTTGTTGCCTGTCTTTTGGATAAAAGCCATTTTAACTGGGGTGAGATGATATCTCATTGTAGTTTTGATTTGCATTTCTCTGATGACCAGTGACGTTGAATACCTTTCCATATGCCTGTTTGCTATTTGTATGTCTTCTTTTGAGAAATGTCTGTTCGTATCTTTTGCCCATCTTTTGATGGAATTATTAGTATTTTTCCTATATAGTTGTTTGCGTTCTTTATGTATTCTGGTTATTAATCCCTTGTCAGATGGGTAGTTTACAAATATTTTCTCCCATTTGTGGTCTGTCTCTTCACTTTGTTGATCGTTTACTTTGCTATGCAGAAGCTTTTTAACTTCATGTCTGTTTATCTTATAATGTATGTAGTTCAGATTATGCTGTATAGAAAACTTTAAAAAAATTTGTCACCTTCAGTTCTTTTCTTAAAACATTTTTATTGAGCTACGATTAATATACAATAAACTACACACACTTAAAGTGTACAATTTGATAAGTGTTAACATATAGATAAAACCCGTGAAACCATCAGTACCATCAAGGTAATGGACATGTCCCTCACTTCCAGAAGTTTGCATCCTATTTTTATTATCAAATGTTATCCCGTGAGTATTTTTCCACATTATCAATGTATCTTACTGAGCATCTTTAGGGCCAGGGGGTCTGCTGTGGCCCATACAAGTGCCCTAGTTTGGAAGGACTTTTGCCTTTGTAAACAATGCTGTGAGGATGCCCAGGGCTGGAGTCGTGTGGCTAGAGTGTTTGAACTGCAGTCACTTTTAAGACTGTTGCCAGATTACTTCTTCAAAGGATCAAGTAGGTTCTCCGTCCCTGCAGTGAGGCACGGTTGTCCCTGTCTCTCACCCCCTTATCAGCCTTAGCTGTTCTGTCTTTTACGACTTCTGCTCTTTAGGCAGGTCCAAAAGGCAGCATCATTACCTGTTCTATTTAAGCAATTGTGGTGGTCAGAAAGTGCCTGCTTGCAGAGAGTTCCTGCCCACCCCCACCCCATACTCAGTCCTGGCCTGTTCTCAGAGCCATCTGATCCCTACCTCATGTGATACCAGAGATGGTCCTGCTGCTGCTGCTGCTGCTGTGGCCGCCAGGAGAGACAGCAGGTGGTAGGGCCGTCAGTCAGTGGTTGTGGGGATTCAGGGCCCTGAACTGGGACCTAGGAGATCCAAAAAGGTCAGGGAAGTTGCTGGTCTTGGCCAAATGGGCCGTGCTGTAGGCACTCAGTGGTGGCTGTCTCAGGCCGACTGCCCACAGATATGTGCAGTCTGCTCTCAGGATCAGGCACACGACTTTGGGGGACAGGTACAAGAGTAGCCGCTCCAAGTGTGGGCTTGTTAAGAACTGTTTTCTTTTGAGGCAGGGTCTCGCTATGTCCCAGTCATAGCTCACTGCAACCTCAAAGTTCCAGGCTCAAGGAATCCTCCCACCTCAGCCTCCCACATAGCTGGGACCACAAGCACATGCCACACACCCAGCTAAATTTTTTTTTTTTTTAAGAGGCAGGGTCTTACTGTGTCACCCAGGCTGGTCTCAAACCCCTGGGCTCAAGTGATTCTCCCACCTCAGCCTCCCAAAGTGCTGAGACTACAGGTGTGAGCCACCATGCTTGGCCTGTAACTGCTTTTGAGAAAGGCTCCTTTATCCTTGGTCCACTGGGGTATTCAGAGATGGGGTTGGCTTTAGCCTTCTATGCTACTAGCTGAGCACCCCGACTGCATAGCCACCACCTGGCCTTGGCCTGGGACAGAGCAGCAGTGGGGAGGGGCCTTTGTGCATCTCTGCTCCTACAGCTCAGGGCTGGGAGTGGCTTACACTGGGGGAATATGTGATCCCTGAGCCTGGGTAGTGGCTACTTTGTCAGGGTGCTTTGTCCCACCTTCGTCCCCTTCCAGAGCTTTCTGTCTGTGTGGATGAGTAGGGTAGGAACTGGCATGAAAGGTGGAAGAGCAGGTGGTGGCAGCCTGTGGGCAGCCAGGTGTGTAATGGGCCTCTGTTCTGCCTGAGTCCTGCTGGTTACCACCACCTCACTCCCTGCTATTCTTAGCAGCTGAGCTCAGGACAGCACTGACTGGCATTAGACAGTACCCTTTTCCCTCTAGGCCTGTGTGTTGAGAGGATGAGGGGGCCACCCAGACAGATTTTTCCCAACTCCTTTGGCTCGGGTAGGTGGGCCATGTGCTCTGCTGACCATTTATGGACTGGCGGGTACAGGACAGAGCCATCCAGCAGCTCAGAGGGCTGAGCCTTTCATACTTCCAGGACATGGCCCATTCAACACAGACTCCCCTGGCTGGGTGGTGGCGAGACTGGAATCTGCCCCAAAGGAACCACAGGCCTAGGGGCAAGGGTTGGACTAGGTGGCCTTGGTACTGACCACTTTGGGAACCAGCATTTCTCCCAGCCTTCTTCTTCCAGACATCATCAGCCCAGCCACCTTTGAGAGCGGACAGGTTATGTGGTATGCAGACAGCACTTGTTATTCCCTGGGCTCTTCACAGCATCTCTAACATAAGTCATTATTCTGTTTTTACAGATGAAGGAATTAAGACTTAGAGAGGGCTACTTTTTTTTTTTTTTTTTTTTTTTTTGAGACGGAGTCTTGCTCTGTCACCCAGACTAGAGTGCAGTGGTGCGATCATGGCTCACTGCAACCTCCGCCTCCCAGGTTCAAGCAATTCTCCTGCCTCCGCCTCCCAAGTAGCTGGTATTACAGGCACATGCCACCACGCCCAGCTACTTTTTGTATTTTTAGTAGAGTCGCAATTTCACCATGTTGGCCAGGCTGGTCTTGAACTACTGACCTCATGATCTGCCCGCCTCAGCCTCCCAAAGTGCTGGGATTACAGGCGTGAGCCACCGCACCCGGCCACATACTTTTTTTTTTTTTTTTTTTTTGAGACAGAGTCTTACTCTTGTTGCCCGGGCTGAAGTACAATGACACGATCTCGGCTTACTACAACCTCTGCCCCACCAAGGTTCAAGCGATTCTCCTGCCTCTGCCTCCCGAGTAGCGGGGATTATACGAATGTGCCACCACGCCAAGCTAATTTTTGTGTTTTTAGTAGGGATGGGGTTTCACCATGTGGCCAGGCTCGTCCCGAACTCCTGACCTCAGGTGATCTGCCCGCCTCGGCCTCCCAAAGTGCTGGGATTACAGGCATGGGCCACCACACCCAGTCTGGACTGGTTATACTTTTGAGTTTAGTGGAGAATTCAGCCTTCTGACCTCCTGCATGCCAGAGTCTAGGACTAGGTACAGCCTTTTTTCTGGAGTCTAGGCAGCCCCCCTGTGAGCTCAGGGGAATGGATGGGATTTAGTGTCATCTGGCTGATATCAAGGACTTACTTTTAGTTAGTAATCTTTTCTTTTCTTTATGGCTCACTGCAGCCTTGGCCTCCTGGTCTGAAGCAATCCTCCTACCTCAGGTCCTGTGCAGTTGGGACCACGGGTCCATGCCACCAGGCTTGCTGATTTTTTTATTTCTCGTAGAGTCGAGTTCTCACTTTGTTGCCCAGACGGGTCTAGAATTCCTGTGCCCCAGTGATCCTCCTGCCTTGGCCTCCCAAGGTGCTGGGATTACAGGCATGAGAAACTGCACCTGGTTTAATAATCTTTTCTTAATATCATCAAATAGCCAGCGTCTAAATTTTCCATATGTCTCATAAATGCCACAGATAGGCCAGGTGCAGTGGCTCACACCTATAATCCCAATACTTCGGGAGGCCAAGGCGGGCAGATCATCTGAGGTCTGGAGTTCGGGACCAGCCTGGCCAACATGGTGAAACCCCCATCTCTACTAAAAATACAAAAATTATCCAGGTGTGGTGACACATGCCTGTAATCCCAGCTACTGGGGAGGCTGAGGCACCAGACTCGCTTGAACCCAGGAGGCGGAGGTTTCAGTGAGTCGAGATCACACCACTGCACTCCAGCCTGGGTGACAGAGTGAAACTCTGTCTCAAAATAAATAAATAAATAAAAAGTCACAGATAGTCTTGCTTTAGTTTTTTCTTTACAATTTGTTTGAATCCGGATCCATAGACATTCACAAAGTGCGAATGGTTGCTTTGTTTTGTTTGTTTGTTTGGTTGTTTGTTTGTTTGTTTGAGATGGAGTCTCGCTTTGTTGCCCAGGCTGGAGTGCAGTGGCAGGATCTTGGCTCACTACAACCTCTGCCTCCTGGGTTCAGCAATTCTATGGCTTCAGCCTCTTGAGTAGCTGGGATTACAGGAGTGCGCCACCACGCCCAGCTAACTTTTGTATTTTTAGTAGACATGGGAGCTTCACCATGTTGGCCAGGCTGGTCTTGACCTCAGGTGATCCACCTACCTTGGTCTCCCAAAGTGCTGGGATTACAAGAGTGAGCCACCGTGCCCGGCCCATGCTTTGTCTTTGAAGTCCTTTTTAACTTATTTGTTCAGGAAACTGGGCTAGTTGTCCTTGGAGATTCTCATGGTCTGGATTTTGCTGGTTGCATCCTTATGGTGTCAATTAACATATTTCTTTATCCCATGTATTTCCTGTAAATTGGATGTTGGATGTAAAGCTAGGTCAGATTCAGGCTCTTCTGCTTGCTTTTTCGTTTGATCAAGACTCCATAAGTAGAATGTGTTCTTCCATCAGGATGTCCCTATGCCAGCTGTCTCTCTTTTCAAGATCCAACCCACTCATTAGAGGCTGCAAAACTGTGAGCTTCTCATTTAGTCACTCCTGTGTATATTAATTAGAATTCTATAATGAGGCACTTTCCCTCCTTACTATTGGATAACCAGTGGTACAGTTCATTCAGGAAAGGAAAGGAAAGGATTTAACCTGTATTATGGACTTAAAATACTTTTTTTTTGAGACAGTCTCTCTCTGTCGCCCAGGCTGGAGTGCAGTGGCACAATCACAACTCATGTTAGGCTTGACCTCCCAGGCTCAAGTGATCCTCCCACCTCAGCCTCCCAAATAGCTGGGACTATAAGTGTTCACCACTATACCCAGCTAATTTTTTTTTTTTTTTTTGAGACAGGGTCTTGCTATGTCTCAAGAAATGGGCCACCACGCCTGGCCTTAAAATACATTTTAATTTTTTAAAATACAAATAATTTTTAATGTATTTTAAGGCCAGGCGTCGTGGCTCATGCCTGTAATCCCAGCACTTTGGGAGGCTGAGGCGGGTGGATCACCTGAGCTCAGGAGTTCAAGACCAACCTGGCCAGCATGGTGAATCCCCGTCTCTTCTAAAAATACAAAAATTAGCTGGGTGTTGTGACGTACATCTGTAATTCCAGTTACTCGGGAGGCTGAGGCAGGAGAATCGCTTGAACCGGAGAGGCGGACGTTGCAGTGAGCCGAGGTCAAACCAGTGCACTCCAGCCTGGGCAACAGAGCGAGACTCCATCTGAAAAAGAAACAAAAACAAAAAAAAATTTTGTAAGTAGCCTTTCAAATTTTTATATTTTACTTTTGATGAAGTCACCTATTCACATTTCAAAAGGGTACACAGTAAAATGGCTCCCTCCCACCTCTGACCCCAGATATTCCCATTCCTTCCTTGGAGGCAAGCAGCATCATCAGCTTCTTTTTCTTTTTATATATACAATTATTTTCTTTCTTTTTTTTTTTTTTTTGGCCACCAAGTTACCGTAAGAAGCATTGTCAGTTTCTTTTTCTTTTTTCTTTTTTTTTTTTTTTTGAGATGGAGTCTCGCTGTGCTGCGAGTCTCCAGGCTGGAGTGCAGTGGCACGATCTTGGCTCACTGCAACCTCTGCCTCCCGGGTTCAAGTGATTCTCCCACCTCCGCCTCCCAAGTAGCTGGGATTACAGGAATGAGCCACCACACCCGGCTAATTTTTGTATTTTTAATAGAGGCGGGATTTCGCCATATTGGCCAGGCTGGTCTTGAACTCCTGACCTCAGGTGACCCTCCCGCCTCGGCCTCCCACAGTGCTGGGATTACAGGCATGAGCCACCGTGCCTGGCCTATCAGTTTCTTAAGTGACCTTCCAGGGTTATTTTATATGAGCAAATCAGATCACACACGCGCGCACACACACACACACACACACACTTTTTTGTATATACGCCTGGTAAAATTTCATCTTCACAGTTCTTGAAGATGCTTTTTTCACCTACTAGTTATAACTGGGAGGTGGCTCTGGATCAGGCCAGGAAGAACTTCTCCACTGGTTTTTCTTGGCCACAGTTCTCCACTTAAAGGATGTACCATCATGTACTTAGTAGCAGTCCCCTTTTGATAGACATTTAGGTTGTCACCAGGATATCTTACATGAGCAATGCTGCAGTGAACCTCCTTGTCCACAAGCCATCTCCTCTGTGCTGGGGTATATCTGTAGGATCCATTCTTAGAGGAGGAGCCGGTGGGGAAGGTCCTATGCCTGCATAGTTTTCGAAGATCTCCCTCAGTGCCCTCCATTGTGATTGTACTCACCCTCCCACCAGCTGTGTAGGGGAAGGCCTGTTGCCCCAGAGCCTCTCTTTGTGTATTATGTGTCCCTTTTTTTTTTTCCCAATCTGATAGTGGACAAATGGCATCCCAGTGTAGGGTTGTTTTTTTTTTCTTCTTCCTCTTTAGTTTTTGAGATGGACTCTCACTATGTTTCCCATGCTGGCCTCAAATTCCTGGGCTCAAGCAATCCTGCCTCAGCTTCCCGCATAGCTGGGACTGCAGGTGCATGCCACCGCACCCAGCCCAGTGTAGTTTTATTTATTTTTTATTTATTTATTTTTTTGAGACGCAGTCTGGCTGTGTCGCCCAGACTGGAGTGCAGTGGCATGATCTCAGCTTACTGCAACCTCCTCCTCCTAGGTTCAAGCAATTCTCCTGCCTCAGCCTCCCAAGTAGCTGGGAATACAGGAGTGCACCACCACACCTGGCTAATTTTTTGTATTTTTGGTAGAGATGGGGTTTCACCATGTTGGCCAGGCTGGTCTCGAACTCCTGACCTCAGGTGATCTGCCCGCCTCGGCCTCCCAAAGTGCTGGGATTATAGGTGTGGGCCGCCATACCCAGCCCCAGACTAGTTTTAATTTGTAGTTGGGAGTGAGCCCCATCCCATCCCCATCCTGTGTTCTCTTCCCAAGGGACCCGCTGCAGCTAGGAGGGGAGCTGTCCAGGAGGCCGGCCTGGGAATGAGCACAGGCCTGCGGCTGGCAGAGAGCCGGGTCGAGCCAGCCCTGGAGAAGCAGGCCCAGCTGGAGGAGCAGCTGCGGGACAAGGTGCTCCACGAGAAGGACCTGTCCCAGCAGCAGATGCAAAGCGACCTGGACAAGGCTGACCTCAGTGCCAGGAGGGTCCCTGGTGGGTGCTGCACGAGGCAGGCGTCACTGCAGAAGGTAAAACTGGAGAGTTGGGGAGAAGGGAGCATCTGTTCACTAGGAGCAGGGCCTTCCTCTGTGAGCTCAGCCAGCCTTCCCAGGCACCCCACTGAGGTTCCGAAGGCAGTTGCCCAGTGTTTATCATAAACAGCTTAGCCTCCTATGACAGAACTTGTGGCCGGGTGCTGTGGCTCACACCTGTAATCCCAGCACTTTGGGAGGCCAAGGTGGGAGATTACCTGAGGTCAGGAGCTCAAGACCAGCCTGCCCAATAGGCGAAACCCTGTCTCTACTAAAAATACAAAACTTAGTCGGGTGTGGTGGTGTGTGCCTCTAATCCCAGCTACGAGGGAGGCTGAGACAGGAGAATCGCTTGAACCCAGGATGTGGAGGTTGCAGTGAGCCAAGATCACATCACTGTATTCCGGCCTGGACGACACAGCGAAACTCTGTCTCAAAAGAAAACCACAAAAAAACAACTTGTGCCCCTTACTCCTGCCACCTGGATAAGTCCTCCAGTGCTTTCCCATGAGATAAAGCTGGTGGGAACCTCATTCCCATTTCACAGATGAGAAGTGTGAGGTCTGGAGAGGAGCCACAACTTGTTTAAGGTCACACAGCCAGGGAGGTGGATGTTAGGGTCCCTGCCTCGGGTTTGGAGAAGCATGGTGGACACAGAGCTAGTGGATTTGAGAGGCTGGGGTGGTCCCGTATTCACCTCTGTTGCTCCCCCAACTCCAGAGTGACAGAGCTGGGCCTGGCAGTGAAGCGTCTTCAGAAGCAGAATCTGGAGAAGGATCAGGTCGACAAGGACCTCACCGAGAAGCTTGAGGCCCTGGTGAGCTTCAGCTGCCCCTGAGATGGGGCAGGGTGGGATGGGGTACCGGCCAGATCCATGGACACAGGCTTAGGGCTGGGCTGCCTGGGCCACCCCCAGCATCCCACTCACACTCAGGTTCAGCCCACACAGGTGTGCAGGCTTTGTGGGAAGCACACTCACTTCCTCCATCCCATTTCTCCCTCCCAGCAGCCCTGTAGAGTAATCCTAATGACACGGATGGGAAACTGAGGCCCAAGAGGGGAAATGCTTGTCCAGTCTCAGAGCCAGTAAGCAGGAGAGTTGGGACTTGAACTCCCATCCACGCTCTCCAGGTCCAGATGCTGCCTTTGGAATCCCAACTGTCCACCCCCACCAGTGGGACACTCACTCCCCCAGGGTCCAGCCTGGTTTGGTCACCCCTCTGTGTGGGGCCTGGCCTGGGTTCTAGGTCCAGCTCTCCTGCAATCGACTGTGTGACCTGGGGCAGAACCCAGCTCTTCTCTGGGCCTGGTCTGTTCATTGAGGGCCTCGGGCCTGCTGTGGGGTCTACCAGGTGGCTGGCCTATGGACATGGCTTCAGAGGCCACCTGATCAGTGGTGGGCCAGGGAGGGAGGGAAAGGGGAGGTTTCAGGTAAGACAGAACCCCGACCACTCTTTGTCTCCCTCACCGCACTCCAGGAATCCCTGCGGCTACAGGAGCAGGCGGCCCTGGAGACAGAGGACGGAGAGGGGCTACAGCAGAGCCTAAGGGACTTGGCACAGGTGTGAGCCCAGAAAGGTGGGAAGACAGGGCCCTGCCAGGCGGTCCTGGGCTCCCCCGCCTCGCCTTTCGGTGGCTTCGGATTGAACTGCAGATGGGTGGGGCCCTGGGACCCAGGCTGTAGCTGCTCAGCACCCCTGCTAGCTCACCCGGCCTCTGCCCTGGGGAGCCCCCAGTCTCAGAGGGGAGGCACGGCCCTCTCGGAGCCCACCTGTGAGCAATGCCAAATGATGTCTTCGCAATAAATGGGATGCCTCAGCGGCGAGCTGAGGACTGAGCTAGTGGAGGAGGTGAAATCAGAAGGCTTCTTGTAAGCGGGAGCATTTGGGATGAGGCGGCCCCCAGCCTCCCCTGGTCGTTTTTGCCAGCTAACCCCGAAGTTCCTAACTCTGCGGCCTCCTGCTTCCCTCCCTTACCCTCAGGCCGTCCTGTCTGACGCTGAGAGCGGCAGCCTGCGTCCAACAGCGTCCGACCGCAGCCTGCGGGGGCTCTCGGGCCAGCGGACCCCGTCTCCACCGCGGCGCTCCTCGCCGGGCCGAGGCCGTTCGCCCCGCAGAGGCCCCTCCCCGGCCTGCTCAGACGACTCCACGCTCGCTTGCCCTGATTCTCTCCGCCCTGCACTTTTGCCAGCTGAAGGTCCAGGTAGGAAGGGGCTTGAGTTTTCTGGGCGCAGCCAGAGGCCCAGGGGGAGGGGCTCGCGCCCTCCAGGTGGGGGTGGGGGCGTGTCTGGGGGAGGAGTCTGAGCGCCCTGGGGTGCAGCCAGAGCCCTGAGAAATAGTGTCTGAGGGTGTCAGGACCCCCAAGGAGGTGGCCGAGGGCTCTGCGCTGAAGCCAGCCCAGAAGTGGGGGTGCTTGGGCAGCTGGGGGTGGGTGCTTGGGCAGCCGGTGGAGGGAGGAGGCTGCGGCAGTGTTAGGGTCCTGGTAGAGAGGGAGACAGGTCCCTGGTCATACAGAGCCAGGACCCTGGGAAAAGGTCTAGCAAGGGAAATCACAGCCTAGGATGAGAGCTTGGGAACTAGGGGCAGAGCCAGGGTAGGGAGGAGTGTGAGAGTGGAACCAGGATGCAAGGGGGAGGAGCCTGGGAGCCCTGGGGGTGGGATCAGAACCCAGGAGACGAGTGTGCCTGGGAGTTTGTCTGGCATCCCGGGGGCTTTGATAGGAGTTGTCCGGGACCCCAGGGAGATGAGGGTTCAGAGGGTGGTGAGGGCACATAGGAGGGGAGTGGAAGCCTGGCTCTCAGGCCTAGGCCCCTATCCTGCCCCAGGGCAGGTCCAGGCCCTGGACCCCGCCTAGCGTAGGCTAGTGTGTATCCCTGGAACCAGAAGAGAGTAGGTGGGCTCTGGAGGCCTCAAAGGACCCCCGCTAGACTCTGTGATCCCCACGCCCCAGAACATGCGTGGGCGCTATGAGGCAAGCCAGGACCTGCTGGGCACCCTGCGGAAGCAGCTTAGCGACAGCGAGAGTGAGCGGCAGGCCCTAGAGGAACACCTGCGTGGCGCCGTCGGTCTTGTCCCGCAGGCACTGGCCAACATGGCGAAACCCCATCTCTACTAAAAATAAAAAAAATTGCCCAGGCACAGTGGCTAACGCCTGTAATCCCAGCACTTTGGGAGGCCGAGGCGTGCAGATCACTTGAGGTCAGGAATTTGAGACCAGCCTGGCCAACATGGTGAAACCCCACTTCTAAATAAAAATGCAAAAATTAGCTGGGCGTGGTGATAGGCGCTTGTAATCCCAGCTACTCGGGAGGCTGAGGCAGGAGAATCGCTTGAACTCTGGAGGTGGAGATTGCAGCAAGCTGTGTGGAGTGCAGTGAGATTGTGTCACTGCACTCCAGCCTAGGCAAGAGTGAGACTGTGTGTAAAAACAAAAAAATTGCTGGACGCGGTGGCCCACGCCTGTAATCCCAACACTTTGGGAGGCCGAGGCGGGTGGATCACGAGGTCAGGAGATTGAGACCAACCTGGCTAACAGGGTGAAACCCCATCTGTACTAAAAATATAAAAAATTAGCCGGGCATCGTGGCGAGTGCCTGTAGTTCCGGCTACTCGGGAGGCTGAGGCAGGAGAATGGCATGAACTCGGGAGGCAGAGGTTGCAGTGAGCCGAGATGGCACCACTGCACTCCAGCCTGCGTGACAAAGCGAGACTCCGTCTCAAAAAAAAAAAAAAAAAAAAAAAAAATTAGCCAGGCGTGGTGGCGGGCGCCTGTATTCCCAGATACTCGGGAGGCTGAGGCAAGAGAATGGCGTGAACCCAGAAGGCGGAGCTTGCAGTGAGGAGAGATCGTGCCACTGCACTCCAGCCTGGGCAACAGAGCGAGACTCCATCTCAAAAAAAAAAAAAAAAAAAAATCACGTCTTGAAGTTTTTTTGCACCTACCACCAGTGGGGAAAGTGGCAGCTCACAGCAAGTCTTTGGGGTCCTAGTTGTTCCCTTCTCCTCCCTCCCCTGCCGTGGCCACCATGTGCCTGTGTAGCAGGAAGCTGTGGGATCTGCAGACTCAGCTCTATCAGGCTTCCCAGAATTGAGGGGCATGGGGTGTTCTAGGGGACATTTCCTGGTCACATGGCCTAGCAGAACTGGTGGCACAATTGCCTGTGTGTCCCAGGAGCCTAGCCTGGCCTCTTCTACGTGGTAGAGTGCTTAGAGATCACGCCAGCACCTCCATCCACTCTAAGTGGGCGGGCTGGGGAGAAGGAAAGCCAGGTTCTTCTGCTGGAGTGTGTGAGTGAAATGAGTCTGCTATGGGCAGGGTCAGGGAAGGCTTCCTGGAGGCAGGTGCCTTGGAAGACGGGAGGATGTAGCTCATGGCTAGAGGAGCAGCCAGCCACCTTCCCTGGAGAGAGCAGCCCCAGCATCCCCTCTGCTCCCGCTCCCCTTGTCCTGAAGGGAGAAGAGCAACCTGGTCCACAGCCTGCAGGTGGCCCAGCAGCAGGCCGAGGAGCTGCCGCAGGAGCGGGAGAAGCTGCAGGTTGCCCAGGAGGAGCTGCAGCGCCAGCGGGACCGGCTGGAGGAAGAGCAGGAAGAGGCGGTGCAGAATGGCGCACGGGTTCGCCGGGAGCTTGAGCGCAGGTTAGCAGCATCTCACCTCCCTGCCAGGACCCTTCAAATGTGCCTCGGGTCCCCTGACAGTGCCCCCATGGGGTTAGGTGACACCCACTGGGTCCTGGGCCTCCTACCGTCTGGACCCCTCTGATGTCGGGTTTTCTAACCAGACCCATTTCAGGAAACTGGGGCTCAGGGAGGTATAGTCACTTACCTGGAGTCAGAGAACTAGTTAAAAGGTAGAACTTGGATGATAATAACAAGAATAATTAAAATAACAGTAGTAATATTAGCAGTAGTATTTTAAAAATTTAGTTAGAAGAATAATAATATCCTTACTAATTTCACTAAGTGCCAGATACCATTTTAAGCAATTCAGTTCTCTCGTTTAACTCCATGATAACTCTGTGACATAGAAGCTGTTATCTCCATTTTGTGGATGGTAAACTGAGGCACAGAGAAGCCATGTCACTTGCCCCAGGTCACACAGTTAGCAGAAGAGCCAGGATTTGAACCCAGACATTCTGCCTTCAGAGTTAACCTCTTCACCACTGCGCTGCTTACCTCTCAGGGACGTGATCGCTGATGATGTTTAGTAGACTGTGGTGGAGCATGTTATTCTTGTTTCTGAAGGTCCTTGGGGAGATGTGTCAGGCACTATTTTAAGCACATGTGAAGTTTGTATCCTTAAAACAGGCTGGGCACGGTGGCTCACGCCTGTAATCCCAGCACTTTGGGAGGCCGAGGCAGGCGAATCGCCTGAGGTCAGGAGTTCAAGACCAGCCTGACCAACATGGGGAAACCCCGTCTCTACTAAAACTACAAAAATTAGTCAGGTGTGGTGGTGAGCACCTGTAATCCCAGCTACTAGGGAGGCTGAGGCAGGAGAATTGCTTGAACCTGGGAGGCAGAGGTTGCAGTCAGCCAGGATCGCACCACTGTACTCCAGACTGGGCGACAGAGCAAGACTCTGTCTCAAAAAAACAAACAATGTCACGAGGCAAGTGTTACCTCATTTTGCAGATGTGAAAACGGAGGCCCAGGGTCATGGAGCTAAGCGGTAGTGGGCTTGGTTGCCCTGTGGCTCAGGCTGTTTCTCTCCAAACTCCTGCCTCAGGCCTGGTCCCCGGCCCAGCATCTTGCTGGCTACAGGAGGTTCGGGCAGGAAAGTGACATGGGCCACCCACCCACCCTTTGTCCCACAGCCATAGACAACTAGAGCAGCTGGAAGGGAAGCGCTCAGTCCTGGCCAAGGAGCTGGTGGAGGTGAGGGAGGCGCTGAGCCGCGCCACGCTGCAACGGGACATGCTGCAGGCCGAGAAGACCGAGGTGGCCGAGGCGCTGACCAAGGTGGGTCCCTGTCTGCTGCACAACCACAAACCTACCTCTGACCCCCAGCCCCAAGCCTTGTCACTCTGGCACAGACTGGTCCCAGTGTCAGGCAGACCTCTGAGCCTGGTCACAGACTGACCCCTTCCTTCTGGATACAGGCTGATCTTTGTCACAGGCCACAGACCTCTGGACCTCTGGTCCCAGCCATAAGTGGACTGACCTCTCTTTATGGCCGTATCCCTGCTGTTCTGGATGCTCCTGGGGGCAGTGCCTATAGCTCAGGGTCATCCTGAGATTCAGCTCCTGGAGTCTGAGAGTTGTGGCCACAGCGCAGAGGGTCCTTGGCGGGGGGGCCTGCGCTGTCCGCTGCAGCCTGGGCTCTGAGCAGTGCTATCCCTAGACCTTACTCAGGGGATCCTCTGAACTCTGGCCCTGCCCTGCAGCTTGAGCTATTTTTGCACAGCTTTGCGGTGCATGGCTTTTAAATGGCTCCATAAGCAGCAGGCTTTCTGCGGTGATTTTTTTTTCCATCTCACGCCGTATCCCCTCCTTGTCTCCCCTCCCCTGTCTCCGAGGGTCCATCTCTCTGGGTCTCTTCTTGTCTCTCCTCACCTCCTCCCGACCTTTCTGCCCTTCCTCATCTCTTGGGGCCTGACCCTGCAGGCTGAGGCTGGCCGCATGGAGCTCGAGCTCTCCGTGACCAAGCTGAGGGCAGAGGAGGCCTCCCTGCAGGACTCCCTGTCCAAGCTGAGCGCCCTCAACGAGAGCCTTGCTCAGGACAAGTTGGATCTGAACTGCCTTGTCACCCAGGTACACTGTGCACCTGCGGGCCCACCTACCTTGCCCACCCGTCCTCCCCACTCAGTGAGGCACCCTGGGCCCGGCCCTGCACCGGTCTTGGCCCCTGCCTCCCTTTCTGTCTCTGGTTCTCTGTCTATCTCCGTCTGTCTGTCTGTCCTCTCTAGGAGTCAAAGCACCGACGCTCCATGGGCCCTCCTCATCTCCCCCTCCCCAGTGTCCCACACACCCAAGGGCACTGTCCCTCATTCCCTGGGAGCCTCCCCTGGGCTATCGTGGCTGGTGGGTGGGTGGAGGAGGCGTCCTGGTCCTGGGAGGGACGCCCTGCTCATGAGGCCCCACTCCTTTCCGGCCCACAGCTGGAGGAAGAAAAGGCCACGCTGCAGGGCCGGCAGCGGCAGGCGGAGCAGGAGGCCACAGTGGCGCCGGCAGAGCAGGAGTGGCTGGAGGAGCTGTGGTTGGAGCAGGAGGTGGCACGGCAGGGCCTGGAGGGCTCCCTATGAGTGGCGGAGCAGGCCCAGGAGGCGCTGGAGCAACAGCTCCCCACACTGCACCATGAGCTCAGTTGGCTGCAGGAGCAGCTAGCACAGGTAGGCCAAACTGTGTGTGGGGTGGTCTGGAGAGCATGTGGGGCAGGCCAGGCTCGCAGCCTCCTGCATCCAGTCCTGGGTTAAGTCACAGGCACTGGAGCCTGCTTCTGGGTTAAATCCAGTCCCACTTCTCCTAGCTGGGGACCTTGGACAAGCTGCCCAACCTCCCATACCTCAGTTGCCCCATTTATAACATGGGGATAGCCGGGCGCAGTGGCTCACGCCTATAATCCCAGCAGTTGGGGAAGCCGAGGCGGGTGGATCACCTGAGGTCCGGAGATCAAGACCATCCTGGCTAACACGGTGAAACCCTATCTCTACAAAAAATTAGCTGGGTGTGGTGGCACGCGACTGTAGTCCCAGCTACTCAGGAGGCTGAGGCAGGAGAATCGCTTGAACCCAGGAGGCAGAGGTTGCAGTGAGCCAAGATCGTGCCACTGCACTGCAGCCTGGGCAACAGAGCAAGACTCCGTCTCAATAATAATAATAATAATGATACAGATTAATAATAGGTGGAGACTTTTTAGAATTGGAATCTTAGACTTTTGGGAACATCACATCTGGAAGAGACCTTAATGTTTCAGGGATCCAGGGACCTTCATGCAAGGTCCATCCTGGAGGGCCTGGGTTTCTGGGAGGTGCCTCTAGAGGATGGGGTAGGGAGTGCAGGAAGCAGGGTGCAAGTCTCCACCTTGAGGCCTGCTGAGCAGCTGCATTTGGGTCTGGTTTATATATTCAGCTTCTCTGCTTAGAGTAATACAAGGGTTCTGTTACTTCCAAAGCTGAGTGAGGACCCTCATTTTTCTTTTCTTTTTTTTTTTTTTTTTGACAGTCTTGCTCTGTTGCCCAGGCTGGAGTGCAGTGGCACGATCTGGGCTCACTGCAACCTCTGCCTCCGGGGTTTAAGCTGTTCGCCTGCCTCAGCGTCCCAAGTAGCAGGGACTACAGGCGTGCACCACCATGCCCGGCTAATTTTTGTATTTTTAGTAGAGACAGGGTTTCACCACGTTGGCCAGGCTGGTCTTGAACTCTTGACCTCAAGTGATCCACCTGCCAAAGTGCTGGGATTATAGGCGTGAGCCACCGTGTCCGGCCGGGCCCTGGTTTTTGTACACACGTGCATTGCAGATCTAGAGAAGGTCATGACTTGCCCAAGTACATATAGCACATCAGGGCAGACCCTGGGCTCGAACCCAGGCCTTCTGCCAGGACTGGGTTAGGCCCAGAGTTGGGGTGCTGCACGATGAACAAGCTGGGGGATGCTGGGAGTGCTACTCAGTCTCTGGGTGGGAGCCAGCTCTCCTGGCAGCTGAGCAGGCGGGAGCAGGAGCTGGAGCAGGCCCGGTGGGAGGCCCAGTGACAGGTGGAGACGCTGGGGCGAGTGGCCCGGGAGAAGGAGGCGCTAGCCAAGGAGCACGCTGGCCTGGCTGTGCAGCTGGCGGCCTGCGGAGCGTGAAGGCAGGACCGTGTCAGAGGAGGCCACACACCTGCAGTAAGGCCTTGGGCTCTGCCCAACCCGCCCTGGGCGGTCCTCCTGGGGCCACGCCATGACCAGCCTCACCCAGGCACGGGCCCCCAGGGGCAGTTACTAAGGAGTCTGGCTTGCCAACTCGTCCTAGCTGTGGGCTCAGGCTTCCCCAGGGAGTGTGGGCCTGGCCAGGCAGGTAGATTGGCACTTGGCCCATGCCTGGCCACTCCCTGAGATCCACAGTTTCCTGGGGCCAGGGAGGCTGAGTCCCAGGGCCTCACGCACTGTATGTGCTGCAGCTTGGAGAAGGAAGCCCTGGAGGGCAGCCTGTTTGAGGTGCAATGGCAGCTGGCCCAGCTTGAGGCCCGCCGGGAGCAGCTGGAAGCCGAGGGGCAGGCCCTGCTGCTGGCCAAGGAGACCCTGACTGGTACGAGTGGCTGGGGACTTGGGGGGAACACCAGGTTCCAGCCCAGACTGCAACCTCCCAATGTCTGTAGTCTCACAGAAGTTGGGAGCACTGGAGTAGGAGTCTGGCTGGCCTGGGTTCCAGTCCTGTGCCACCACTTAGATCTCACCTTCCCTTGAGCAAGCCCCTTTCCTCTCTGGGCTGCAGATTCCTCAGCTGATGATTGGAGGTGGCAATGCCCACCTTCTAAGCCTGTTGCCAGGATGACATGGGAAAAGCGTGTAAGGCCGTGGCACGGTGCCTGGCTGAGTCAACAGTAACTGCTGTTCATCGGTCATCAGGCCTGTTAGTCTGAGTTCTCTGTGGTTTTCAGATGACTCTCTTGGCCCCAGAATCCAAGCCCCACTTCCCTGCACCGTTCCCCATCGAATCTCTGAACTCAGGGTTTCTTTCTGCTCATCTAACATTAACTAAGCACCTACTTGGGTCATGGAAATTAATTTTCCTGTCCATGTACACCTGAGCCAGACAGAACCAGGAAGGGAAATGCTGGTGGGTTTCCAACCCGGGAGATGGTTTTTAGATGATGGCTATACCATTTCCATTCCCTGTAGTCGTTTCCATTAATGCTGATAGTTAACGCTTGACAGGTATGTTCATGTCAGTCATTAAAGGAGATGCTTTATGTGTAGCTGTGCAGCTGTGGGAAGTTGCTGCTGATCTCCTCTGATCCTCCATTTCATCATCTGTTAAACGGGGATGAGGATAAACTACATAGGCATGTTATGAAGACAAAATGAGGTTATGTCTAAAATACTTAGCTGGGTGCTTGACGCATAGTAAGTGCTGAGTCAGTAATAGGGTTTTTGTTTGTTTGTTTGTTTTTGTTTGTTTGTTTTGAGATGGAGTTTCACTCTTGTTGCCCAGGCTGGAGTGCAATGGCGCGATTTTGGCTCACCTCAACCTCCGCCTCCCAGGTTCAAGCGATTCTCCTGCCTCAGCCTTCCAAGTAGCTGGGATTACAGGCACGCGCCACCATGCCTGGCTAATTTTGTATTTTTAGTAGAGACGGGGTTTCACCATGTTGGTCAAGCTGGTCTCGAACTCTCGACCTCAGGTGATCTGCCCACTTCGGCCTCCCAAAGTGCTGGGATTACAGGCATGAGCCACCGCGCCCAGCCTGTTTGATTTTTTGAGACAGAGTCTCACTCTTGTCGCCCAGGTTGGAGTGCAGTGGTGCGATCTGAGCTCACTGCAACTTCTGCCTCTTGGGTTCAAGCGATTCTCCTGCCTCAGCCTCCCAAGTAGCTAGGACTACATACGTCCGCCACCATGCCCAGCTAATTGTTGTATTTTTAGTAGAGACAGGGTTTCACCGTGTTGGCCAGGCTGGTCTTGAACTCCTTACCTAAGGTGATCCACCTGCCCCAGCTTCCCAAAGTGCTGGGATTACAGGAGTGAGCCATGGCACCTGGCCTAGGGTTGTTATATGTTTGACATCCGTCCCATTTGGGAGGCCTTCTCATCAGTCATTTTATGCCTTTAATGCCATTCTAGGTAGGCAGGAAAGGGGTCAGGGCCAGTGGGCCCATGTAGCAGATAGGGAAACTGAGGCCCAGAGAGGACAAGCCACTTCTTCAAGAGGACCCAAACTGGATGCCAGGCAGGCCCTCTGCCTCTGGGATTTTGCCCATATGGCTCAACTGGCCTAAGTCTGCTGGCCCAAGGAAAAATTTCAACCCAACCCTGCCCTTTCCCCCATTCCTCTCGTGCAGGGGAGTTGGCGGGCCTGCGGCAGCAAATAATAGCTACGCAGGAGAAAGCCAGTCTAGACAAGGAGCTGATGGCCCAGAAGCTGGTGCAGGCTGAGCGGGAGGCCCAGGCCTCTCTGCGGGAGCAGTGGGCAGCCCACGAGGAGGACTTACAGTGACTCCAGCGTGAAAAGGTTCAGGCAGCTGGGGAGGGGTGGGCAGAAGTCTGAGCCAGTGTTTCATCATCGTTCTTGCTCTGCCTCGGTCTGTACACCTGTGAAATGGGACTCCCTCTCTGTTGTGGAGGCCCTGGGGACAGCTGGGAGGACTGGAGGGGTGGTGGGGAGGTTGTGGTCCTTATTAGACATTCAGATACCCAGGTCCCAAATCTGGTCCAGCCCTGGTAATCCTGATGCAGAGGGTCCACAACCACATTTGGGAAATGTTGACCTAATGTACAGCAGGAAAGCACTTTCATTTGCTAAGAAGTTTCCATATGAAGGGCCACGCAGACCTGAGCATGTAGAAAGGCAAGGGGCCAGGGAAGTTACTAGAACACTGACTCTGGGGTTATATTGCCTGGGTTTGAATCTAATCTTGGTCGCTTACTGGTGATGCTACCCAAGGTGTCTGTGCCTTCATTTCCCCACCTGTAGAAATAGGGATAGGATAGTGGAAGGTATTGAGGATGAGCTGAGACCATCTGCATAGAGGGCTTAACATAGTGACTGGTACTTAGCAAATGCTCCATGAGTTATGATTGCTGGCACTGGCATGCTCTCCAGAGTGGCCCTCAGGACAGGGGCCCTCAGCCACCAAATCCTAGACAGGGCTTCCTCTGACAGAGGTGCAGGCTATGACTACATGGCTCCAGGGCATGCCACTCACCCTGCAGTCCCCATGGCCTTGGGTGGTGGTTATCACGCTTCTCCATCAGGGGGCGGTAAAGCTCTTTCCGAAAGTGCTGGGATTCCAGGCATGAGCTATGGTGAAGCTCTTAAAGAAGGGGTGGCTTGGCCGGGCGTGCTGACTCATGCCTGTAATCCCAGCACTTTGGGAGGCTGAGGTGGGCGGATCACGAGGTCAGGAGATCGAGACCATCCTAGCTAACACAGTGAAACCCTATCTCTCCTAAAATCACAAAAAATTAGCTGGGCATGGTGGCACGCGCCTGTAGTCCCAGATACTTGGGAGGGTAAGGCAGAAGAATCGCTTCAACCTGGGAGGCAGAGGTTGCAGTGAGCCAAAATCACGCCACTGCACTCCAGCCTGGGTGACAGAGCGAGACTCTGTCTAAAAAAAAAAAAAAAAAAGAAGTGGCAGCTCTGTCTGCTTCTCACAGAGTTGCTAGGGACAACTGCTGAGGCAGGCACCTGCCCTCAGGCTCCCTGGGTGGGCTGCTATTTGCCTGTGGGCTCTGCCTGCCCGCCTGTCCAGTCCCCAGGGATCTGAACTGTGACCTCCCCCTTGCTCTTCTTGCCCTTTGCATTGCCTGGCTTGGCCTCATTAATGTCCCCAAATCTGTGTTCTTCTCTCCAGCTCCTCTGGCAACCCCTGACCCCCTTCATTCCTCACAGCCAGTCCTAACTCTCCTCCATCCCAACCCCAATCCCTCTTCCACAGCTGTCGGAACATCCCCTAAGCTAAAAATCAGATTGCTCCTTGTCACCTTGGCTCGAGTCCTCTCTCCCACTCCCCTCACTGTCCTTAGAATCCCCATGGCCCACACGGCCTGTCCTGGCCCAGCCACTGCCTGGGGCTCTGGCCCTGTGACTCACCGCGCCCTGTTTCCCTCTGCACCCTGCATCCTGTAGTCCTTTCCAGGGGCTGTGCTCTTGGCCTGGGGTGGTCTTTTCTCTCCTTACCTGGCTGACAGTTACTTGTCCCTCCGCAGGGGATCATGTTCGGACCCCCAGGCCAGCCCACTGCTGCTCCTTGGCACTTTCACGGCCCTGGCGTGTCCCCGTCATAGCCCTTATCAGTCCCTTGTATTTACCTGGTCACCCTCCATCTCTGAGGGTATGGGGGCCAGATGGCTCTTGCTGCCCTGATGTTTTGGGGGGTCTGCCTGGTCCCCTCCTGGTGTGTCACACGCGTCCAGTCCTGGCCCCCTAGGAGGCAGCATGGCGGGAGCTGGAGGCCGAGCGGGCCCAGCTGCAGAGTCAGCTGCAGCGTGAGCAGGAGGAGCTGCTGGCCCGGCGGAAGGCTGAGAAGGAACAGCTGAGTGAGGAGATTGCTGCCCTGCAGCAGGAGCATGACGAGGGCCTCCTCCTGGCCGAGAGCGAGAAGCAGCAGGTTCGTGAGCCCTGGCGTGGCCTCTGCTGCTCTCTGAGCTGCTCCAGTTCTGGGGCCGGGCCCTGCTCTGCCACTTGGCAGCTAGGAGCCCTGGGGCAGGCCACTGCCCTCTTGGGGGCCTCAGTTTCCTTACCTGCAGGAGGGGAGGATTAGAAGGGGGTTCGTGAGGCTTTGCCGTGCTCCATGCCTGGCACACAGTGAGCACTTACTGAGTGACAGTGACAGTCGTGACACCAGGAAAGCTGTTCCGTATTCTCCCATGCCTCGTCCCACCCCACGCTGGGCATGGATCCTCATGGCTGCCTTCTGAGCAGTCCCCACGATGCCCACAGGCATCAGCTGACCCGTCCCCCCAAATAACAAATCCCTAACTTTCCTATAATGTAACGGAGACAGGGCAGACTGTGCCCATCTCCTCTCCTCACCAGCTGTGTACCTGGGCGAGTCACTTTACCTCCTTGAGCCTCAGTTTCCTCATCTGTAAGATGGGTAGAAAGAAAGACTCTGCAGTCAGGGTGCTGTGGCGGGTTAGTGAGCTCTATGAGTGGTATCCACGTCCGGGATTCTTGTGACTGCCGTTGTGCCCTTTTCCAGGGCTGCACGTCTGCCCTGGGTCCACCTGCAGTGGCACACTCAGGCCTCTAAGCCCCCAGTGGGCACATTTCCTAGGCAGCAAGAAGCCTGAGCATGCCCCCAGGACCAGCCCATCCCCCAAGCCCTTTGTCCCCTGCCTCTGCCCAGGCCTTGTCTCTGAAGGAGTCTGAGAAGATGGCGCTGTCAGAGAAGTTGATGGGTACACGGCACAGCCTGGCCACCATCTCCCTGGAGATGGAGCGGCAGAAACCAGATGCCCAGAGCCGGCAGGAGCAGGACCGGGTAGGCCTGCCGTCGTAGGGAGGCTTGCGGAGCAGGAGCGCCCTCTCTCCACCGAGCTATCCCGCGGTTTCCAGCATCCCATCTGGCGGACTCCTCTTCCTCTCTCTTCTCCTACTCTGGGTCTTCTATCCTGGTGTTCCTTGAATGCCTATCTTCCTTTTGTGCCTCGGAACCTCTCACGCCTGCCACAAGTTACTCTTTTCCTTGGTAGTTCTGAACTTTAAATAAGGTAATGCCTGTAAGAATGCCATAAATGCTCAATAATTGTCATCTGTTATTATTTTCATCAGTAACATCATCTGAATCATCAGTATTGTCTGCTTTTAACAGCTGCATTTTTCATTGTCCAAATATAGTCACATACATTTGACCATTTTATAATTATTGAATAATAAATTCGTTCTGCTATTTTACAATGAAAAATAATGCTGCAGAGAGCATTTTTGCACATGTATCGTGGCAGATGTAGGCCAGAGGCTCTTCTTTTATCCATCCTATGGCCAACCTATGAATGTATACACGTTTAATGAGATTTTGCCAGCAATCAAAGCCTTCAGGGAAAATGTCCCTAGCTCTTTACTACATCAGATCAAGGACTCTGGATAATTGGCATAACATCCTGGAATAGCTGAAACAGAGATATTATTCTCTGCTGTCCTCTGTTGTCTTTGTCTTTTCACGTCTTAATAAAAGTGCTGGTGACAAGAGTGTAACTATGTCAGTGTTCTCCTGCTGTCCTTGCCTGTGTGGGTCTTCTCCCAAACCCGACTTTCCTCCAGCGGCTTCACTGAAAAAGAGGAGGGGGCTGTGGGGGGTGGGTCGGGGAGCAGAGGAGGAAATAAACTGAATAGGGAGGAAGCTTCTCACAGGCCCGGAGAGGGTAAGGAAGGGAGTCAAAGACAGAATTTTCTTCAGCAAACAGTAAAAGGGGAAATCTGGGGATGCTAAGAGTTTTTAAACCCTTTGCTCCATCACATAAGTAATCCATGATTTTCTGTTCCACAAATCAGGACTCCTACTCCTCCCTCCCTCCCCATCCCCAATCCTGATTCCTGTTTACAAAGAATGTTGAAAAACAAGGAATTATGTATAACAGTTCCCAGTTTGCTCAGGAAATTCTCAGATTATAAAGAGACATTACAAATGAACAAGTGAAGAGAAGAACCTTGGTGGTTCCAACATAGTATGGCCATTGTTTTATACTCAAAATATAGAAAGACAACCTCAGAATAAGAAAACTTTTGGAATTGAATAAATCAAGTTTATCATTAAAATGCAAAGAAAAAAACTCTCCAAATGTTGCTGATCTTCTGTTTTAAACTACTGTTAGACCGGAGAAGCGGAGAGCAGGGGAATCCGCCAAAGAGTTTTGGATGAAAATTAATCAGCCCTGTCTACCGTAGTCACACCCCACTGCCCTTGAGACCCAATCCTTCGGAAGGAGTGTCCAAGAGGTATAAAGCAAAACCGAAAAAACAGTTCGCAAATTCCAGAGTTCGTTTTCTCTCATTAAAAATATAAATATCAGGCTAACACATGTTGACACACAATAACAGGGACACAGAATCCCTCCTGGAAGACCGACGGGCCCACGGACCCCACGGGTGCCACGGTGGTGGACGAGGTTAAGTAACTTGGTTCAGGGTGTCTGGGCACACCTCTGCGTGAGACTCTGTCTCTGCTGCTCCTCTCATCTCTACGCCGATTCCTCCCCACAATCCTCCCTTTTCCTTGGGCCCCCGACGCCTCTCCGACCAACAGTCTCCCCAGCCCCGCAGCTTCTCTCTTTCAGACCTTTACTTCTTGATCCTCACTCCATAGTGAGATGTGGCCTTTCAGCAAATAAATTGTGCTCAGGGAGACTGAAAGAAAGGGGTAAACCAGGATTAGTGCTGCAGGGTCAGAGCTAATGACACAAGCTTCTCTCCTCAGGCCTATTCATTTGAGATGCATCTCAGGCACTTAGGCACAGCAGTGCTAAGTTAGTACCAATTATATACATGCACACATAAATACATAAAAGCATATAAATATTACATATGTAAATATAAATTGTACCAATAAAATCGACATCAAGCTTGTTTTTAATCATTCACTCAAAATACATTGAACAGCTACTGTGCAAAGTCTTGGGACTGCTTAGAAACTTAAGACAAAAATATTGGGCCTGTAGTCCCAGGTGAAGCCTAGGCAGGAGGATGGCTTGAATGAAGGAGTCCAAGTCCAGCCTGGGCAGCATAGTGAGACTCAGTCTTTTTTTTTTTTTTCTCTGAGATGGAGTCTCACTCTGTCGGCCAGGCTGGAGTGCAGTGGCACAATTTTGGCTCACTGCAACCTCCACCTCCCAGGTTCAAGCGATTCTCCTGCCTTAGCCTCCTGAGTAACTGGGATTACAGGCACGTGCCACCACACCTGGCTAATTTTGTATTTTTAGTAGAGATGGGGTTTCACCATGTTGGCCAGGCTGGTCTCGAACTCCTGACCTCAAGTGATCCACCCACCTTGGCCTCCCAAAGTGTTGGGATTACAGGCATGAGCCACCGTGCCCGGCCGAGACTCAGTCTTTAAAATAATGAAGTAAAATAAAAACATAAACCTCAAACAAAAAGACAAACTATGATTTCAATCATTGTGAAGCTCTTGATCTAGTAGATGATATATATATATATATATATATATATATATACCAAAAATACTATAATTTCAGAGAAGTGCTATAGAGTCTAATGTTTAACAACTTCTGGCATTTGACTGATGGTGTTTAAAGCTCTTCCCGCATTTTCCAGGGGTATAAATTGAGGCAAGTTATTTGGTATTTACTGCATTTTGGCTTCTTCATATGCAAGGGGGTTATGATAATAATACCTACCCCATGAGGACGGTATGAGGACTAAAGAAAATCGTGTATGTATAGCCTCGGCCAATGCCCATAGACACTGAGTACTCAACTAGGTGTTAGCTAGCAGATTTTAAATTTGCATTTATTCGTATAGTTTTTAAGGTAAAATTTACATTCATTGAAATGTTAACTGTATGTTTTTTGACAAATGAATACACTTATATAACTCATATCCCTATCAAGACAGAGACCATTTTTACCACCCAGAAATTTCTCTCATGTAACTTCCCAGTCAATCCCCTGCCAGAGGGAACCACTGCTATGATTTTTTCACCACAGATTAATTTTCCCCTTTCTAGAATTTCAAATAAATGGGAAGGTATGTGCTCTTTTGTGTCATTTATCTTCACAGACTTTGAAATAAAAAAGTTACAATTTTAAACCTTTTGGGCATTTAGTAAAAATCTCCTTCCCACCAGTAGCCACCAGTCACCAGTCTTCATTTCTCTCTCTCTCTCTCTCTTTTTGAGACAAGATCTTGCTCTGTCATCCAGGCTGGAGTGCAGTGGCATGATCATGGCTCACTGCAGCCTCAACCTTCTGAGCTCAAGCAATCCTCCCACCTCAGCCTCCCAAATAGCTGGGAGTACAGGCGCCCGCCACCACGCCTGGCTAATTTTGCTTGTATTTTATGTAGAGACAGGGTCTCACCAAGTTGCCCAGGTTAGTCTCAAACTCCTGAGCTCAAATGATCTGCGGGCCTTGGCCTCCCAAAGTGCTTGGATTACAGGTATGAGCCACCGTGCCTGGCTCAGTCTTCCTCTCTTAAAGCAACCAATGTTATTAGTTTTATGTGGGCCACCCCATGGCTTATCATTATTAATTCAGGTGTTTATACAAGGCTCTTTGAGAACTCAGTTTTAAAGGTTACCCAAAGCATCCTAAGACAACTCAGCCTAAAACGATATAAAATCAGTTTTAATATAACTGAAGTTTCTACATTCTGACTCCAACTGTCAGATTGTGACATTTTCTCTTTCTCTGACTTTATGCCAAATTTACTTCAACTTCTAGCATCCATCATTCTCATTTATGAACAAATATGTATTTAACAAATGTGGAAATACAAATCATGAAGCAAACAAAACCAAACCCTGGGCTTACGTAGCCGATAGTAAAAAATTCACCAAAATAACCACCCGATTACAGTTTCATGCAATGTGATAGGAGTAAGGGACCACCATAGGGAGGTCAGAAGGTGCTTTTCAGAGGTGGAGACTACAGCTGTTCTCAGAAGAATAGGGGTTAGAAGAACCTTCCAGGCACAGAGCAAAGCATGAGCAAAAGCTCTGTGGAGGCCAGGAAGCTGGTAAATAGGGAATAAAAGAGGCCAGTTTGGCTGGAGCAGAGAGAGCAGAACGGAATTGGTCTGAGTAGTGAGAAGAGATGAAGAAGTGGGCAAGGCGCCTGGCCATTCGGGGCTTGGTTAGTTAGGAGGTTTTGTCTAAGAGAATGGGAAGGTGTTTAAGTGCTTTAGGCTGGGAAGTGACACGGTCACATTATATTTTGGAAAAGCCACTCTGCCTGTTGTGTTGAGATTAGAGAGGCGATAAAGGGGATATGGGTAAACCACAAGAAGACTAGGTCAGTAGTCCCTCGACCCTCACTCCCCAGGTGAAGGCAGCCTAGACTAGGGTGGTGACGGAGGAGATAGAAGAGGACAGATTCAAGGAAAATTTGGAAGGTAAAAACCAGTAGGATTTGCTGACGGATGGAGTATAGGAGGGGAGAGGTAGATTATCAGGGATGTATCTTAGTTTTCTTATACAAGATAGATTCAGTTGCAATGAAATTGTTAATTGAAATTGACTTTAAATAATGGCATGACCTAAAGTTATGCAAACATTTGCCTTAGATAAAATATCAAGTTTTCAAAGTTTTTAGCTGGGTGGACGGCATGGCTTTACTTCCTATTTCTTGGTATTCTAATCCTGTTGAAAAAAAAAGTTTTTCTTTTTCTCAAAGGCTTATTTCAGTGGAAGCCCATCTGCAAAATCTGTTAATAAATTTAAACTAGAAAATAACTACAAGTGCCATTGACACGTTGGTTATTCTTTTTGAGAGTGACCTAAGGCCACCTCTGGGAGAGCTGGGGGCTCTTCTGAAGCCTGCCCGACTGCACCGCGTGCCCGTGCCTGGAAGTC
This sequence comes from Homo sapiens, assembly GCF_000001405.40. NCBI lineage: Eukaryota > Metazoa > Chordata > Mammalia > Primates > Hominidae > Homo > Homo sapiens. The sequence continues at coordinate 647,633 of NW_025791756.1, read as the reverse complement.
AGATTCGGGGCGGTGCGGCAGCGCGAGGCCTGCAGTCCTAAGCGCGGGGTCGCTCCAGCCCCAGAGGGGGTGTGTCTCCTGCCTCTTCAACCTGGCAGGGGCTGTTCAAGTGGCCGGGGAAACCAGCGATTTGGAGGGTCGAGGGCTGGTGCTTTGAAAGACAGGCGGAGGGGAGAGAGGGATTTCCCCGTCCCCGCTGCACTCGGTCCTTCCCCTGGGTTACTCCTTTTCTCCGCCTGCGCGGCCCCTAACCTGCTCTAACCCGTTGTGCAGAAGAGGCCGCCGGGTCCCTTTAAGGCCCCGCCGCGCCTGCGCCTTGGGTTATCCTGACACGCCCATCGGGATCCTGAGGAGCCAGTGGGCTGCAGGCGCAGGCGCAGGCGAGGGGCTGGGTGGCGGTTGAGACAGCGGCGGTACTGGGAGGCGTAGGTGAGGGTCGCGAGGCTGCCCGAGCTTCTGAGCGAGCGCGGTGCTTTTGGGAACGCGGGACGGGCGATCTGCGGCGCCAGGAGCTGGGCCGAGGCGCGGCGGCGCGGCTGCCGGCTGCCCTGTGAATGGGAAGTTACGCGAAGTCCACCCAGCGTTTCTGAGGTGAGGGCGCCGCGCCAGGCTGGGCGGGCGGTGAATCCGGGACCCGCGGGCGCACAGCTGGGTCGAGGCGCGGCCGTGGCAAGTTTTGTTGCGCGAGCGCGGGGGCGGGTGGGGGGTGTGGGGGGTCGTGCACCGCCGGGGCCTGAGTTCCCCGCGCTGGATTCTTCGCCTGCCGCTGCCGCCCGCAGCCCAACTCTCGTGGGCGCTGGGGAAGAAACTCGCTGGCGGGTGTTCTGTGGCATCCCAGGGGGTGGAGGGACGGAGCAGCTTCGGGGGCACGTCCTCCTATATCCTGTAGAGGACACTGACCCCGCACCCCACCCTCCAGGCCAGAAATCCGTTCCCTCTGCGGACCTGAGAGGCGAGCGCGCTCGCGCCCCTGACTTGCAAAGTTGGGGTCTTTACTGGCCTCCGGGCTTCTGCTCCTGGCGGTGTCTCCAGGCTGGTGATGGGCAAGCCAGGTGTGCCAGCTCCAGGATGCACATGAGCAGCATTTGTAGCCATCACTGAATCACCTCCTGACTAGCGGGGCAAGCCTCAAATGAACCGCAGGATTTCGGGTAGATTGGATTGTGGGGTTGCTGTTTGCACTCCAAAGAGTTGCTGTGATTTCCCTGCGTCTGGCTGGCTGGCTGGCTTCTTAGATCATCTCATGTGGCGTCCTTTCAGCGGAGAGTTAACCAAGACGTTTGGCCTGGCTTCCTTGTTTTCCTCCTATCTTTTGCTTAGAGCTGCTTTCGAAAAGAAGTCTTTTCTGGCAGTGGTATCTTTTCTTTGGGTTACAGTGTTGTTCATCCTTTCTTTGCCAAAAGAATGAATCCCAGTGCTTCAGGAAGTTAAAGAAAAGATCTGCTGGTAGTGTTCTGAGCTGATATGCGTTAGTAGCTTTTTGTTTTTAAATTCTATTGGTAAAATTTCACTAGTGAACCAGAAGCTACTTTTTCTATTCTGAAATGCTAGCTTTAAGATTTCTGAGAACTTTGCGTCAAAGAAATCTTGGAAAAGTTACTGAAGTATACAGAAGTTCACAATTTTACATGTGCAGGTGGCCCGGGCGCAGTGATCACACCTGTAATCCCAGCACTTTGGGACGCCAAGGTGGGTAGATCACTTGAGCCCAGGATTTCCAGACCAGCCTGGGCAATGTGGCAAAACCCTTTCTCTACTAAAAATACAAAAGTTAGCTGTGTGTGGTGGCGTGTGCCTGTAGTCCCAGCTACCCGGTAGGCTGAGTTGGGAGGATCACCAGAGCCCGGGAGGTTGAGATTGCAGTGAGCCGTGATCATGGCAGTGCACTCCGACCTGGATGGCAGAGTGAGACCCTGTCTCAAAAAAAAAAAAAAAAAAAGTAATGAATTTTTACCAAGTGAACCACCACAGATCAAGAAATTGAACATTACTAGTCTGGGGTATATTTGTAGGGGTGGCATTGTTGGTTTTAGAGGTATATGAATGATAAAACTTTAGTATTACATATTGTTGAACATTTTCCCAAAGTAGTTGTACCATTTAGCAGGGATATGCTGGTTACCCCACATCTTCGCTGATACCTGTCAGTTAAAAATTATTTTGCCATTCTAGTAGGGGTGCAGTAATATATCAGTGTGGTTTCATTGAGATTGAGTATCTTTTATTGCCATTTATATGTCCTCTTTTGTGACGTGCCTGTTAAATCTTTTTATCCAGTTTTCATTGATATGCTTGTTTTCCTGTTGATTTGTAATACTTTATTCTGGATATGCCTCCTTTCTAGGATTTATATGTATTGCATTTCCCTTTTTTCAATCTGTAGCTTGCGTTTTCACTCTTTTATGGTGTTTTTTCATGAAGGGAGATTCTCTTTTTTTATTTTTCTTTTTGAGACAGGATCTCACTCCATCGCCCAGGCTGGAGTGCAGTGGCACAATCACAGCTCACTGCAACCTTGACCTCACAAGGCTCAGGTGATCCCCCTGCCTCAGCCCCCAAGTAGCTGGGACCTACAGGGGAGTACCACCACACTCAGCTGTTTTCTGTATTTTTAGTAGAGATGGGTTTTGCCACGTTGCATAGGCTGGTCTGGAATTCCTAGGCTCAAGTGATACACCTGCCTCGGCCTCCCAAAGGGTTGGGATTACAGGCATGAGCCACTGCACCCAGCCTGAGATTCTTCATTTTAATGAAATTATACTTTATCAATCTTTTCCTTTATGGTTACTGTTTTTTGTGTCCTGTTTAAGAAATCAATGCCTAACCTAAGAGTATGAACACATTTTTCTGTGTTAACCTTATAACGATTTTATTTTAGTTTTTGCTTTTTTTTTTTTTCAGACAGGGCCTCAGTCTATTGTTGCCCAGGCTAGAGTGTGGTGGCAGGATCTCAGCTCACTCAACCTCCATCTCCTGGCTCAAGTGATCCTCCCACCTCAGCCTCCTGAGTAGCTGCGACTATAGGCATGTGCCACCATGCCTGGCTAATTTTCCTATTTTTTGTAGAGATGGGGATTCAACATGTTTCCCAGGTTGGTCTCGAACTCCTGGGCTCAAGTAATCTGCCCGCTTCAGCCTCCCAGAGTGCTGGAATTACAGGTGTGAGCCACCCCACCTGGCTATGATTCACTTTTTACTACATGGATGTGTCTGCTTGATCCAGCACCATTTATTGAAAAGACCATCCTTTTCCTTCCGCACCATGTGGCACTTTTTTTCATAAATCGAATGACTGTATGGTCATCTGATTTATGAAATTAGTGTGGGTCTGTTTCTGTTTCTGGACCAACTTGGGTAACATAGTGAGATCCCATCTCTACAACAAATAAAAATAATAAATAAATGAATAAAATTTAAAAAATAAGTGCGTAGAGCAGATGGAGTCATAGGTGATAATTTATAAATGATTGCCAGTTTCTTGGCTACATATGGGTGTTGGTAATTCAGATGTGTTGGGTGTTCAGGCAAAACGTATTAAGTGAATTATATGGTGTTCAGAATGATTGCTAGATGTTCATTGTGACTTGAATTAGATGTTATTTGAGCCTCACAGAGCTACAGTTTTGACTCTTTTATTTATTTGTCTTTTTAAAATTTTTACAATCTTCCTGTCAAGGCAGTAACTCTTTTATACTTAATTGTTCTTAAGTATACTTAATTACCAGAAAAGCTTTATGGATCATACCTAAATAAGTGTTAAGCCATTTAAGGGGCTCACGTGATGTGATATAAACAATAGTATTCTACATAATAGTTTTAGGACTACATCAAATAATTTTTTTTTTTTCTTGAGACAGTGTCTCGCTCTGTCGCCCAGGCTGGAGTGCAGTGGTATGATCATGGCTCTCTGCAGCCTTGATCTCTCAGGCTCAAGCACTCCTCCCACCTCAGCCTCCTTAGTAGCTGGGTCTACAGGCATGCACCACTGTGCCCGGCTAATTTTCTCCTTTTTGTAGACAGGGTTTTCCTGTAGTGCCCAGACTGGTTTCAAACTCCTGGGCTGAAATGATCCTCCCACCTTGGCATCCCAAAGTGCTGGGATCACAGGCATGAGCCATCACACCTGGCCATTTTAGTTTTAATAATTTTTATATTTTTCTAATTTAAAAGATGTACTAAAATCTCTTACAGCTATTATTTATGAATATAGTATTCATTGTTGTTATTATGATGATTTTGTATGTGTTTAATCTGATTTTCAATATAAGCTCCTGGCAATTAGAGATTTTGTCTCTTTGATTCACCAGTGTATTCTCAGTACTTGACCTTGCCTGGCATGAAACAGATATTGAATAAATATTTCTTAAATGAATGAATGAATGAACATACTAATACCATATTCAACAACCTCCGAGTATCACAGTTTTCACCATCTAACAAATAAAGTAGCTTGTATAGAGTAGAGTCACAGTCAACCTGCCATAAAAGGACATGTCAATGAAAAATAAACCTTCGTATGTGTAGCTGCTAAGATTTTGGGGCTTTTGTTACCGTAGCATAACCTAGCGAAAGCTCAGAGAGACAGCATATACAATATACGTGTACAGATAGACCAGCTAGACCAGTAGATGAGATTCCAAAGCTACTTTAATAAGCATTAACTAACGACACCCACACTCTCTTAATTCCCTAACAGAAATAATGGAATTCTTGTTCACTAAGATCTGCCTCAAATATTACTTACTTTGTGAAAACTTCCCTGGCTACTCTAGTATTTAGTCAGGACTCTTTATTTTTTTCCCCCCAGGCTGGAGTACAGTGGTGCCATCATAGCTCACTAACCGCTAACTGAAGGCTCAAGGAATCCTCCTGCCTCAGCCTCCCAAGTAGCTGAGACTACAAGTGTGCACCACCATGCTCAGCTTATTTTTCCTTTTTTCTTTTCCCAGACGGGGTCTTACTATGTTGCCCAGGCTGGTCAGGACTGTTGATTACATATGACAGAAACCCAACCACCTCTAGTTCCCACCACCTTTCAACCTGCTCTTCCCTGGGTCTTCCCAGTCTCCGTAAATGGCAGCTCCATCCTTCAAGTTACCGAAGCCCTAAATCTCAACGTTAACCTTGATTTCTCTCTTTTATCTCACAGGCAATCTGAAGGCAAATCCTGTTTAGACCCAGGCGAAGGTTCCCGGTGACCCGGGCTCTCACCAGCCAATTGTCCCTTGCCGTCCTCCTGAGGGTGCCTGGAGCTTAAGCACTGTGTGCTCTTGGCCTCCACACTGGGGATGCCGCTGACTCCCACTGTCCAGGGCTTCCAGTGGATTCTCCGAGGCCCTGATGTAGAAACTTCCCCATTGGGTGCACCAAGAGCAGCCTCACATGGTGTGGGCTGACATCAAGAGCTGCCAGATCCAACAGGTAAAAATCCCGAGGCATTGCCAGCTCAGTGGGGTCAGAGAGTCCTCTTTGTATTATGACTCAGATGTGAAGGGAAGATGTCAAGGTCCCTAAACATCGCAGGGCCTTGCTTGGCATGCAACAGATATTAAATAAATATTTGTTAAATGAATGAACAAATATCCACAGCATGTGCTGCCCATGAGCTGCAGTGCCGTGGTCAGGTAGAAGTGATTTTACTTCAGGAGAGGACAGTGTTCTCTCCAGGACTTTTCCTTACTAGCTAGATCTGCATCCCTCTCCTCACTCTTCCCCTCTCACCCCCCATTCTCTGCCCCCATTTCTCTCTGTTTCCACCCTACTGTCCCCTTTCACCTGCTTTCTGCTCTTCAGCTTTGGTGGCTCACCCCCTCCCTGTCCACCTGCATCCCCCAGGCTAAGGCTCCTACACTGTCCTGGGTGGGGAGATGTGTCTGGTTTTAGGCAGTGCCCTCTGGATGTGTCCAGGATGGGGAAACATGGCTCAGTTGCCCGTATAATGGGTTAAAAGTGGCCACTTTTGAAGGCCTTTCCCATCTCCCATTCCAGAATCCTGTAGACTTAGAATTTATGGGCCACAGTGGAATTCTTGGTTCCCCAGGACCTTGTGGTGGACGTCTTCTTTCACTGAGCATTCATGGGGTGACTATGAGGTAGTAGGCCCTGCTCTGGGCTAGAGGCCCCACAATGAGTAAATCTCAGGTCACTACCCCATGGAACCCACTACTGCAGGCGTTGAGAGGGGGAGAAAGAAAGGGGCATGGCCTGTTTGTGTTCTTCTCATGTGGTCACCCACAGGTCCTGGGGGAGTAGGAGCCAGTGCAAGGAGAGAAGTCCATTGAGAAAGGCAAATGGATGACATCAGACCCAGGGGCTGAGGTCCCCAACTGCAGCTGGGTAGCTTCTGGAGTGGACAAGGAGCAACAGGGAAGTTCGTGGCCTGGTGTTCTGGGATCCACTGTCTCATCTCATTCTTGTGGGCACCAGAACGTATCCAAAGACAAGACTCAGTGTCTCTGGCAACAGTGAGCCAGAGATAGAATGTGTTTCAGAGGAGGAGGAAGGGGTTGTTGTACCCCATGGAAACAGTATATTGTTTTACAGTAGCGTGTCTTTCTCTAATAACTACTTAGCGTGTTCCTGTTAATGGAAAATATTGGTGGTGTAAGTTTCCCCACTGTTCTCATCTTCATGTAAATTTGTTCATTTCCTTCCTTCCTTCCTTCCTTCCTTCCCTACTTCCCTCCAACTCTCTTTCTCTCTCTTTTTATTCTTTCCCTCCTTCCCACCCGCCCTCCATCCCTCCCTTCCTTCCTCCTTCCCTCCTTCCCTCCCTTCTTTCCTTTCTTCCTTTCTTCTTCTTCTTTCTCTCTCATGCTCTCTCTTTTTCTTTCCTTTTCGTTCTCTCTACTTTTTTGAAGAGATCACACTGTACTGAAACCTACATTATTTTCCAAAATCTCTGGATCTGCTTCTGTCTTGCAGGCAGAGAGCTCATCCAGTAGCCCTTAGCTCTTCCCAGCCCCCTCCTTTGATTTGTGGGTGCCACTGCGGCAGCTGCTGAGTCTCAGTGGTTTCTAGTCTTCACCAAGTTCTGCCCACCCAGATGGTTTTTACCTGTCCTCACCAGAAACCTGCACTGTCTAGATTGCTGAGGCTGCTTCTCCTTAACCGATCTGCTATCTGTATTCCAGGGGCACCCCAGGGTTAGAGGTAAATGGCACAGGCCTTGAAATCTCCAACTGCTCTGACTCCAGGTTGGTGCACTTCAATGCCAAGTACTAACCACACAATTACAGGATGCCACCAAAACCTTGATATGGGGCTTCTGCATCCTAATTAAAAAAACAGTTAATAGACATTATTTTTTAGAACAGTTCTAGGTTTACAGAAAACTTGAGTGGATAATACAGAGAGTTCTCCTAGGCTCCCCTGTCCTCCAGCACACAATTTTCCCTACTAGTATGTTGTATTAGTGTGGTCCATTCATTACAATTGATGAACCACTGTTGATACGTCATTATCAACTAAAGTCCATAGTTTACATTAGAGTTCATTCTTTGAGTTTCACAGATTATGGGTTTTGGCAATTACATAATGTCCTAAATCCCCAATACAGCGTCATGCGAAAGAGTTTCACTGCTGAAAATTCCCTGTGCTTCACCATTTCACGCATCCTCCTCTCCTCCACCCCTGACAACCACTCACCATTTTACTACTTCTATCTTTTTGACTTTCCAAGAATGTCCTAGAGTTGGAGTGGTACAGTATGTGGGTTTCCAGACTGGCTTCTTTCTAGCATTATGTACTTTAAGTTCCTTCATGTCTTTTCATGGCTTGATAACTTGTTTTTTAAAATCAGTGAATCAGATTTCCTTGTATGGCTACAACAGTTTGTTTATTCTTTCGCTTGGTGAAAGACATCTTGGGCACTTCCAAGTTTTGGCAATGATGAATAAAATTGCTGTAAGTACTTCTGTGCAGGATTTTGAGTGAACTTAAGTTTTCCAAAGTGACTGTACCCTTTTGATTTCCACTAGCGATGGAAAGTTCTGCTTGCTCCTCATCTTTGACAGCATTTGGTGTGTTCACCTTTTTGAATTTTAGCCATTCTATACAGCTTATCTGCCCCTACTGTGGAATGATGTGACAGACATAGAATAACACTTACAGTGATTCTAGTTCAAAATGAGGCAACATGGAAGGGATAAAGAAGTCACTGACCCAAAATAGTTTGGAAATGGAGCTGGGCAAAATCCAGCAGAAGTTTCTTAATTAGGATCGACAGCCTGGGACCGGCCCGCCGTCCTGTGGGTCTTTGCCTCTGGGCTGTCTGCTGTGCATTTCTTGGAAGCATTATTACTTATCTTTTTTTCTCACACTTTTTTGGGTATGGCTTCTATCGCACTCCAAATGTTTTTGAGATTCATCCATGTTGTTCTGTGTGTCACCAGTTTGTTCCTTTAGCCATTCCATGGAATGAGTGTATCACAGTTTATTGATCCATTCTTGTATTGACAGATACTTGAATGTTTTCAGTTTTTTGTATTATGAATAAAACTGCTATGAACATTCTTGTATAAGTCATTTTCTGGACATAGGTTTTAGTTTCTCTTGGATAAATGCTTAGGAATTACTGAGTCATAGAATAGGTAGTTGTTTGTTTCTGTAAGAATATGCCAGATATTTTTTCCCAAAGTGCATATGCTGTTGTACCTTCCAACCATTAGTGTACGAAGGTGAGAAAGCTTTTGCTCCTTCCAAAGAGGCCTCTCTATATACATGTAATTTTTTCTATATACATGTAAATTTTTCTAACTGGAGATAGGCTGGTGACTTCAGGGACATGAGCATGGGATATAGGACACCTGTCATGATTCAGGAAGGAGGCTAGTCATATAAGGAATCCTGTGACCAGCATGAGCTTCTATCAGGCCACACAGGGCACTCAAGTGAACAGGGCATATGGGGTCCTGGGGTCATGGTGAGAAAGTGTCTCATTGGTAAAACCTTTTCCCTTGGGGAGGTAAATAAATTCTTGGTTCCTTCTTGGTAGCCCTTGAAGATAAGGATGGTCAAACAAAATAATATTATATCTGCAGAAAGTCAGATCTTGGTAAGATTTACTAGTTGGGAATCCAATGTTAATGCCAAGAAGCAGCTGCCAGTTGGGATCAAATGTGAGCCTATGGATCAAGGTGCGTACTCAAACACAGAGAGCTTTTTGAAAGATGCTACCAGCAGTTTTTCCAGGGCAGAGATGGGTCCTTTATTTTTCTCTCTAATCTAGCCCATATGCTTAGCTGAGAAGGTTTCTTCATATCACTTTAAATGATGATGTCCTTGTACAACAATTTTCGAAACATTCTTTAGATAAGAATTTTATGGGCATCCTTTATTGCATTAGGCTCAAATTTCATGCATCTTAAGGTTTTATTGCAAAGTGTTGCCTTGTTTCCTTTTTAAGATGATACAATTTGTAACACGCAAGTTTGCTGTCTGTCCCCTCCCTTTATGTACATATAAAATGAGCAAACATGTGGCCATGAAACAGATGGTCATAGAATTGGTTCAGTGGTTGTGAGTTCAGCAACCCAAGAGAGTCTTATCTGAAATACCACCAGGAATGCCTGGACACAGTAGAGAAAAGTTGTTCAACTGGACGCCTTAGGATACACACTACCAAAAACAAAGTAGCCAAAAAGGAACCAGAATAACAGAATATCAGAGCCAGAGGAACATTTGGAGGTAATTCAGTACCTCCTCCTTTTCAACCTACAGGAGAGATAGTGGAACAGAAGCAGAAATGGGCCTGCCTGCTGTGCCCAAAATTCATTGGAGATTGTTGTGGTGAAGAATTTCATTTATGATGAAGGAGAAATAAACCCTGTCAGCTTAAATTCAGGCAGGTTTATTGAAAAGGTGAAGAAGCGTCTTGCAGAAGCAAAGCATGGCTGAGGCTTGTGGGCTCTGTCTGGGAAAATGAGCAGCTGACAGTGGCTGATGCTGCCCCTGACTCTGGGGCCATGTGGTCTCTTGTTCCCTGAGAGCATCTCTTCTATTCTCTTGCATCTTCCCTCAGCCTGGCAGTCTCTGTGTACTCTGCAACACATAATTGAGCAAGGCTGTGCCAGCCCCAATGCCACCTGGCACTTTAGGTCAAATTAGAAAGGCATGAAATAAAGTGGCCCTTTATAATACAGCTGTTGGAACAACAGTTGGAAGTACAATATCTTGACTCCTTATTTAGTGCTTTATGCTGAACTTTCTTTTCTGAATATGAGCACAGACTTCGGAATATTAATGTCACCTAGCGTTCTTAGCTAGTATTCTCCTTTTGTTTTCCCATAACATCCCCTCCTTCTTCCCACAGATCCACTGTCCACTCATTTCCATCCTGTCTCATGCCACTCGGGGCTCGTCCCTCCTAGAATGCATCCCTGGCTCCCCTGCGTGCACACTTCTAGTTAGGTTTAGCAATGGAGGGCGCCCGATGGATCCTGGAAGTGAGAGGAAGGTGAGGTCCGTATTTCTTCCCTGTCCCTCCCTGCTCTGGCACTGAGTATCTGGCAATAGCTGCATCTGTCTATTACTTCAGTGGCCACTCTTCCACAGCCCCAGTTCTCAGTGGGTCCCATAGCATTATTTACCTTTGTTCCTTTAGCTCCCATCAAGGAAGATCCAGAGACATTCTCCTCACCAAGGCGTTAAGAAATGCACAGGTGAGGGGAACAGCGGCATGCGTTTAAAAGTCCTGTGGCGCCCATCCTCTGCAGGCTGGAGGTCATGGCGGGAGCTGCTGCATGGATTTGCCCTCCCTGCTGTCAGTGAGAACAACAGGGTTCTGGAAGAGTAGAGGACAGGCCGTGGGACTTGGCCATCTAGAGACAAGGCGGGAGGGATTTCCCTGAGAGGCAGGGATATGTGGTGGTTACTAATCATTCGAATCATTGTGAGGTGTCTGGGAATGTAATGGATGGGACATCTACTAAGAAATCAACTTACGTTACACTTAAGCTCTAGTTCTGAGGACAGAGACCTGATGGAGTCACCATAGTGGGAATTTATGACCTGGCATCCAGTTCAGATACCTGGAGCTTCTTGACTGAGGGGAGATTGGATCCCTTGAGGAAGAGTGAAGCCTTCAATGCTACCACAAGTGTATGCTGTAAATCTTCCTTCAGGCCTTCCCCAGAAGGCTCTGAAGCCATTTATGTGGGTGACTGAGGAAAGGGAAATACTCAGAGCTTCTGTGGCTTGTTGGATGCTGGCTCTGAAGAATGCTAAACTGAGGGCCCTGCGGTGGCCATGAAAATGCACTACTTGCATCTCCAGCTGCAGGAGGCCTAACGAATCAGCAGCCTCAGCTGCTACCCTCCGAATGGAGGACTTGATGACATTTCCCCTGGATCTGCACTAGCCCGTGAGGAGGAAAGCCTCCTATCAAGTCCTCCCAACAGAACACCCATGATGACTCATGAGGATGTTGAAGGTGTTTTCCTGTGGCAACTGTGAGTGTCTTTCTTCAAAGTCTGTTTTGTTCCTGCACATTAACTGATTTATATAAAATAAGAGAATAAATGCCTAGACTCCCATGAGTCTATCTTTTACTGATAAACTCTAGTTCTGAGGACAGAAGCCTGATGGAGTCAGTATAGGGGGAATTTATAACCTGGCATCCAGTTCAGAGACTTGGAGCTTCTCGACTGAGGGGAGATCGGGTCCCTTTGGGGAAGAAAGAAGCCTTCAATGTTGTCACAAGTGTATCCTGGAAATCTTCCTCTAAGCCTTCCTAGAGGGACCTGATAACATGACTTATGATACAGTGACCCCAAATTCAGGGTGTTCTTGTCTACTGTCAAGAATGCAATATCTTATTCCTCTGAATTGAACGTAGTACCAATATTTGTGTGTAGCTATGCACCTTAATAGACCATAGCTAATTAGATGAGGAACGGTAGACCCAATTCAACCATACAGGCATCAACCATATCAGCATACAGGCATCCCTCTCCCACCGTTTCCTTCTTGTCCCCACTCCAAAGCCTTCTCCATTTTATTTGTATTAATTTTCTATTGCTGCATACTAAATTACTGCAAGCATTAGCGGCGTAAAATAAGAATGATTTATTTTCTTGCAGTGTCCACAGATCAGAAGTTCAGGCCTGGATTCTCTGGGTCTTCTTCTCAGGGCCTCACAGGCTGAAATTAGGCTGGGTTTCTTTCTGGAGGTTCTGGGGAAGAACTTCCTCTCAAGTTTCCTCAGGTTGTCAGCTGAGTTCAGTTCCTTGTGACTGTAGGACTGAGATCTCTGTTTTCTTGCTGGCTGTCAGCCAGGGGCCTCTCGCTGCTCCTAGAGGCCTCCCATGTTCCCACTGCATGCTTCCTCCAGCCAGCAGAGGAGGATCGCCCTGCATGGAAACCCTCCTGCACTTCACATCTCTCCAGGAAGTCCTCAGTCCCTCCAAGGAACTCACGTTCACTAGGTCAAGCTCATCAGATAATCTGTCTATCTTAAATTGGACCGATTTGGGATCTCGATTACATCTGTTAACTTGTTTTTGCCATAAATTGTAACACAATCACAGGAGTGACATCTCCTCAGTAGCTTTGTCTACACTCAGGAGGAAGTGATTATATAAGAGCAAAGATCACTGGGGGTCATCTTAGGATTCTGTCTACCATAATATTATAAAGACACAGTAATTAAAAGAGTATAACAGATTTCTGCTTCTGTCTGTTAGAATAAATCATATCAGACTAACCCTGCCTCCATAAACAAACGTAAAATTGTTTTCAGCAGTGTACAACAGGCAGTCCAAGAGAAAACTTAAGGGGGAAGCCCCATGATTTCCTAGTTGTTTGGGGAGAATTTCTCAGCAGCTGCATAGTGAGCTAGAGTCCACTCAGGGCAGGGCAGCTCACTGAGCTGAGAAGGCAGAGATCAGAGTTCAAGACGGCTGAAGCAACTGCAATCTGCAGGGCAGGGCACCAGTGAGGAGACAGCTGATCAAAGGTGCAGCTCTCAAAGTCTATGTGGGGTTCCATGTGCATACTTATCAAGGAGTGGACTCTACCTGCACAAGGAGAAGACTAACAGATTTAACAGAGGGGTGGCTGCTATGAAATTGAGTTTGGACCAGAGGTACTTGAGGTGGAGGAGGGTTGGGGAATGTATGATGGAGTTTCTGCCATCCATGGTGGGAAGAACTGATGCACACCTCATTAGCACCCAGGTATCCAACTGAGACACTAGAATGGATGTGCTTTAGGAATAAGTGTCACACTTTTCAATAAGGCCTATTGTAGACCAACCTGCTAAAGCCTAAAAGCAAACCCTGACAAATTCACAAAGGGGTGGATTGGTGATTGAGTCCTGCCAAATTAGAGGGTCTTGGGAAATGCTGTGGGCTTTCCATGAATCCGTTGTAATAAAACATAAACCAGTCCACATAAGTCCAAAGTGATCAGACAGTAATTTTACTGCCCACTAGAACAAGATTAATTCACACAATCAATGACACATGTTAGCCAGGTCGATATTTAAGCAAAATACATCTAAGAACAGCTAACAAATAACTCTTCTCAAACTCACATAGAGCATTCAGCAAGATAGACCACATGTGCTGAGCCATCGTTAGTATTTTCTGTCCTTTCTCTTTGACTCGTGTATAGTGTGCTCAAACTCTTAAAATTATACACTTTAATGATTATACACTTTCATGCATCTCAATTGCATGTAAGTTATATTTCAACATATTTGTTAAAAGTTTATAATTAAAAAAACTGTCCTAGCTTGATTCAAGAAATCTTTTTTATATTTAAGAAAATGTAATGTTATATATTATCAGGGCAAAAGAGAAAAACCATATGATTACCTTGTCATACACAGTAAAAGCATTTGGCACAATTGAAAACTTTTTTCATGATTTATAAAAACAAACCCCAGAAAACTCTCAGCATGATAAGAAGAGAAGGCAACACTTTCAACCCTATTAAGGGTAGATTTGAAAAAAACTCAGAGGTAACATTATATTAAATGGCATAGGATTGAATGCTTTTCTATTAAATCAGAGAAAAAAGTAGAATATCTGTTGTTATTCTTTCAATTCAGCATTATACTAGAGATCTAAATCAATGCAATAAAGTAAGAAAAATAAATAAAAGTATTGAAAAGATTGAAAAGAAAGAATTGAAGCTGTCTTTATTCACAGATAATGACTGTGTATGTTAATAATCCTAGAAATCTACAAAAATCTGCCAAAACTAATTAGTGAGTTTGGTAATGTTGCAGAATATAAGCTCAATAGAAGTAGTCTTTTGTATTTCTGTGTATTAGCAATGAGCATTTGGAAAATGAAATAAAAATACAATTTCATTTCAAGTAACATCTAAATACATGTTGTGCTTAGAAATAAATTCAACAGGCTGGATCCGGTGGCTCACGTGTGTGTGTGTGTGTGTGTGTGTGTGTGTGTGTGGGTGTGGGTGTGTATATTCACCTTTTTGAAGATTATCTATCGTTATCTCCAAACAGGGAACATTAAGAGAACATTAAAAGAAACCACAATATAGGAGATATATTTATTTCCAACAAAGGGGTTTTTTAGAGTGTATTTGTATATATATATGTATGTATATATATATAAGTTTAATAAGATAAACAGCACAATGAAACAATTTCTCAAAAGACTTGAATAGGTACTTAAGAAAAGAAGATACATGAATGGTCAATTAGCATAGGAAAAGATGCTCTACAGTTTAGCCATCAGGAACATCAATCAATACAACAATGAGATACCAGTACATATCCTGTACATATGAGATACCAGTACATATCCGGTGCCTGGGATTACAGGCACCGGCCACCATGCCTGGCTAATTTTTTGTATTTTCAGTAGAGGCAGGGTTTTACCATGTTGGCCAGGCTGGTCTTGAACGCCTGACCTCAGGTGATCTGCCCGCCTCAGCCTTGCAAAGTCTTGGGATTACAGGCATGAGCCACCAGGCCCAGCCAAAATGATTCCATTTTTATGAAGCACATGATCAAGCAAAATGAATCTATGGTGGCTGCTAAGTTTAAATATTGGTCCCCTCCAAATCACATGTTCAAATGTGGTCCCCAGTGTTGGAGGTGGGGGTAAATGGGAGGTTTTTGGGTCATGGGAGTGGATCCCTCATGAATAGATGAATCCCCACCCTGGGAGAAGGTAGTGAGTGAATTCTCACTCTCTTAGTTCCTGTAGGAGCTGGTTATTAAAAAGTGCCTCTCACCTTTCCTTGCTCTCTTTTGCTTCCTCTCTCGCCATATGATCTCTGCACACCCTGGTTCCTTTTCACCTTCTGCTGCAAGTGGAAGCAGCCTCAGGCCCTCATTAGGAGCAGATGCGGGGGCCATGCTTCTTGTACAGCCTGCAGAACTATGAGCAAAAGGCACCTCTTGTCTTGATAACTTACCCAGCCTCTGGTATTCCTTTCCAGCAACACAAAGGGGCTAAGGCAGTGTCAACATTCAGAATATAGTCTTCATTTGGGGGATGAGTATTGACTGGCAAGGACCACATCAGAACTTTGTGGCATGGGGGAAAATGTTCTCTGTCTTTAACTGGGTGTTACTTTACAATTATAATTATATTAAAATTTATTAAGCTGTGCCTTTAGGTTTTTTTGCAGTATACTCTACGCAAATTTTACCTCAGTGAAGAACTGTTAGCATACAACAGACAGATAACAAACACTCAAAAAGGTGAAAATTGACAGAAAATAGGTAACAAATATTTAGCATATAAATAAGAGGGATCCGTTGAGAAGAAACCAAAAGCAACGGAATAGAACAAAGACAAAAAAGTATAATAAAAAGAGTTTTAAATTTCAAAGTTTGAAACGATATTAAAGTGGCACACTGTTTCCTTGGGAAAATCAAGTGAGAACCACAAGTCTGAGACTAATTCCAGCAAAAGTATGTAAATCAGTTTGATCTAATGGTACAAGGTTAGCTTTGAAGGCCAAAAGGAACGGATATCTAATTCTTACTCCTCTCCTCACTAGTTTTGTGACCTAGGGAAATTTTGCAATCTTTCTGAGTTTGTTTTCTCATCAGGAACAGGATAATACCTAAGTAACAGGATAGTTGACAGATTTAAATATGATCGCATGGCGGTGGACATGAGCCGTAATTAGTTGTTAAGAATATATTGACACTGAACTCTCCTTTATCCATGTTAAAATTGTAGATAAACAACAATTGACAAAGAATAGACAAAATGTTCTAACATAAATATTCTTCCCTTGTTTCTAGAAAGAAGTCACACATACGGTAAAAATAATTAGAGAGGACCTAGTTCATATTGAACAATCTTCCCCAAAGCCTGAAACAGGTCTTCTTTCTAACACCAGAGATATCTTGAGTGAGTCCAACCCCTGCAGTCCCCTCTGTCTGGAATAGATGGAGGAAGTTTGCTCCAGCCTTAGAAGAGCATGGGCTGGCAAGCGTTCTCAGAGAGGTCTCGACTTCAACTCTAAAGGGCCTGAGGAATACGTGCAACTGGGTCGGGTTAAGGCCAAGCTGAATCACATGACCAGGGCTCTCACCAGCGCCAAAGTCAGTGGAAGGATATCAGTCCCCAGAGCTCTGTCACAGGCCATGGATGCTCCATGGAGGGGTGGTGAGCATATGAATAACAATCAGGAGAAACATCGGTAATGGACAGGAGGCATCAATAAACAATGTCCACCCTCCTCTAAAACCCAGGAAAGTTCTCATTCAAAAGACGATGTCTTGAAGGAAACCTAGGTACAAATCTTTGTGATTTTGGATTAGACATTTTTTAAGTAGGCACAAACAACGGAAAAATAGATAAATGGACTTCATTAAAATAAAAAACTTGTATGCTTCAAAGGACACTGTCAAGGAAGTGAAAAGATAATCCACATAATGGGAGAACTATTTCCAAATTGTATGTTTGACACAGGTCTAGTACCTAGAGTATATAAGGAATTCATATAACTGAGCAATAAACGACAACCACATTTAACAATGGGGAAAAAAAGCTGTGAGTAGAGGTTTCTCTAAAGGAAACACACAAATGGCCAAGAAGCACATGCAAAGATGTTCAATGTTTTTCGTCATTAGGAAAATGTAAATTTAAACCAAAATGAGATACCACTTCACACCCAGCAGTATGACTTAAGAAAACAATAAAGACAACACATGTTTCAAAAGTGATGGAGAATATGGAATTCTCATATATTACTATTGGGAATCTAAAATGATGTAGCTACTGAAGTTAGTAAACAGTGTGTGAGTTCCTCAAAAAGTGAAACATAAAGTGACATATGATGCAGCAATTGCACTCCTAGGTTTATAACCAAGAAAATGAAAAACAGATGTTCACTCAAAAACCTGTACAAAGCTGTTCACAGCAGCATTATTCCTAATAGTTAAAAAGTGGAAACATCTTAAACCACCATGAGTTGATGAATAAACAAAATGTGGTATAACCATATAGTGGAATATTATCTGGCCATAAAAAGTTGAAGTACTGACGCAGGCTAGAAAGGATGAAACTTGAGAACAATATTCTAAGAAGCAGATAGAAAATACCACACTTTGTTATTCCATATAGAGGAAGTGCCCAGAACAAGTACATCAATATATAGAGAAGGTAGATTAGTGGTTGTCAGAGAGCGCAAGAAGGGGGGAATTGGAGAGTGTCTGCCCATAGGTACAGGCATGCTTTTTGGCATTATGAAAATATTCTGGAATTAGGTAGTGGCGATGGTTGCGAAAGTTTTGGAATATGGTAAAAGACACTGAAATGTGTGCTTAAAAATGGTGAATTTTGTGATGTATAAATTCTACTGTAGAAATAATAATAACAACAAAAGTAATAAAGCAAGGTGTCTTTCCACATCTCCATGTCCAGTATTTTCATTTAAAAAAAAAGAAAGTAAAAGCATTTCAGGGCCAGGTTCAGTGGCTAACTTCTGTAATCCCAGCACTTTTGGAGGCCTAGGTGGGAGGATCGCTTGAGGCCAGAAGTTCAAAACCAGCCTGAGCAACATAACAAGACCTTGTCTCTATGAAAAATATAAAATTAGCCAGAAATGGTGATGTGTGCCTAGAGTTCCAACTACTTGGAAAGCTGAGGCAGGTGGATCGCTTGAGCCCAGAAGTTCAAGATTGCCGTGATCTATAATCACCAGTGCACTCCACCCTGGGTGACAGAATAAGACCCTGTCTCAAAAAAAAAAAAAAAAAAAAAGCATCTCACTTTAATAGTAAGTGGCCAAAATATGATGCTGGCTGCATGTTGTGAGGAAATGTGTTAGATGAAAGAAGTCAAATTCCAGAAGATTTCCTTTTTCTCAGAAATGAGGTATAGGGGAGAGAAGCACTGGTCCACCTGAGATCTGGCTCCAGGACTTACAACAAGGGGAACTTGGGCAAGTTACAGACTCTGTGTGCCTCAGTTTCTTCATCAGCAAAACAGAAAGAATCATCCCATAAACTGTAAGGTCAATGCTGTCAGTGAGTCCCCAAATTGACTGCACATCTGAGTCATGTTAACAAACACATTCCAGGCCCCACCTGAGCCCTCTGAATCAGAATCCCTGCAAG